>NC_000008.11:38647981-38951011 GCF_000001405.40 Homo sapiens | reverse complement strand
AGCCCCAGTCAGGCCCCTCACCTGGCTGATGGGTGTGTGGACCACCACCCCTCCAATGATCTCCGTCTTGTAGGCCACCTGTGGCTTCTTCTCCAGGGCTGGAGGAGCTGCTAAGCTCTTGAGAACTTCAGTGGTCATGGGTAGGCCCCCACCTTTGGGAACCTGGGGTGAGCGGCAGCAACAATCAATGGGGAACAGAACATTTAGGAAACATGGGGAGCCCAAAACAGAATGGGGCTGCCGTGAGAAAAGCTCATGTGCCAAATTACAGTCAGACTTGCGTGTCCTCCCCAAGCCTTCCACAGTCCAAATCTGAATATGAGCATCTCAACCAGCAACGCCCTCCCCCTACACAGATACAAACTGACTCCAGGAATTTCTTGAGCGCCTACTTATGAGCCAGCCCTTCCCTGGCTAGAAACCAAAGATAAAGTGTCAAGCGAAACACACGTGGGTCCCCACCTTCACGGCACTTACATGCTAGTAGGGGGAATGACAAAAAAAAACGTAAAACAAACAGAGTAATTACAAATGGTGGTGAGTGGCACAAAGAAGATCAAGAGAGCTGAGGCAGCGCACAGCAGGGGACCTGCTGGAAACAGAGTGGGCAGGGAGGTCTCTAGAGGAGAAGGCAGGGAGACACTCAAACGGCAACCTGGAGGGTAAGCAGGAGATGGGGGCCAGGTCCGGGGCCTCACACCTGTAACCCCAGCACTTTGGGAGGCCAAGGCAGGAGGGTCACTTGAGCCCAGGAGTTCAAGACCAGCCTGGGGAACATAGTGAGATCCCATCTCTACTAAAAATGAAAAAAAAAATTAGCCAGGTGTGGTAGCACACAGCTGCTCAACAGGCCAAGGTAGGAGAATCTCTTGAGCCCAGGAATTGGAGGCTGAAGTGAGCTATAATCACACCACTGTACTCCAGGCTAGGTGACAGAGACCCTGTCTCGAAAAAAATACAAAATAAAAAACTAAATAAAAGGAACCAGGAACATGAAGCTGGGAGAAGGCATTCTGGGCAGATTGAACAGGTAAAAATGCATGCATGCCTTTGTAGAGACAGAACAAGGGGTCCATGAAGTCTGGAGCCAGAAGATGTGTGGTATAACCCTTCACCTCTCACGAACCACCTGAGAGACCTTTGGCAACCATCAAACCTTTCTAGGCCTAAACCGTCTCATGCATAAAATGAAAAGTGGAATAATATTTATCATAACCATCGTTGTGGTTATCAAATGATAGAGTATATTAAATGCTTTAGAAACACAACTAAAAAGAAAAACATATTACAAAATATTATAATTAAGGCTTCCCACGTTGTTACTAATAATTATACACAGAGCCCTTTTGGAAGAATGAGCTATCTTTGCTCTTCCTTGACAGAGATATGGTACCACAGCTGATCAAATCATCATAAAATTTTTATTGTTAGTTGGAAATCACAGGCCAGAGGTTGCAAATTGGTGGCCCACCCACTGACTTTGCCCAAACAATGTTTTGTTAGTCACATGCAGTATTTTTTAAAATCTGCATCTAAGTTTTGGGATATTTCACAGAAAAATCCAGATTTTCAGCTATGCAGCAGTTCCCTTTTAGATAGAAAATACATTGTGTTTGCACAGTCCCTACCATTCTCCCCAGCAGAACGGGAGAGGCCAGGGGTCAAATGTCACTTATCCTCATTCCTGTTGCCCTGTTTCCTCCTCCTTGCCCACTTCACTCATTTATACTAGAGTCTGCAAATGCTGAGGAAATCTTTCATTTTGTTAGAAAGAAAAAAAAAAAAAGAGGTCCAGAACAGTTGAGTCATTTACCCAAAGCCAGGATTAACAGCTGAATGTCGGCCAGGCACAGTGGCTCATGCCTATAATCCCAGCACTTTGGGAGGCCGAGGCGGGCGGATCACCTGAGGTCGGGAGTTCGAGACTAGCCTGACCAATATAGTGAAATTCCGTCTCTACTAAAAATACAAAAATTAGCTGGGCGTAGTGGCGGGCACCTGTAACCCCAGCTACTCAGGAGGCTGAGGCAGGAGAATCGCTTGAACCCAGAAGGCAGAGGTTGCAGTGAGCCGAGATCACGCCATTGCACTCCAGCCTGGGCTATAGAGCGAGACTCCGTTTCAAAACAAAAACAAAACAAAAAAACAGCTGAATGTCTACTAAACTCTGACTTCCCACCAGTGCCCCAGCATCACAATGCCCCACCTTCAGGAGAACGCAACACCCTACATCTATCTGCCGGGACGTCACCGGGACTTCGAGAGAAAAGCTAAGGTCCTCTCCCACTTCTACAGCTTTCAGAGTAAGAAAGACCTAAGGATCCGAGCTCAGAGCTATATGACAGCCCTGTCATTTGGTGTCTGTTCAAAACAATAAGAGCACCCTGATTATGCTGGGCCCCCACAAAGACAACGAGACCTTCTCTTCCTGGACTGCACACTCAGTTTACATAGACAAGGACGTCCTCTGCCCCCTCCCTACCCCTCCAAATCAGGCCAGAAATTCCGCCTTCTATTTTCTTTCTGGCTGAGAGATACCAGCAGTTACAGTTTCTCTGGGCCACCATTCAGTGCCAGGCAATGCACTGATAAGCTCTTTGCTGCATTATCACTAATCTTATCAACCAGGCATGATTTTCTCCACTTTATAGATGAGGTCAACTCAAGCTCATTAAAATTAAGTGATTTGGCTCTAGGACTGCCTGACTCCTTGTTGCTGCATGTCACGACCTACCTAAGCTACTCTTTCTCACTTTCTGTGAGTTCTGTTATTATGTAACCACATTTTTAGGGATGTTGATTTTTAGTTGATATTTAGTGATTAAAATCACCATGGAACTGCAGAAATTTCCCCTAAATGACCCAGATGAATTCCTGAAACCCAGCAAAGAAGGAGGGAAATAACAATTTTTTTTTTTTTTTTTTTGAGATGGAGTCTTGCTCTGTCGCCCAGGCTGGAGTGCAGTGGCGCGATCTCGGCTCACTGCAATCTCCAGCTCCTGGGTTCAAGTGATTCTCCTGCCTCAGCCTCCCAAGTAGCTGGGATTACGGTGCATGCCAACATGCCCAGCTAGTTTTTATATTTTTAGTAGAGACGGGGTTTCACCATGTTAGCCAGGCTGGTCTCGAACTCCTGACCTTGTGATCCACCCGCCTCAGCCTCCCAAAGTGCTGGGATTACAGGCGTGAGCCACCGCGCCTGGCCAGAAAGTAACTTTTTAGAGTTCCCAGTGGCCAGAAAAGGAGGCACAGAAGCTTGGCTGCTGTGTTTCCTCTCAAAATCCCGAAGAACACTGTTTGTCAGTGCTTATGCTCCGGTGTCATGCAGTGCTTCAGATCAACATGCAGAGCCTTTCCAAAGCTGTTTACACTACCTGAGACTTCTTTAAGAGATGGGCTTTCACTCTGTTGCCTAGGCTGAAGTACAGTGGTGCGATCATAACTCCCTGCAGCCTCAAACTTCTGGGCTCAAGTGATCCTCCTGCCTCAGCCTCCTAAGTAGCTGGGAATACAGGTGTAAGCCACCAGGCCTGGCTAATTTTTTTATTTTTTATTTTTTTTGAGGTGGAGTTTCACTCTTGTCGCCCAGGCTGGAATGCAATGGCACGATCTCGGCTCACTGCAACCTCTGCCTCCCAGGTTCAAGTGATTCTCCTGCCTCAGCCTCCTGAGTAGCTGGGACTACAGGCGTGTGCCACCACGCCCAGCTAATTTTGTATTTTTAGTAGAGACGGGGTTTCACTATGTTGGCCACAGGTGATCCACCCACCTCGGCCTCCCAAAGTGCTGGAATTACAAGCGTGAGCCACTGCACCCAGCCATCCATCCTCTCTCTTTTCATCACTCTCTCTTTTCACGGGTTTACCAAGGTTTATCAGAATAAGAAGCTAATCAGCAAAAGTGCTTATAGGAGACTCAATTACACTCAGGTTGGGTCTAGCAATATGAATACTATATACGTGTACAAATTTCTTCTATACAGTTGTTCACAGGAACCCTGAGAAATCTGGGAGGATAATTTGCTGCAGCATGTAATAGTCACTACTGGAAGCCCCTCAAACATAAGCATTTCTGACTGTATGATACAGAAACAAACTTTTCAGCAAAGAAGCCATGATCTATATAAGCCAGGAGTCTGCCTGTCTTATTGATTAAAAGTCTAGTTTTTTCCAAAACATAGTTTCCCCTCTCCATCCTTCCTACCCTTCTTCCTTTCTTTTTCTATATCTCTAAGGAAAAAGAAAGGAATTCTTCATTAGCCAACTCAAGGAAAAAGAGCACACTCGTAGGACAGTCCATGAACGAGCTCTGTGATGCTTTTAAACAGAAGGCTTTTCTAGGACAGGGAGGCGGATGGCTTGGACTGACCCTGCAGGCAGCCTCTGAAAGTAAGAAGAGTATCCCCCAAGCTGGGAAAAAGTTCTGACTTCCCTCCCCATATGCTTTTCCCCTTACTTGACTTTTCACAGTCACCAATCCATTTTCCAATCCTACCACATTCTGAATCAGCATCCCAGAATCACCCGAAACATGACTGATCGGGAGCCCTCCCAGGAAGCACAAAGGGGACGCTCCATGAACTTCCCCTTGAACTTGATTCAAACTCAGACTCTCAGTTCAACTTGTGTTTGGTCAGCCAAGGAAAAAGACGAGGTGGGAGAGAACTGGGTACAGACCAGGCTCCTGGGAAAGTCCCCGCTGCCATCTCAGTTTTCCCCAACCCCAACAAGGCCATAGCCTGGGAAGAGGCACTTTTACTACCACCAGAAAACAGAAGAAACCAAACTTACGGTGATCTTGCTGGCTTGGTTCAGGGCTTCAACCCAGTCCTTCATATCTTTCTGATCATTGGCTTGAAGGAAATATCTCTGAGACAGGGCATTGATAACTACAAAAGCCACAGAAAAGAAGGGAAGACATTCCTAGGTCAGAATACAAGCAATACAACAAGTCTCCACAAAGCTAAGGTGTTTGAGGGAGTGAGATGAGTGAACTCCACAAAGCAGAACAAGAAATCTCCCATGATGCTAAGTCATTTGCCTGGATATCTAGGAAGCCCCAGGCCACACCTGCTCACTCTCTTTCCCACCTTTAAAAACATCCCATTGGCCACAGGAACAACACCTGACCATGTTAACAGCAGCCTCAGTGTGCTGTTCTGCGGTGATGAGGCTGCTGGTCTGCCGTCAACAAGACACAACTGTGAACCGCATTCTGGCGGTGCTAATACATTTACTGTCATCACGGTATATACAGAATTTTGGACCCATGCTTGGTCTCCTCTGGCACAACTGGTCTGGACTGGGAGAGTTGTCTGTGGTTGGGAAATAGAACAAAGCTTTCCTGAGATCAAATCTGTGACCTTGGCCTCACTCTCAACCTGTTCTTTCCTCTGAGCATTCCATTAGGTCAACAATTTACTTCCACATTCACTATTATTACATATATATATTTTCAGATCTGATAACCACAAAACGTGAGAGTCATTTCTGAGCTTAGCTATGAAATTTGCAAGAAATAGAAGAATGAGCATGCCAAAGAAGTCTGAACAAATCTGAGGTGGGGAGACAGAATCGCTCAAGGGAATACTTTATTCTCTTAGCATAAGCTTGAACTGTAGGAGGTGAGTCTCATGGGGTAGATGCAGAATTCATCCGTTCATTCATTCATTTGACAAATATTTACTGAGCACCTACTATGCGCTAGGAAACATCTTTAAGTGCTGAGGATACCACAGTGACAAGGCAGAGGAATACCCCTGCCTTTGTGAAACTTACATTCAGAACCACCCCAGATAGGCAACAGAAACTATTTGTTAGCATTTGCTCATAGCACTTAGCACAGCTGTGAGAACATAGTAGGAGCCAAGTAACTATTTGATGATGGATTCACTGAATTCACTGACCACTTCCTGACTTGAGGCACCCATGCACGGTGACTCTGCCTCCTACACCATCCCCCAACATGTCACTATTGGGCAACTGAGACCCTTAACAGAATTCTCCTTCCTTTGTCTTATCCCCTTCCTGGCACTGCCATCTGCGTCTCCTCTGAGTCCTCCATCTTTTCTGAGCACAACATTTCTCAGCTCTAAAATAAGGTTCACAGAAACTTATAGTGGACATTTTGCACCTGCCTTGTGGCATCAAGAAAACTGAAATGCATATGGACAATTATTAAAAGAAAAAAATGTTCGAGATGATGGACATTGATATGGTTTGGATCTCTGTCCCCACCCAAATCTGTGTCCCTACCCAAATCTCATGTTCAATTGTAATCCTCAATGTTGGAGGTGGGGCCTGGTGGGAGGTGACTGGATCATGATGGGTCGTGGGGGCGGTTTCTCATGGTTTAACACCATCCCCCATGCTGTTGTGTCATAATAGTGAGTTCTTGTGAAATTTGGTTATTTAAATATGCATAGCACCTCCCCACTCTCTTTCTTGCTTCTCCTCTGGCCCCATAGAGCCTGCAGAACACTGAGCCAATTAAACCTCTTTTTTTTTTCTTTTTTTGAGGTGGAGTAGAGTGCAATGGCCTGAAATCAGCTCACTGCAACCTCCGCCTCCTGGGTTCAAGAGATTCTCCTGCCTTAGCCTCCCGAGTAGCTGGAATTACAGGTACTCACCACCACGCCCAGCTAATTTTTTTGTATTTTTAGTAGAGATGGGGTTTCACTATGTTGGCCAGGCTGGTCTCAAACTCCTGATCTCAGGTGATCTGCCCGCCTCGGCCTCCCAACGTGCTGGGATTATAGGTGTGAGCCACCAGGCCCGGGCAAACCTGTTCTCTTTTTAAATTACCCAGTCTCAGGTATTTCTTTATAGCAGTTCAAGAACAGACTAATATAGATATGCTAATTACTCTATACATTATGTACCCCATGAATATATATAATTATTATTTGTCAACTTAAAAAATAAAACTAAAACCAAAAAAAAAAGAAAGAAAACAGAAATGTTACTAGTCCCTGAACCTCTGTCCTTATGTTATTAACAACCTTTGCAGCAAGACCAGGGAAAACAATATCACTTGACGTCCAGGACCGTCACTGTGATTTAAGTCACTCATACTCACAGGGTATAGTCACATGTGATCACAGGACTGTCTCCATGCAAAAGAGGAAGTTGCCATGTCAATATTAAATGAGTCCCTCCCCTGGCTCAGTACTTACCAAAGCAAAATGGAGTTTTTGGTTTCTGTTTTGGGGTAGCTATGCTCACCTAAATCAAATAAGAAATAAAAGAAACATGAATATGTGTCTTACAATGTTGAAGATTTCTTATTGTGAAATTTCTCATATATAAAGAGTACATTAAACATATGTCTACATTTTTAAAAAATAATAATTAAATGAAAACCCTGTACTCATCATCCAGATTAAGAAACAGGCATTATCAGTCCTATTTCTTAGAAGCCCTGTGTGCCCCTCCCTGACAGAATCCCCACCGTCAGAGATAACCATTATCTTGAGGTCTGTTCATCTTTACAAAAAGACTTATGTTTATTATTTATTTATTTATTTAGATATAGGGTCTCACTCTGTCACCCAGGCTGGAGTACAGTGGTGCAATCATAGCTCACTGCAGCCTCCAACTCCTGGGCTCAAGTGATCCTCCAGTCTCCACCTCCTGGCTAATTTTTTTTAAATGCCCCTATGCCTGGCTAGTTTTTTTTAAAAAAGAAAAATATTTGCAGAAACAGGGTCTTGCTATGTTGCCCAGGCTGGTCTCAAACTCCTGGGCTCAAGCAATCCTCCCGCCTCAGCCTCCCAAAGTGTTAGGATTACAAGTATGAGCCACTGCACCCAGCTCAAAAAGACTTTTAAAAGCCACTAAGTCCTGACGAAAACCTATCCTGGCCTCATTCACACTAGCAAGATTCCCCTCCTCCCCTCCTCTTTCAACCGCCAACCCTCTCCCTAAATCGTTCTCCAAGCTGAAGGCAATATTGCTACAAATGCATGGATTCCAATCAGAACACTCAGAGAGATGAAGCAGCAGGCTGCTCGCTGCCCTCAGACACATGGAACAATTGCCTTTACATCTGCCCTGATGGCCTAACCATGAAAATAAGCACCTTCCAGGTGCCCAGAGAGGGGCTGATGGAATCGGAGAACATTCCTATATATCTCAGGGAAGGGCAAGAAACAGAGGAGGTATTTCTATACCTCCTGTTGCTGTATTTCATCTTGCTCTGGCAATCCTACCCCTGGCATGTACACTCCTGAGTATCTGCATATGTGAACTCTCATCATTCAGGCTCAAACAAAAGAAAAAAGAAAGCAACTCATATTCCACCACATGCCCACAAAGATTAGGGACAATCCTTGATGGAGGCTGAGCCTCCCTGGAGTGAGCCTCCACCACTGAGCCTCTAAAGAGACAGTCACCTTCCCATGGGTCCTAGGCCGGGGACTATTCACATGATGTCACAGTCCTCCCCTGAATACCATTCTCTCCATCCCCCTCCAGCCAAGGGTATTCTTCGACATGTCCTCCACCTAGGGGATCCAGGAGTGGTTCCCACTTTATTTTATTTGTTTGTGGGGTTTTTTTGGGTTTTCTTTCTTTGAGACAGGAAGCTGGAGGATCACTTGAGCCCAGAATGAGACCCCATCTCATTCTGTCACCCAGGCTGGAGTGCAGTGGCGCAATCACAGCTCACTGCAGCCTCGACTTCTCAGACTGAAGTGATCCTTCCACCTCACCCTCCTGAGTAGCTAGACTACAGGTGTGTACCACCACACCCAGCTAATTTTTCCATTTTTTTTTTAGAGATGGGGTCTCGCTATGTTGTCAAGGCTGGTCTCAACCTCCTGGCCTCAAGTGATCCTCCTGCCTCAGCCTCACAAAGTGCTGGGATTATAGGCATGAGCCACCGCAACCGGCTGGCTGCTACTTTAACGGGCAGCGTATCAGAAGCCAGGTGCTAAAGAAAAAGTCCTGAATTGAAATTAAAGTATCTTCCTGGCTGACAGCAGTTAGGGTCTAACAATGACTGACTCACCAGTCTGTCTAGGTTCTTACTCTTGGCTCTAAGTTCTTGCTATACACCTGCCTAGATTCCTTAACCAAAATTAATATTGCCCCAAATAAATGGGAACTGAGGTGGCACCTTATAAAAGATCAAAAGAAGGTCAGGCAGAGACAGAGAGTCTCAAATGACAGGTGTTCCAACTGAATGACCTCCATTTCCTGTTCTATCAAATAAGGGATCATAATATCGTGTTCTCACAGGGTTATCATGAGGGTTAAATATGATAGTGCAGGTAAGACAGTCATTCTTCCACACAGAATCTGCTCAACCCAGGAGGGATTATTTATAGCTTTTGATACCTCATTTCCTTTAAAGCCTCACTCCACACATCAACACAGGCAGTGTCCCACCTGGAACTACGGGCAAAATGCTGAGGGTCCATGAGTTTCTCTGGGCCTGCAAAACTGTATGAAACCTGAAAAAATTGCCTGGCCTCCTACATACAAAGTGAAGATGCTGTATCTGGTGTTAATAAACATTTAATTGAATGCCTACATAACATTATATCAACCTCCCTGACAAGTATTTAAATGCGTACAGGATGTTACGTCAAGTAAACGTCATTAATTTTTCAATGAAACATTAAAAAGTTTTTCATTTGAAAATAATTGGTACCAGGCCGGGCACAGTGGCTCACGCCTGTAATCCCAGTACTTTGGGAGGCCACAGCCGGTGGATCACTTGAGGTAAGGAGTTCGAGACCAGCCTGACTAACATGGTGAAACCCTGTCTCTACTAAAAATACAAAATTAGCCGGGTGTGGTGGCACATGCCTGTAATCCCAGCTACTTGGGAGGCCGAGGCAGGAGAATCGCTTGAACCCGGGAGATGGAGGTTGCAGTGAGCTGAGATCCCGCCATTGCACTCCAGCCTTGGTGACAGAGCGAGACTCTGTCTTTAAAAAAAAAAAAAAAAAAGATACCTTAGATTTTCTTAGCTCACAAGAATCCTTTTGTGCGTGTGCAAGATGATTGCCCAGAAATTAGAGCCAGTTACAAATTGGATGAGTTACTCAGAGCCAAATCATTCCAAAAGTAAAATGATTAAAATCCTTTCAAATATTTTATATATATATATAATAGCCAATTATATTTAATAAGGGATGTACATTTTGAGATGTGAGGTGAAAGCCACAGAGCCTACGAAAAACCTAAAAAAATGATGATTTGAGCAAAGGTAAACCCGCTTATCCCAAGTTCGGACACAGAGGATCCAAATTCAGTTGTGTGTCAACTCACAGTAAGAGGACGCTGGTGGCTCCATAACACAATAGTCCAGGCCCCTAGACATCTTGCTTCCTGGGTTTCTGACCCCCCCCCCCCGCCCCTTCAATCTGGACCACGGCATAGACTTCTGTCCTGCTTACACCTGAGTGTTAATCTGTCAGTCACTCATTTTCTTGCTTTGGCCCTCAGCGTCCACATTCCTGCAGTCCTCTGGTCCATAACTCCTGGTTGTTCTGCCCCTGATCTCTGCATAATCCTGACCACAGCAGAACTGTGTTTGGCCATCCCAGCCCTCAGAACCCACCAATCTCATCCTCCCCTTCTACTTCCAGCTTTATTTATTTATTTGAGACAGAGTCTTGCTCTGTCACCCAGGCTGGAGTGCAATGGCACGATCTTGGCTCACTACAACCTCCGCCCCCCAGGTTCAAGCGATTCTCCTGCCTCAGCCTCCCAAGTTGCTGGAATTACAGGCACGCACCACCACACCTGGCTAATGTTTTATATTTTTAGTAGAGATGGGGTTTCGCCATGTTGGCCAGGCTGGTCTGGAACTCCTGACCTCAGGTGATCCACCCACCTCGGTCTCCCAAAGTGCTGGGATTATAGGCGTGAGCCACCACGCCTGGCCCTTTTTTTTTTTTTTTTTTTTTAAGAGATAGGGTCTCACTCTGTCTCAGGCTGGAGTGTGGAGGTGCAGTCATGGCTTGGTCAGCCTCAAACTCCTGGGCTCCAGCGATCCTCCCAACTCAGCCTCCCAAGTAGCTGGGACTACAGACACTCACCACCATGCTCAGCTAAATTTTATTTTTTAAATTTTTTTTGTAGAGACAGGGTCTCGCTATGTTACTGAAACTGGTCTTGAACTCCTGGCCTCAAGCGATCCTCCCACCTCAGACTCCCAAAGTGCTGGGATTACAGGCATGAGTCACTATGCCCAACCTACTTCCAGCTTTAGAATGACATTGAAAAACTGGGCACTCCAAGACCCTTTCTGGCTTATTAGGAGAACTGCCTTTTCTCTGAAAAACTCCTATTTGTCACTGACTAGAGAGAGCACCACAGGCGGACTGTTTTAATTCTGTTTGGATAACAAATGCTCGTTTTGACCACAACTGATTAGCCAGCCTGTGCTGTGAGAATGCTACCCATGTGCTTATTATGGGAACTGGAGCCTTCAAAGAGACGGTCTGGCTTTGGGTTTGTTTGTTTGCTTTCCTCTGTTTATCCAGTTTTGGTCAGGAGGCATGTGAGAGTGCACGTGTGAGTGCATGCGTGTACAACCATCATTGGCCTCATGCCTAATGGCTTACCATGGAAGGGCGATTCGGCAAACCAACTCATTGCTGAATTAACAGGATCGGTTCTGGTTCTGCCCTGATTGGCTCACTGCAAGGGTAAGACCCTCAATGTCTTTGATCAGCTTTACAATAGGTGAAGCCAGAGTAAAAACACTATTCTCCTTTGCCACAGAGTGGCAAAAGAGGACAATGAAATGATTTCTACTTGTTGCTGAGTCCCACGGAAAGAAAGGCCAAGATGGGGCCGGGTGCAGTGGCTCCCACCTATAATCCCAGCACTTTGGGAGGCCAAGGCAGGCGGATCACCTGAGGTCAGGAGTTCGAGACCAGCCTGGTCAACATGGTGAAACCCCGTCTCTACTAAAAATACAAAAATTAGCCAGGCATGGTGGTACACACCTGTAATCCCAGCTACTCGGGAGGCTGAGGCAGAACAATCGCTTGAACCCAGGAGGCAAAGGTTGAAGTGAGGCGAGATTGCACCATTGCACTCCAGCCTGGGTGACAGAGCAAGACTTTGTCTCAAATTTAAAAAAAAAAAAAAAGAAAAAGAAAGGCCAAGAAGGAAATCTAACTTATCATGGAGACGTGGTGGCTTCACCTCCTCTCATGAAGAGGCGTGGCTGCAGGCGGGTGAGGTCACCCGACCGTCTGACTCCAGTGAGGCCACCAAAGTGCAGCCATCCACACAGCCGAGGTGGCCACAGCAGAGGCGCTACCCAGCAGTGGTTGACTGGTGGGTCCTGTGAACACCCCAGCAGCGAGCAGAGGTCAGGGATGTGAGCAGGGAGTGGGCACAGGTCCCCCGTAGAGTGACGCAGACAGGGCTGCTCCACAGCTCAACAGACTCTCAGGAACTTGCGCTTATCAGATCAAACACAGACCACAGGAGCTGCAAGCTCGTCAGCGGCCAGGCACGGCTAGGGCCAGCCCCACCCTGTCTGCCCATGGCCGGAAGAGGAGCTGGGGCCCCTCTGGCAGAAGCAGTGGCAGCAAAACAAGGTCTCCTAGCTCTGCTGCGGCCTCTGCCCTGGTATCTGGGGGTGACCTTGCCCCACAAGGTGGCATCAGGATCAGGGGAATAGCAGCCACCTACATGGGATGGGGGTCTCTGGACCAGCTTCAGGAGGTCAATGGGCTCCCTGAAATTATAGGCAAAAGCAGGGTGTGTCTGTACACCTATGCATTTACCTGGAGAAGGCATCCATGCATTTCATCAGTCTCAAAAAAGGATCCATGAGCCCCTACAAGTTCTTTCTGAGAGGTGGCTGAAAGCAAGGCCCTGACAACTGGGACACAGCTGGGGGTGGGACAGCGGGGTTGGCTGTGCAGTCGGCGGGTGGAGGCAGGGGTCAAAGTGCAGCTTTAATTATTTTCTAGTTTGCTAAGAACTGGTTCTGTTGCCATTGATGCTCTGGATGACATCCAATCATCACTTTCATCTCTGTCTCTCCAAAGGGCCAGGGCCACACGCCCGTCCTCATCTTCCCATCACTGGCCCTCAGCAGACAGCAGAGAAGCACACACCCTGAACAGCCAGCCCACACGCAGCCCTCTGGCCAGGCCACCTGACACGGTGGCAAGCGCTCTCCTCCAAGAAGGAATACCTAAGAGTTAACAAATAATGACCTGGAATGCTGAGCTGGAGTCCAGCGCCTCTGAGGCTAAATGTCATTCTGGGAAAAACCCCTGCTTTCTGGCAGGGAGTCAGGCAGGAGTTAAAGGCTCTGAGCTCTGTGTAACCCGACCCAGTGGCAGCTGTGGGTTTTGCAAAATGCCCATCCAGCCCTGCCTTTCTCGGGAAGGGGCTAAACGGCAGGTCACCCTTTCTAAATGACGCAGCCTCCAAGGCTGAGAACTCTAAAACCCTCATCTGAGCTGCATTTATAAATCATGATTCAGCAGGAGACTGAATTCATTCTTCCCCAACCAAAAATAAAAAAAAAAGGCTTCCCAAACCCTCTCACACAGGAGAGGGTTTCAGTTTTCCTTTATTACTGCGAGGTTCTCTGCTCCTCTGCTCTCAATTCTCCATCTCCGACCCTCCTGGAGAAACGACCTCAGGAGCTCTCAGCAAGATGAGGACAAGCCAGGGAGGGCGGGCAGGCCTGGGCCTCTGGCTGCTCTGGCCCGGGGAGGCAGCCACATTTCTCACCACAAGGCATGCACAAATTGCCGGCAGCTGTGCTAGCAAGGCTGGACTTGAAAAGGCCCTTCCTCCTTCCCTGAGGTCATTCTCTCCCTCTTTAATCCGCCCTGACGCTGCCCTGCATCTTGTGCCTTTGTACTGGGCTGTGTCTGCCAGACTCTGCCTGCATACCACAGGCACAGGGGCGGGCTGCCCCTCCAGCCAAGGGTGGCCTCTCCTCCAGAGTCCCCCAGTCCCCTTCAGGTTCATCTCCTGACCAGCCAGGGTACAAGACTCCCAAAGCTTGTTACAAGATGGAGCCGATAGACCCTTGGCTCAGGGGCCCCCAGGCCTCCAGCCCCTGAGGATGAAAGGGGATGTGCAGGGCAGAAGAGGCTCCCAAGAGGCCTGCAGTGAGGGTGTGTGGGGAGCACAGGACTTCCGAAACCTCAGTGCTGGCGGGGTGCCACCTGGCTCTCCTCACTGTACAAAGAGTTCCTCTTCCTGGGGAGGCTCTAAATCTCCCGGCCTTTTTATCACCGCTGCATCACGGGTCAGCAGTGGTGCCTGCTCCAGGGAGCGGCTGCTAATAGAAGCTGAATTCAGCAGTTACATGTGGGCACCGTTAACCAGTCCCCACCCCAGCTCTCAGCACAAGAGAGGGCCTGCTCCGGCCCCTTCTGTACAAATGGGACGGGGGTGGCCTCGCAGCCACCTGCCCCAACCCCCAGCAGTTATCTGGCTGCTGAATGTCTTCTTGGTAATCTGAGTGGCTTCTCAGGGCCTTCTTAGCCTTCCCTCCACAGTAATCCTGTCCAGGTGACTGGTAAAAAATCCAGTGAAGCCCCAATATTTTTTGTTTGACTGTACCCTTTGAGAGAATCCTTCACAGTTGCTGGATTTTTGGTGATTGTTTTCGTGTTCCCTTTCGTCCCAATTACAAAAAAAGGTCATGGATCATGTACTACCCCTACCCCAGCTCCACCACCACATAACACCTCCTGCGCAGGAGCTGGGAGCATTATGGATTGATGTGTTCAAGGAGTAAGAGGCTGTAGGTCCACCCTCCAACAACTTGGAACCACATACCTCTACAGCCACCCATTAGCAGCTAAGCCTCCACAGGCATTGTGTGGGTTCAGGGGAGCATTTCAACACCATGCAACGTCCCTAAATACTAATGCCCAAAGGACTGGACACTTCCCCTTGCTTAGAAACCAGATCGACTTACAGAGCATGAATTCCCAGAGTTCCAGGTCAACATTACCTTCGAGATGTAGGTCAGCTGCAAAGCTCCAACAGCTCCTGCCCCCATTGCCAGATTCTGAAAGACACATAGTTTTCATTTTAAGAAGGCTGTGGAAACAGCACCAAGAGACAGAAGACCAAGATTCTAGCTCTGTTTATGCCACTTTCCTGGCAACACTGAGCAAGTTACTCAACCATTCTTTAACTTGCATTCCTCACCTGTGAAACAGTGATGATAATTCCTGGATAATGATTCAGGATTCCTGATAGAAACCTGTGACATTAACATTACCCCCAAGCCTTATCTATTATAAAGAAATATTCTAGTACAGTGGTAAAAGTGTGTGCTCAGGCTGGGCATACTGGTTCATGCCTGTAATCCCAGTACTTTGGAAGGCCAAGGTGGGAAGATCACTTGAGGCCAGGAGTTTGAGACCAGCCTGGATAACATATCAAGACCCCATCTCTACAAAAATTTTAAAAATTAGCTGGGTATGGAGGCTCACACTTGCAGTCCCACCTCCATGGAAGGCTGAGTTGGCAGGACTGCTGGAGCCCAGGAGATAGAGGCTGCGGTAAGCTGTGTTCATGCCACTGCACAACACAGCAAGACCCTATCTCTTAAAAAAAAAAAAAAAAGTGTAAGCTCCACTGTGAACAAGTTCCTTAACCACCGATCCTTAGTTTTTCCTTCTGTAAAATAGGGATAATAGCACCTACCTCATAAGAAAGCTGTAAAAATGAGTTAATACATTTAAGAAGGCCAGGCACAGTGGCTCACGTCTGTAATCCCAGCACTTTGGAAGGCTGAGGCGGGAGGATCACCTCAAGTCAGGAGTTCGAGACCAGCCTGGACAACATGGCAAAACCCCATCTCTGCTAAAAATATAGAGCCGGGCTTGGTGGCTCACACTTGTAGTCCCACCTACTTGGGAAGCTGAGGCAGGAGAATCGCTTGAACCTGGGAGGTGGAGGTTGCAGTAAGCCAAGATCTCACCACTGCACTCCAGCCTGGGTGACAGAGCAAGACTCCATCCCCCAAAAATAAAAAATAAATAAATACATTTAAGAGCACTTGGAATTAATTGTCCCTGGTATGTAGAAGACTCTCAGCAAGTGTGAGCTGTTATAGTTTTTGTGAGTGCCCTGAGATCTCACTGACTCTGTCCTGTTTTATGCCAGTTCAATTTTTTTTTTATAATACATAGGATACAAACTCACGCAATATAGAAATAAAAATATATATATATATACATCTGTTCAGCCCATCTCATAGGGCTGTTATGAGTAGCAAAGGAAAGATGTCTGTACAGTATAAAACATGAAGTGAATGCACTATCACGACAGCAGGAGACTCACAGGCACCAGGTCTGGCACTGTGCTCTACCCTGGCACACCATCTTTGGCTTTCTAATGTCCCCACTGGCAGGGATGAAGCAGTGAAAACCCAAGGCAGTCCCATGCCAGAGTCACGGTCAAGGTTAGAAATCACAGCCCTGGGGCTTCGAATGCAGACCATCCCCCTGTGAATCTGAGACTCTGTCCATAGCTCCTGCTGACCTCTTAAATTGTTGCCAAAAGCCTCCAAGAAAAATCTCTGGAAGAGAGAGACTCCATCTCAAAAAAGAAAAAAAAAAATCTCTGAAGCCCCCATTACCTGGGGTCCTCTCAAAGCAATAAAAGGAGATGAATCTCGGATAAAGGAATTTAGGAAATTTACCTAAGAATTATCAGTGAAATGATCTATCAGGAGATAGCCTTAAGAAGTGTCTCTGGTGGACCAGGCGTGGTGGCTCACACCTGTAATCTCAGCACTTTGGGAGGCTGGGACTGCTTGAGACCAGGACTCTGGGACCACCCTGGCCAACATAGTGAAACGCCGTCTCTATAAAAACATTATATATATATATATTTTCTTCTTCTTCTTCTTCTACCTCTTCTTCTTTTTCTTTTCTGTAAATGTCTCCTCAGGGTGTTAGGGAAGAGTCCTTCTAACCCCACCTATCTAAATTAACATACATCGCTTGAAGCAAATTCAAGCAAGAAAATGGACGGGGATAATACTACCAAAAAAGGTATTCTCAGAACCCAAGAATCTTAGAGTGGGGGACCTAGAAAAGACTCTGCACTCACGTTCTTCCCTTTGCGAATGAGGCAGTAAGCTAAGGAGCTGCCTCTTACAGCCAGATTTGTATATGAACTGTGGATAATCTGATTTACACTTCTATTTACACATTTTTTTTCAACCACATAGCGACTGCTTTTCTTTCTTTTCTTTTTTTTTTTTTTTTAGGAAACCTCTATTGGGTAGGAAGAGACAGGCCTTATAGCCCTTAAATCAGAGTCCACATAGGAGCCCCAGCTCCCAAAAGGCATGAGTGACAGACACTGCCTTAGAAGGGAATGAGAACCGCTCTGGGCAAAGACACCGTGCTGCCCAAGGTCAGACTTACAGAGGGAGACCAACGGGCTCCAGGGACACAGGAACTGCAGGACTCTGCTGAGGACTAAGGGTCCACCACCCCTGACCTCATTTTGCAGTTTAGGAAAGTGGGCTTGTGAGTGAGGGGATTTGTCCAAGGTCACATAATTGGTGGCAGAGCCTAAACCAAAGCTGACTTTCAATGCAGTGCCCTGCAAGTGGCATGGGGTAATTTTAAAAGCTTGAGCTGTTGGAATTCTAGCTGTGACATTAATGCTCTGTAACCACAGGCAAGTCTCTTTACCTATAAAACAGAGATGCTAAACCCTGTTTCATAGGGTGGTGGGGAGAATTCCATGGAAAGACACGAGAGGGCCCAACCCCTCCTATTGGAGTCCCGATCCCCCTCCCACAGCACTAATTACAAGATGCAAATGCCAAATCTCAGGGCCGCTGTTGCACAACACACTCTCCTCACCCCAAACCACAGCCCAGCAGCCTCCGGAGCTCTAGCCTGAATTATGAGTGATGAAGTGGGATTTGGGGAACCATTCGGACACTAACCCACATGGAAAAACAACTATGAGCTGATCAGGTTTCAACTACTTCATCCCCTCTGCCCCTCAAGGGCTGCTCCACCCTCTGTCCTGGCCTCCCTGGCAGCTCTCCCTGTTCAGAGAGAAAGATGCCGCAGCCACTCTCCAGGCCCAGGGACCCCAGGGGTAAGGGCAGGGGTCCTCACCCCTTCACCCACACCCCACCCACAGTCTGCTCCTGGGCTCAACTGTACGTCCTCTCCACCAGGAGAAGCCAGGAAAATATGACGCGTGTCTGATGCTGCCTTCCTCCCTCCCACCTTCCTCCCCATCCAGGGGAAATGGGAGACATGGGAGAAAACAGCCCCAGGATCCTTGAGGCTTGATCCAAAGTGACGCTCAGGGTCCACTCCAGTGACTGGACCTAGAAGATGAACGGTGACAGCTGACTGCCAGGGTGACACATCGGCAGCCCTAGGAAGGTGCTTTCTGATCAAGGAAGACAGAGTGGGGATGCCTGAGCTGAGGGCCTGGTTAGCCAGGTGTCAGGGCAGGAAGGCCAAGAAACAGCACCTAGGTAGCGGCAAGGGATCAGAGCTGGGGAGGGGAGCCCACCCAAGCTGTCCCCCCTCTTCCCTGGCCATAGCTCAGACTCCTCTAGGAAAAGGACAAACTCAGGACTCTCTTCCCTGAAGCCTGAACCGACTCCAGCCTGCCCTGACCTCCCCTCTCTCTGGATTTAGGCACACAAATCCTTCTCCAACTTTGGTGCACACCAGAATCTCCTGGAGAGCTTGTTTTAAAAACCCCAAGAATGACCAGGTGCAGTGGCGCACACCTGTAATCCCAACACCTGGGGAGGCTGAGGTGGGAGGATCGCTTGAGGCCAGGGGTTCAAGACCAGCCTGGGCAACACAGCAAGACTCTGTCTCTACAAAAAGTAAAATAAAGAAATTAGCTGGGTGTAGTGGTGCACATTTGTAGTCCCAGGTATGTGGGAAGCTGAGGTGGGAAGATCACTTGAGCCCAGGAGTTCGAGGCTGCAGTGAGCTATGATCGTGTCACTGCACTCCAGCCTAAGTAACAGGGCGAGGCCCTGACTCTATTTATTAAAAAGAAAAAAAGAGATTTTAAAAAAAAGCCCGCGCTCAAGCTTCCCCCCACCAGAACACTGAATGAGAATTAAATGGAATGTGGTCAGAACATGGACATTTTTAAAATGCTCCCACGCGATCCCTCAACAGGCCCAAGTTTAAGAACAGCTGGTCAACAGGACAAAATCTAGCCTTGGACTCTGTTCTCGGAGTATGTTTTTCTGAGAGTTTAGGTCTCTTCCTACTGGACGGAAGCACACGAAGGTCATGAGTAGGATCTTACTGCTTTACAGAGGGGACTCCTTAATTTTTAAATGAAAACAATATTTGCATGATGGTGAAGTTCCCAACCAGTCCATACAAGCCCACTGAGTTCATAAAGTACTGGAAGACCAATGCAGCTCTGCCCACCACCGGCAAACAACGTTTTCTCGTGACATCTCCCAGGTTCCAACTTGGGGGTCACTTCAGTTTGCAGCTCCCAAGACCTAGGCAAGGCCTCTGTGGGACAGGAATCAGGATCGGGTAGAAGAGGCAGGAAAGGACTGAACCCCAATGAAAAGGAGGTGGAAAATGTAGGGGCAGAGTTGAGGAATGGGCCATAGGGAGAGGGACTGGAAGCGTCAAGATGAAGGCGTCTGAGCAGATACAAAGTGGAGCCGGTGGGTGGTGGGAATGAAGTTCTGGAAGGCTGCTTATGTGAATCACCTCGGGAGGTATCTTTTATTTATGTATTTATTTATTTTGAGATGACTCCGTTGCCCAGGCTGGATATGCAGTGGCATGATCTCGGCTCACTGCAACCTCCACCTCCCGGGTTCAAGCAATTCTCGTGCCTCAGCCTCCTGAGTAGCTGGGATTACAGACATGCACCACCACACCCGGCTAATTTCTGTATTTTTAGTAGAGATGGGGTTTCACCATATTGGCCAGGCTGATCTCAAACTCCTGACATCAGGTGATCCGCCCGCCCTGGCCTCCCAAAGTACTGGAATTACAGGCATGGGCCACCATGTCTCCTGGCCACCTCGGGAGATTTCTAAACAAACTAAGACGCATGCTTCATTCTCAGGGTTTGAACTCGTCTGGGATACCCAGGCACCTGCCTGTTTCCAGAGCTCCCAAGGGATTCCATGTGCTTCCAGGTTGGAGGTCATGGCTGTAGGCACCAGCTGGTCCTGCTGAGTCTGCCCTAGAGACACAGCAGCTGGTGAGAGAAAAGGCTACGCCAGCCAGCAGCCCACAGAGTCACCCTGGCTGCTGCACCAGCAGCCAACAGAGAGGAAGGAGGAAAGGTAGGAGAGAGAGAGGAAGAGGGAATGGAGATTCCCGTGTCATGCCGTGCCATGCCGTGCCATGCCATGCCATGCCGTGGGGTGCCGTGCCTCGCTGGCAGCGATCCCACGAGAGGAAGTCTACAAGTCAGGAGTGGTCTGTACATTTGGTGGACTTCTAAATTTTGTGGAACCACATAGGGCACAGGGCAGGTTCCTGTTAAAAGATAGGTGGTTTTAGGCTGAGCGTGGTGGCTCACGCCTGTAATCCCAGCACTTTGGGAGGCTGAGGCAGGGGGATCACCTGAGGTCAGGAATTCAAGACCAGCCTGGCCAACATGGTGAAACCCCTTCTCTACTAAAAGTATTAAAAAATTAGCCGGGCATAGTGGCATGCGCCTGTAATCCCAGCTACTTGGGAGGCTGAGGCACGAGAATTGCTTGAACCCAGGAGGCGAAGGTTGCAGTGAGCCGAGATTGCGCCACTGCACTCCAGCCCGGGTGACAGAGCCAGACTCCATCTCAAAAATAAATAAATAAATAAATAAATAAATAAAGATAGGTGGTTTTATGCAGACAATGCCAGTACCTTCCTTTTTGCTCAAGAGCTCTTCTGCCACTAAGGTCCTTGAAGGAGCCAGCTCCCCAGGGGGGAAAATATATGGCTTATTCTTCTCCGTCACCAAGGAAGCAGCTGAGGTGCCCATACAGGGATGTGGCACACCTCCCACGTTAATCCTTTTTCTAGCAACAGCAGTATTTCTTGTTGAAGAAGAAATTTTTACCCATGTGACTTCTACTCCCTTCCGCCTCTTCCAGTGAGAGTCACAAAGAACACAGAAATGACCAGAAGACCCAACTATCGATCCATAAACTCACAGCATGTCAGCACTCAAAGGTCCTGTGCATACCTCTTCATTCACTACACATGAGTCCTCTAAGGCTCAACTGGGGGAAGTGACTTCCTTAGGGAGTCAAATGAAGACAGAGCTCAAACTCCTAACATCAATCTGGTGCTTTGGCAAAGTAACAGCCTGAGAAAGAAAGAAGGAAACTAACATATATTTAGAAATTATGATGCGCCAGACATGCTGCTAGGCACCTTCACATGTGGTCGCCTAATCCTAACAATCCCATTTCACAGATGAAGAAACTAAGGATGGGGCAGGTGAAGGAACCTGCCCAGGGTCACACAGGCAGCAAGCAGCGGAGCCAGTATTCAAGCCCAACCCTTCCTGATTCCCAAATCCCATGCACTTTCCTTTAGGCCCTGCCATCTCCCATGAGACATTATCTAAGAGCTGATTATCAATGAAAGGTAAATACAAAAGCAGGACCAGCAGGGTTACACCAAAAGAGGCCCAGTGTCATTGCCCAAGCTGGGCAGGGCAGGAACTTGTCCAACTGGCTCTTGGGTGCCAAACTCCAATAGACCAGAGATTCAGAGCAGAAAGGGGGAAGGAAGGAGAGATGCTGGTGCCATCTGACCTTCTCTTACAGGCCCCTGGGGTGTCCAGCAGACAGTAAAAAGCAGCTAGCAGGAGACGGAGGGAGGGGACGCCCCTGGTAATCCCAGAGCTAGGGCATGAGCTGACATTGCTGTCTGTGAGCTAAAACCATAGCTCAGCCACCAAAAGCCACGGCCATGTAGACTCACAGAAAAGAATGTGCCTGCAGAGGGGGTATAGCTCAGAGTAGACATTTGAATGTAGGAGAACGGTGTGACAGGACTGGGAAGGAGGAGCATAGCTGCCGCTGCCCCACATTCCAAAGCCCTCACCCTGACATGAGCAACCAAAGCAGGGGAGCCAAGCGAATCCCAGGCACCAGGTGACCTGGGCCGTGGCTCTACCTGCTGCTCTAGGGCCAAACACCTCTCCTCCCCTCTGCCCTGTAGGTCCACTTGCTGATGCTAACGCGGGGACACACGACACGCTGATAGCTACTCTCCCCATTCTCCAGTTCAAAGTGTGTATTTAATCTTTCCCTTCAGGAGAAGTCGATTCTATATCATCCTCTGCTGCGTGGGCTTAATGTTTTTATTCTATTACTTGGATGTCGATTTCTTGTTGACAGACACCAGTATCAGCTTTAGACAGGATAAGTTTCATTGTGTGTTAAGTCTCTCAGCCACACCCCCATTCCCTTTATTTCCGTCTTCCAACTCTGGTGACAGAGACTTAAAGACCAGGTCGGGCCGGGCGCGGTGATTCATGCCTGTAATCTCAACACTTTGGGAGGCCAAGGCGGGTGGATCACTTGAGGTCAGGAGTTCAAGACCAACCTGGCCAACATGGTGAAACCCTGTCTCTACTAAAAATACAAACATTAGCTGGGTGTGGTGGCGCACACCTTTAATCCCAGGTATCCGGGAGGCTGCGGTAGGAGAATCGCTTGAACCCAGGAGACAGAGGTTGCAGTGAGCCAAGATCACACCACTGCACTCCAGCCTGGGTGACAGAGTGAGTGAGACTCCATCTCAAAAAGAAAAAAAAAAAAAAAAAAAAGACCAGGTCAGAGGCCTGGGCTTCAGATAATCTCCCGGAGGCATTTGGGTCCCAACTCTGACTGCTGGCCACCTAAATGTTTCTAAAGCTGTAAACTCAATAAGCCAACTCCATCAGCCCTTTCTTCAATCCAGCCTCAAACTCAATGTCATTTCCCCTCCACTTTCTAATCGGTTTCCCTCTCCCCTCCCCAGCCTCTGTCAGTAATTCCACCTCCTCTCCCCAGTCAACCAGGTACTAAACTTTCAAACATTCTTCCCTCATGTAGCCTCTAAACCTGCCCCCCCACTCTCCATTCCCACCACCTCAGGCATATCAGGAAGCTCTGTGACAAATCCCCAGCCGTCATCTCCAGCTCCAGCTCTCCCCACCTCCCCATCCATCCCGATGTCCTGGCCAGAACAAACTTTCTTAACAGATAACATCTGTAGCACTTTAGAGCTCATCAAAGCATTCTCACATACATTATTTACTCTTCACAGCAACAATGTCACAGGTGGAGATCATTGATATCATTACCATATACTGTGGATGAGGACAGGAGGCTCAAAAAATGGATGTTTCCTTAATGAATATATTCATCATGTTGTCCTGTGCTCAATTGATATAACTAATAAAACTGGTCTCTGAAGCAAAATCTAATATGAACCCCTCCCCCAAACATGCAATAACCAACCTCCTTTGCCTTCGAGACACTATTTAGATAATAAATTAATAAAATGACTTTTTTTGAGACAGGGTCTTGCTCTGTAACTCAGGCTGGAGTACAGTGTCCTGATCACAGCTCACTGCAGCCTCTAACTCCTGAGCTCAAGTGATTCTCCCACCTCAGCGTCCCAAGTACCTGGGACTACAGACATATGCCACCACGATTGCCTAATTTCTTTATTTTATTTTATTTTTTGTAGAGATGGGGTCTTCCTATGTTGCCCAGGCTGGTCTCAAATTCCTGGCCTCAAGTGATCCTCCCACAGGCCTGGGATTACAGACATGAGCCACCATGTCTGGTCATACCATTCTTTGGTATATAACTAGATCTATAAATATAGAAAGAGATGTATATAATAAATACATTGAACAAATGTTGAAGGTTAAAATGTAAAGCAAAATCTAACAACAACATACCAAAGAGAAGTTTTGAGAAAACTTAGAATAGTCATCACTATGGTTTTGCAATAGTTATTTAACCTCTGCTAAGTTTCATAGCTTCTATCTGTTTAGCTGCTTGGACTTTAATACTGAGTAGTGCTAACTCTTAACACAATTCTTTCAATGTGCTACTTAGTTTTTTGTTTGTTTGTTTGGTTGGTTGGTTTTTTTTGAGATGGAGTCTCGCTCTTGTTACCCAGGCTAGAGTGCAATGGCGTGATCTCAGCTCACTGCAACCTCTGCCTCCCGGGTTCAAGCGATTCTCCTGCCTCAGCCTCCTGAGTAGCTTGCCACCATGCCCTGCTAATTATTGTACTTTTAGTAGAGACAGGGTTTCGCCATGTTGGCCAGGCTGGTCTTGAACTCCTGACCGCAGGTGATCGCCTGCCTTGGCCTCCCAGAGTACTGGGATTACAGGCGTGAGCCACCGCACCCGGCTTAGTTTTTAATTTTTTTTAATTTAGACAAAGTACATCCTGTTATAAAGATACAACTTGTTTAAAAAATATGATGGCTACAGAAAACACATAAAGCAAAATTGCAGTTTCTAATTCTACATTAAGCTCTCAAAAAGCCCACATATAATTTTAATTCTAAGCATGTTTTGACCAGGCCCAGTCAAATCCAGCAGTGAGCTCTGACTGCACACTACACTTCAGTCTCGGAGACGGAGTAAGAACCCTGTCTCTAAAAAAAAAAAAAAAAAGTACTTTTTAATAATATTTTTACCCTTAGCAAAATTTGCATTTGGTAAAAGTACAGATTTGTCACTTATAATCTTCTTTTGGGATTTTTTTTTTACCAAAGGATTCTGCGTTCTTACTCTAACACACTACAGACAAAAGCACATCAAATATTCCACTGACTCCTGGAAATCACAAGTCTACATGGATAGTTAAGATATCAATTACACAAAATCCATGAATTGAAGACACTTTGCCCAAACAATTTGCTGAAGATCTGAAAGTTACCATGATCTTAAGAGATAGTCTCTCAGGCAGAGATTATCTCCAGACAGACACAAGAAACTGTCAAGACTGGCTGCCCCTGCTGAGAGGACAGAAGTGGGAGGGAGAAATTTGTCACTAACTCTGCATTCCTACATTCCAAATTCTGCACCACGTGCATCTATTGCCCAATTTTTAAAGAACATTATTTCCTGGTTCTTGGCATTCTGACAGGTTGAAGCATACAATGCAAAAATTATTCCTGGCTTTCAGCCAAAATTTGCTTAGGAAAATTTCACGTTTTTTTAAAAAAACACCAATTTTCATGTAGCCTTTAAGACAACAGTATTGTCCATTATACATTATGTGTTATTATAACCTCCTCCCATAACTTTGTATGCTTTCTACTAAAATGCACCAAATATCCATCTTCTTACCAACACTGCTAACGCTCTTCACCCCATCAATGGAAAGAACTGCTTTCAGTTTATTTAAAAAAATTAAATAAAAGCAAAGGGCTTTCATTGGCACCCCAGGAGTACTAAGAGCCATGCAATCTTTTTGGTTATTTGATGATCCATGAGTCATATCGTGGCCTTTGGAAAGTAAAAGCAACTACGTATTTTTTGGAAAAAGAGGAAAAAACACATTTGACAGAGTAAATTTGACAAGACCAGCAATCTAGTGCAATATTGTGTTTCACGCTTCTGTTTACTCTTTGTTCAGGGCCATATAATTTGGTCTTGCAATTACTTAGCCAAGTGGACTTTAGAAAGTGGGGGATGTAAGCAATTCTCTGCAACTAAAACATAGTTAGTCTGCAGATTGCTGTACTAGAGTAGGGCGGCCCTAAGGAATTTCATCTCCTCTATCATGACGGGAACCAATGTGAAATCAAAATACAAGCGCTAGTGCCATAATATTGTAGTAACATTTTAAGGAAAATCAAGCCAGCATTTGTTTCTGTTCAAGAATTATTTGATTGCATGCAAGATGAAGAAGTTCTAGAGTAGGGAGACTGGCTGTATTACATCGTGCCTACAGTCAACAATATGGTATCATGCATTTAAAAATTTGTTAAAAGGGTAGATCTCATGCTGAACATCCTTACTATAATTTAAAAAAAAGTTTGCTTGATATTGTCAGTATATTGATTTTTAAATGCATTAGCCAAATCAGTGTCCATAATCAATAATACTGAGACTTTCCATTTATACAGGTCCTTTTTAGCTAATGGGTTTTTGTTCTATATCAGTTTAGAGTCACCACTGCCTGTACGAGAAGCCTTGATTCATTACTTAACCACACTGATTCTAAATTCTGCCAGACATTCAAGGCTGCGCCTGGCCCACGCTGTGTTCTGATCCCCAACACACCCCCACCGTATGTCCATCTAGCAGACGTTGCCACTGACTTCCCAAATTCCCTCCATCTCTTTTTGCCATTTGGCTGTGCCTTCCATGGCCTGCATCTACAGCTCTGCTTCAGAGAACTGCCTCTGGGCTGCTGGAAGCCATTCTGCCCACATGTGCAGAGCTGGAGCCAGTGACTGCCCGGTGCAGGCACACGAAAGCCCAGCTCCCTGAGACAAGGCTGAGGCATGACTCACCCCAGCGCTCCTGCAGGCCCACAGTGAAACCATCCCTTGCTCAGACCTCCACCTGAGTTCACACCCTTGTCTGGCCTCCTCCCTTCCCTGTCCTCCTTCCCCAGCTCTCTTCACAGTCCCCGCGGGAACATTTCCTCAATAAAGAACTTCCTGACAGATCTTGCCTCCGCGCCTGACTCCCTGTCTCAGCGCCTGACTCCTCGTCTCAGGGTCTTCTTCTGGGGACCCTGACGACCCTAAATGCCCCTCCAACCAGGCGAGCTCACCTCTGCCCCACAATGACTGCTGTTTCCCCAACTCAGAACGCCCTTCTCCTCCTCTTCATCTCTGCTTGGGGCAGAGTAGGTATAACAATCAAAGGACATCTTGTAAGTGAAAACCGGGCCAGGCGTAGTGGCTCACATCTGTAACCCAGCACTTTGGATGCCGAGGTGGGTGGATCACCTGAGGTCAGGAGTTCGAGACCAGCCTAGCCAACGTGGTGACACCCCCATCTCTAATAAAATACAAAAAGTAGCCGGGCATGGTGGTGCAGGCCTGTAATCCCAGCTACTTGGGAGGCTGAGGCACGAGAATTTCTTTAAGCTGGGAGGCGGAGGTTGCAGTGAGCTGAGATCGCGCCACTGCACTGGATCCTCGGCAACAGAGTGAGACTCTGTCTTAAAAAAATAAATAAATACAAATTTTAAAAAGTAAGTGGAAAACCCACAAAATGCTCTGCAAATACAAATAATGTATAGCAAAAATGAACCTCACACACCCTTCAACATCTGGATCTAGTGACACCTCCTCTATGAAGGGGGGCCCCCAGCTCTCCCCACCCCAATTGTCTGTTTCCCCAAATACAGTGTAAACTCTATGAAGGCAAAGACTGTCTTGTTCACTGAAGTAGCCACAGTATTTAGATCAGCATCTGGCACGCTGAACAAATTTAGTAAATATGTGTTAACAATGCTGTTGAACTCCAGGATCTCCTTCTATTCTCAGGAAATGAAAGGATAAAAGGCACGTAAGGATCACCTACAGGCTGGGCGCGGTAGCTCATGCCTGTAATCCCAGCACTTTGGGAGGCCAAGGCAGTGGGATCATTTGAGGTCAGGAGTTCAAGACCAGGCTGACCAACATAGTGAAACCCCATCTCTACTAAAACTACAAAAATTAGCCAGGTGTGCTGGTGAAAGGATCACCTAGAGTGCCCATACTCCACAGGATAAGTGACTTGCCTAAGATGTAAATCAACTTAGTGGCAGAGCCAAGATTGCAACCTTGATCTCTTATCTCTGCAGCATGAGAACTTTCCATATGAGACTCCACCTCCAAGCCCTACATCTTTCCCTTATGGGTGGCAGCAAAGGAAAATGGCAACTGCTTCTCCTTCAACCCAAATATTGGCATCCGGGCATTGGCACTGGCACCTAATGATATGCTACCCTGTTATAATGATTTGCCAGGATTATTAGCACCATAGTTTTGTGTGTGTTGTTTTCCTCTCCCCAGCTAACCCTGAAGCTTCCTGGTGGCAAAGGCCTCACCGAATTCATTTTCCACATCATCTACAAGACCTTGCACGGGCTGAGCACAGAGGTCAGTGGGAGGAGGGAGGCAGACAAAGAGGAGGTTGCACACTTGAGTCGATGGACCTGGCTCCAGCGCTGCATTTACCACCTGCACAACCATGAGCAAAGAGTAACAACAGACCCTAGGCCCCAGGATTATGGAGAGGTTCCATGGGGTAACACATGTAAAAGCATTTCACACCATAGCTGGTACATGGCAACCACTTAGTAAGTATAAGCTGCAGTTAGTAATAACAGCAGTAGCAGCAGCAGTAACAGATTCAGGCTCAGTGAACACCACCTACCAGGTGGCTTCAACACACAAAGATCGGAGACCTGGGTCCAAAAATCTTCTGCTTATTACTGCCTATTAAATAATTAAGAAAACATAGCAGGCATCTCCTTGTCCCTATCAAATAAAGATGTTCAACGACCACACACAGTTCTCAATGCCTCTTTTCATAGGAATGGACCAAAATCCCCAGGATGCCCCTCTCTGCAGAGCTTCCATTCCATTTTGGCCCTGTCCCCAGTCCCAGGAAAGCAATGTTGGGCACTCCACATTCCCCAGTGACCTGACTTCTGACCACTTCCTTCCCTGGCCCTCTTTAGCTGGCTCATTCATTCCTTCATTCAATGAACACATATTCATCAAATGCTGGAAACACTATGATAAAAAACTAAGCCACACGAGTGCCCTACCTTCTAGGACCTCCCAGCCCCGAGAGTCCTCAGGTTTCTCTTTCTTAACCAGAAACTACCTTTGCAGGCTCTTCATCCTCCAAGTCACCCTTAGACGCCTGTCTCATTATCAGCAATAATGGCAGGGGCACTAGAGTTAGACTGCCGGGGTTAGAGTCCCAGCTGTGCTACTTTTTTATTATGTAACCACGGGCAAATTCTTCCCCTGTCAGCCTCACCCACCTCATCTTCAGAATGAGGGCAATAATAACTACCAATTAAACTTGTTGTCAGAATGAAATAAAAACCCAATGAAGTGTGCTTGGCACACAGTAATAAATGCTCACTAATACCATTTTAGAACTTAACTGAAACATCCACACTTAAATCTGGAGTGGCCGTTTGGCTGTTCACACAACAAAGAACTAACCCAACCACTGAAGAAGTAAAATGTCCTGAATTATTTCTGTATCACAGCAAGACTCTCTTTTTTCAAGAATATGCCAAGCCAGGTGAGCTCTACTGCTTCCTGGGAAAACATAAAGAATCCCCAGCAGTGGGCCACTAGTTAGTTTTACCTGGTAATTCAAACTTGAAGAAGGTTCTACCACAAAACACCCTGAGAGCTCAGCTAGCAGGAAAGAGTAAGAGCCTGCCCTGGGCCAGGGGAACCTGCTGCAGAGGCTGACCCCAGAGAGCTTAGAAGGCAGCCCGAGGCACAGCGTCCAGGCTTAGCACAGGTTCTGGGCCCCAGTGACAAATCAGAGTGAGGGGAATCCTGACAACCGTCAATATTCAAGTTCCAAGATGGTGCCACTGTGGTCCTGGGTGATCTGCCACTGACAGCACAACTCTCAGTCTGTGACCCAGGGTGTGAAGAAAGATCCAACTCTCCAGGGAGGCAGCTGGCAACAGCCAGACAGGATTCCCCAAGCAAGTCAGTTCGGGTAAAGCACAGCCCTAGTGGGGAAGCATGGCGTGAAGCAGGTAAATCAAGACAAAAATCCATTCGAATGACTTGCACTAACACAGCAGGTGAGTGGGAGGAAGTACACAAAGGAGGAGAATGGAGAGGGAACGTGAAGACCCATAAGTCACCCAGGGCTCATCTCTGGTGTGCCCAAAGCCAAGTCTACTGGCAACAAACATTTAACTCCAGCCAAAGCAGAAGCATCGCTTGAAACCAAGAGTTCAGGCCAGTCGCAGTGGCTCATGCCTGTAATCCCAGCACTTTGGGAGGCCGAGGCCGGTGGATCACCTGACGTCAGGAGTTCAAGACCAGCCTGACCAATATGATGAAACCCCGTCTCTACTAAAAATACAAAAATTAGCTGGGCGTGGTGGCTGACGCCTGTAATCCCAGCTACTCGGGAGGCTGAGACAGGAGAATCGCTTGAACCCGGGAGGCAGAGGTTGCAGTGAGCTGAGATCGCGCCATTGCACTCCAGCGTGGGCAACAAGAGCAAAACTCTGTCTCAAAAGAAGAAAAAAAAAAAAGAAACCAGGAGTTCGAGACCAGCCTGGTCAACAAAGTGAGACCCTCCATCTCTACAAAAAATAAAAATAATTAGCCCAGTGTGGTGGCGCACACCTGTAGTCCCAGCTACATGGGAGGCTGAGGTGGGAGGATCACTTGAGCCCAGGAGTTTGAGCTATGATTGCATCACTGCACTCCAGCCTGGGCAACGGAGTAAGATCCCAAATTGAAAAAAAAAAAAACGGCCAGGTGCAACGGCTCATGCCTGTAATCCCAGCACTTTGGGAGGCCAAAGCAGGCAGATCACTTGAGGTGAGGAGTTCAAGACCAGCCTGGCCAACATGGTAAAACCTTGTCTCTACTAAAAGTAACAAAGTGGCTCATGCCTGTAATCCCAGCACTTTGGGAGGCCAAGGTGGGCAGATAAGGAGGTCAGGAGCTTGAGACCATCCTGGCTAACACAGTGAAACCCCGTCTCTACTAAAAAAAAATACAAAAAATTAGCTGGGCGTGGTGGCGGGTGCCTGTAGTCCCAACTACTCGGGAGGCTGAGGCAGGAGAATGGCGTGAACCCGGGAGGCAGAGCTTGCAGCGAGCCGAGATCGCGCCACTGCACTCTAGCCTGGGCAACAGAGAGAGACCCCGTCTCAAAACTAAATCAATAAATAAATAACAAAAATTAGCCGGGCATGGTGGTACATGCCAGTAATCCCAGCTACTGAGGAGGCTGAGGCAGGAGAATCACTTAAATCCAGGAGGCAGAGGTTGCAGTGAGCCGAGATCATGCCACTGCACTCCAGCCTGGGTGACAGAGCAAGACTCTGTCTCAAAAAAAAAGAGAGAAAAGAAAAGAGCAAAGGAAAGGAAAATGATATCGCAGGGCCTGAAGGCAAACCAGGCCCATTACATGACAAATGGCAGCATTCCAGGCTGAGTTGAGGGTGTCACAGTGTGCCTAGGAAGGGTTCATTCTGAATACTAGGCACTTCAAATGAAAGTAAGCAACAGGTTTATCAGGGCTGCAGGGTGAAACATGGGGCTCAGTTCTACTTAGGGTTAATCCTTGCTAGAGAAGGCAATTAGCAGCAGCTGACTTTCTGAGTATGTTTTCCGCATCTATGCTGTTTTTCTCTTGGTCATCAAATCTAGAAGACAAATGCCCAAGATCACTAGATGATTAGTCCCTGGACAGTGACCTAGAGATTCACATAACTCATTTTCCACATTGCATCTTAAAGCATAACTCCATCCCTGGGACATTCAGAATTTCCTCTTCCCAAGCCTCGGAACTAGAGCCAAATCCCAGATCCCACACCCTTCTTCATCCCAACACAGCCATGACCTGTGACCTTGCTGTTCAGAGGCCATGTCAGTGTTTGCAGGCTCATTCCACCAAATCACTCAAGGGTAGGGGAAGGAAAGAGCTAACAGCACTCAGGGCCAGAATAAGAAAAGCCTTGAGATCCCAAATCAGGGTGAAGCAACTTGTTCCCAGAGCAGTGATGACTCCAGGGACTCCTAGACATAGCAGTCAAAGGTAGGTGGCCCCCATCTTTGTGCCTGACCTCCACAAGATGCTCAGCAAGTCACCTAATTCTGACCATGTCCTTGCCAAGATCCAGTGCAGTGTCTGAGGCTCTCTTCTCATCTGGACCATGAGGAAACAAAACTGGGTGACCTCCAAGGGCACCTCCAATCCAGGATTCTAGGACTTCCTGAGTCAGGAGACCAAAGAAGTCCAACATGTGTCCGGCTCAGGGAACCAGGTCACATTCTCTGCTGGGGAGGGGCCCCCAGACTGGAAGAGCAGGAGCAGCCACAGGCCACAGCCCTGGAGAGAAGTAACAGGAAGCAAGCCATGCCTTGGAGCCTGGATCCAGGACTTGGATCTCACTGGCAGATCCTGGCTGGTGTCTGCGTGTGAGAGCAGACACCAGATGCCAGGGTCAGGACAGCATCATTCTCTCCAAGCTAAGATCTGAGATGGTTTTCTGTGTGTGTGTGGATGGGTGTGTATAGTATGTGTGTAGTCTGTGTGTATATGTGTGTGTGCATGTGTGTGTATGGTGTGTGCGTGTGCGCATGTGTCTGCATGTGTATGAGGTGCATGCGTGTGTGGTGTGTGTGGTGTGCGTGGGGGTGTGTGTGTATGGGGGTGTGTGTATGGTGTATGTGTGTCTCTGTGTGTGGTGTGTGTGTATGGCTTGTGTATGTGTGTATGGGATGTGTGTGCATGTGTGTGCATGTGTGTGTATAATGTGTGTGTGGTGTGTGTATATGGGGTGTGTGTGCATGTGTGTATGGTGTGTGTCTGGTGTATGGGTTGTGTGTATGGTGTGTGTCGTGTGTGCATGTGTGTATGGTGTATGGGTTGTGTGTGTGTATGGTGTGTGTGGTGTGTGTATGTGTCTGTGGTATGTGTATGGGGGGTATGTGTGTGTGTCTGTGTGGTGTGTATATGGTGTGTGCATGTGTGTATGTGTCGTGTCTGTACAGTGTGTGTGTGGTGTGTGTGTATAAGGTGCATGTGTGTGCGTGTGTGTGGTGTGTATGGGGTGTGTGTGGTGTGTGTGCACGTGAATGTGCATTTGTGTGTGTGTCTGTGTGTGTTGTAGGGTTGTCCCCTCCCTGCTGATCAGCAGGTTGTGTTGCTCACGAGCCTAGGCCTGGAGGCTAACCCTGTGTGCATTCCTCTGGCGCAGTGATGGGCACCCAGTCGCCCCACCCCTTCCCACTGACCCTCTCACCTGGGGGTTGTCCATATACCAGAGGAGGCAGTTAGCCTGGGTGTCCAGAATGAAGTACCTCCGCAGAAACTTGCCGCTGTTCTCATGCTCCTCGATGTCCAGAAACCCACAGATTCGGTTCTGCCGATCCACATAAGGCATTCCTGGGCTCTGCTCACATCACCCTGCGCGCAGGAGGGAGGTGCTGATGAGAAGGAAGATGAAGCAGCTCTGCCTCAGGACCTGCAGGAATCTTTTCCAGAAGCTGGGCTGAGACTCTCACCAGCTTCCTTCCGTGGGGGCACCAAATGTTCCATCCCAGACCCTGGAAACCTCTCCCAATGTTAAGCACCCCTAAAAATCCATTCACACGTATTCAACTCACTTTTCCAAGGCTCTATGTGCCCAGGATAGCATTGGGCACTTTACATCCATAGAGGAGATAAGCCCAGACTTTAGATCAGGGGCCTGCATTCAAATTCCAGTTCTGGATACTTGTTAATTGTATGACCACCAATTATTTAACCTTCGTGTGCCTCAGCTTCTGCATCTGTAAAACGGGGTTAATAATAAGGCTTGGGCTGAGAATTAAGTGGTAGGCACACAGTAAGCACTTCCTGAACAGTAGCTATTATCGTTGCTCTGCACAAAACCTTGTGAAGTGGCTCGCAACTCAATTTTATACATGGAAGAAATGATCTCAGAAAGGATGTAAGCTCCAATTCAAACATCTGAATAAAATTCTGCCAGGCTCTTGAACAATACCCCACAAGCACAGGCAACCAAAGCAAACATGGACAGGCGGGATCACATCAAGTTAAAAAGCTTCTGCACAGCAAAGGAAACAATCAACAAAGTGAAGAGAAAACCCACAGAATGGGAGAAAAATCGGCAAATTACCCATCTGACAAGGGACTAATAACCAGAATATATAAAGAGCTCAAACAACTTTATAGGAAAAAAAATCTCATAATCCAAATTTAAAATGGACAAAAGATTTAAACAGACATTTCTCAAGGAAAACACATACGAGTGGCAAACAGGCACATGAAAAGGTGCTCGACATCATTGATCACCAGAGAAATGCAAATCAAAACTACAATGAGATATCATCTCACCCCCGTGAAAATGGCTTTTATCCAAAAGACAGGCAACAACAAATGCTGGTGAGGAAGTGGAGAAAAGGGAACCCTTGTACGGTATTGGTGGGAATATAAATTAGTATGACCACTATGGAGAACAGTTTGGAGATTCCTCAAAAAACTAAAAATAGATCTACCATATGATCCAGCAATCCCACTGCTGGGTATATACCCAAAGAAACGAAATCAGTCTGTTGAAGAGGTATATCTGCACTCCTATGTTTGTTGCAGCTCTGTTCTCAATAGCCAAGATTTGGAAGCAACTTAAGTGGCCATCAACAGATGAATGAATAAAGAAAATGTGGCATATATACACAATGGAGTACTATTCAGCCATAAAAAAAGAGTAAGATCCTGTCATTTGCAACAACATGGATGGAACTGGGGATCATTATGTTAAGTGTGAAATAAGAGAGCCACAGAAAGACAGACATCACATGTCCTCACTCATTTATGGGATCTAAAAATCAAATCAATTGAACTCATGGAGATAGAGAGTAGAAGGGTGGTTACCAGAGGCTGGGAAGGGTAGTGGGGGGCTGGGGGGAAATGGGGATGGTTAATAGGTACAAAAAATAGTTAGAAAGAGTGAATAAGACCTACTATTTGATAGTACAACAGGGTAACTATAGTCAATAATAATTTAATTGCACATTTTAAAATAACTAAAAGAGGCCAGGCATGGTGGCTCATGCCAGTAATCCCAGCACTTTGGGAGGCTGAGGCAGGTGGATTACCTGAGGTCAGGAATTCGAGACCAGCCTGGCCAACATGGTGAAACCTCGTCTCTACTAAAAATACAAAAAATTAGCCAGTCGTGGTGGCGCATGCCTGTAATCCCAGCTACTCAGGAGGCTGAGGTAGGAGAATCGCTTGAACTCAGGAGCTGGAGGTTATAGTGAGACGAGATCACACCATTGCACTCCAGCCTGGGCAACAAGAGTAAAACTCTGTCAAAATAAAATAAAATAATATAACTGAACAGTCTGTAACGCAAAGGATAAATGCTGAAGGGGATGAATACCCCATCTTCCATGAAGTGACTGTTACGTGCTGCAAGCCTCATGTACCCCATAAATATATACACCTACTACGTACGCACAAAAATTAAACATAAAAAATTTTTCTAAAATTCTGCCAGGAATTAAGTCACAAAGGACAGCCTCTCCAGCTCCATGAAGATACCAAAAGATTAAAATGCAAAGGGTTTCTGGAGCCTTGAGGTAGGGTCACAGCCCCGGCCCAGCATCTTACATCACTCCACTGTCATTGTTACGGGGTGAATTATGTCCTCTCAAAATTCATATGTTGAAGTACTAACCCTAAGGCCCTCAAAATGTGGCTATATTTGGAGACAGGGTCTTTAAAGAGGTGACGGAGTTAGCATGATGTCATTGGCATGGGCCCTAATCCACTATGACTGATGTCTCCGTAAGAGGAGGAAAGACCCTGTGAAGACACAGGGAGGTGACAGCCATCCAGAAGCCGAGGCGCAGGCCCTGGACAGATCTTTCTCTCACGGCCCTCAGAAGAAACCAACCCTGTTAACACCCTGCCCTTGGACTTTCAGCCTCCAGATCGGTGAGAAAATGAACTTCTGCCGTTTAAGCGATCCAAACTGTGGTCCTTGTTTATGATGGCCTGAGCAGCCTAATACGGTTACCCTTTATAATGGAAAGAATGAGGAATCAGAACAAAGTCCCAGGCTGGGTGCAGTGGCTCACAACTGTAATCCCAGCACTTTGGGGGACTGAGGTGGGAGGATCGCTTGAGGCCAGGGGTTTGAGACCAACGTGCGCAACACAGTGAGACCTCGTCTCCACAAAACAATTTAAAAATTAGCCAGGCACGGTGGCGTGCCTGTAGTCCCAGCTACTCAGGAGGCTGAGGTAGGAGAATCGCTTGAGCTCAAGAATTTGGGGCTGCAGGGAACCATGAGAGCACCACTCCACTCTAGCCTGGACGACAGAGTGAGACCCTGTCAGAAGAAGAGGAATAAAGGAAGAAAGAAGAAAAAGGAGAAGAAGGAAGAAAGAAGAAAGTCCCAGCCCGTGAGCACTATCCCCGACTCCGGAACTGTCTCTCTGGTAATGTGGGATGAGCCACACCTTCAAACCAGCCAACCTCTGCTCTTGTTGCAATTTTCTTAGGCCTCTCTGAGAGCCAAAGGGAAGGGCGAGAGCTCTATCCTGCTCCCCAACGAAGATTGGCCCCTTTCAATGAGCAGAGACACCCAATTCAAATGCACACCCAGTGCTGACGTGGGACAAGGGTCCCACAAGGGATCCCAAAGCACCACGTGACATTCAGACTTTCAAGGTCAGACCCCACCCACTGCTGAGCCCTGACAGGCTCCAACAGAGTGGAGTTCCTGGTGGCCCAAGCCCATGAAGGCCCTCTGTCCACAGCCACACAAAGTTGTGAGATGGCTGGCTCAGGCCATCCCCCACAACGGGACGCTGGGTCAGCAGGTGAGCTAGAGAGACCCAACAGCCCCGGTACTGCAGGCCCAGAGGGAGACACCCTCCCACAGCACAGGCTGACATCAGGCAGATTCAGATCAGGCTAATAGTAAGGGTGGCGACTGGTGGTGTGGCATGTTCTCTCCCATCCCCACAAGGGCCAGTGCTGAGAGGCAGCCCCTAGGAACAAATGCCCCCAAAACACACATATGGATACCAGTGACTGGTGAATCCCTTGATCCAGGTGAGGTCAGGGGGACTGGAGACACAAACATCAGGGAGATGCGTCGGGGAATCCCACAGCTACTCAGTGCAAAAGGATAGGGGACAAAGAGCAAAGCAGGCGAGAAACAGGACAGAGGTGAAACAGCACAGCTAAGGAAGAAGTCAGAGGAGCTGCAGTAAAAGAGGTGGTGAGAAGGATCAACCATGGACAGAGGAGGTTTCAGAAACACAGCAGAAAAGGATGTGTTGCAGCACAGCAGGGGCCAGGGGAGGCACACCCCTGCCCAAAGCAGCAACCCTTCCATTATGGCACCTGCGGACAGACCCAGGGCCTCCTCCAACAAAGCTTCCGCCCCAGCTCCAGTTTCACAATGGAGCAAGTTTGAGTTCAGAAACAGGAGAGAGATGGGCACAAGCCAGTAATGAGGAACAGACGCCACAGAAGGAACGTGAAGTCTCCCAGCAGACATTGGGTCAAAGGCAGCAAGGGGAGTGGTCTGGCGCTGGCTGGGGGCGGGGGAGCATATCCTGGAAAGAAGCCTCAGCTCCCTGGATGACGGAGGAACAAGAGTCCCACCAGAAGGGCTGGGTCAGCATTCCGGGAAGGGTGCAGAGCTGCCTGGTCAGGATGCTGGTGATCGCCAGCCCCTCAAGAAAACCAGGCAAACTCCCTTGATGCCCAACCAGTCACAGACAGATTTGCAGGGGCTGCAAGGACTATCGCTACTCTTGAGGCACCTCCCAGAGAAAACACACAAGCTCCTGTGGAAGAGCAAAGGTAACTGTCCTGGGCTCAATCGCTAAGCAAGGTGTCCAGCTGAACATTGGCTTTCAAATTTCCCCTTTTTAGCCTGCAGGATTCATCTTTCCTTTTTCTTTTTTTTTTTTTTTTCCTTTTTGAGATGGAGTCTCGCTATGTCACCCAGGCTGGAGTGCAGCAGGGCAATCTTGGCTCACTGCAACCTCCGCCTCCCAGGTTCAAGCGATTGTCCTGCCTCAGCCTCCCAAATAGCTGGGATTATAGGTGCACATCACCACACCCAGCTAATTTTTGTATTTTTAGTAGAGACGGGCTTTCGCCATGTTGGCCAGGCTGGTCTTGAAATCCTGACCTCAGGTGATCCACCAGCCTCGGCCTCCCAAAGTGCTGGGATTACAGGCATGAGCCACCATGCCTGGTCATGCCTGTCTTTTTCTGAAGTCAGGGGCTAAAGAAGGCACTCTTTCTACAATCCTCTAAAAGTCCAGTTTTGTTTCAGGGGCCTCACGGTGGGAGAGGGCCCTCACGGACCCAAGGGAAAGATAAGCATTCAGGTTACATCTCCTGACTGTGCTTCTATCCCTAGAAAAAAACAGCTGCTCAGACGTCCCGAGAAGCAGCTGAGTCACAGAGCTCATCAGGAATGTGGGAGGTGGGGGGAAGGACTGGCTGCAGGAGAACAGAGCATCACACAGAAATGTGGCTCTAACTAGCTGACCCACGCAGCAGCGGCACGTTCAGATGCTGCACACAACATGAACCTCAGGTCCTGAGCCCTAATCCTCTGATGGTTCATTCTGATCCCATTTGTACATCCTTTGTCTCAACAGTTGCTAAGATTGGGTCCACAGAGCTGCCCCAGGCCCCCAGATCCACTGTCCTCGCCTCCTCTGCCATGTCACCATAATCTTCCAAATCTTCTCTGGCTCTTCCTCTTCTTCACAGAGGCCTGTGTGGAAGTTAACTTTGCCAGCTCATCCCTAGCTTCTACTATTCTAGCAATGAGCCAGTGAGGGGAGAAAGGGGAGTGCCAGTAGTAATTGGTACTTAGATGGGGGAACAACTTGGTGTACATATATATGCTATCACCCCCAAATCCCCTGCCAAGACCAAGGCAAAGCTTCAAAATGTCTTTTCTAACTCTCACAACACTCTGCCAGTTACATGGTTGGTTTTTTGTTTGTTTGTTTTGTTTTTTGAGACAGAGTTTTGCTTTTGTCGCCCAGGCTGGAGTGCAGTGGAGCCATCTCGGCACACTTCAACCTCCACCTACTGGGTTCAAGTGATTCATTCTCCTGCCTCAGCCTCCAGAGTAGCTGGGATTACAGCGTGTGCCACCACATCCGGCTAATTTTTGTATTTTTAGTAGAGATGGGGTTTCACCATGTTGGCCAGGCTGGTCTCAAACTCCTGACCTCAGGTGAACCACCAGCCTCAGCCTCCCCAAGTGCTGGGATTATAGGCGTGAGCCACTACGCCCAGCCAAAATCACTTACCTTAAATTTCATTTTATGTTTTTATTTTTTAGAGACCTGGTCACACTCTGTTGCCCAGGCTGGAGTGCAGTGGTGTAATCGTAGCTTACTGCAGCCTCCAACTCCTGGGCTCAAGCCATCCTCCTGCCTTAGCCTCCCCAGTAGCTGGGACTACAGGTGCACACCACCATGGAGGGCTAATTTTTTAATTCTTCGTAGAGATGGGGTCTCCCTACATAGCCCAGGCTGTTTTCAAACTCTTAGACCCAGGCAATCCTCCTGCCTCAAGCCTCCCAAAGTACTGGGATTATAGGCATGAGCCACCACACCCAGCCTTAAATTTCATTTTGTCCTGAGTTCCCCAGTGTGAAAATATTGGGTAGAGGGTGACCGAGGGTGGTTTATCTCAAGAGTTCCCAGGTAAGCCTGTGGGCATCCTGACAATACCCAGCCCTCATCTCCTGGGACAACATGGAAAGCGTTCATGCTGGGGCCTGGCACGGTGGCTCACACCTGTAAACCCAGCACTTTGGGAGGCCGAAGCAGGTGGATCACTTGAGTTCAGGAGTTCAAAACCAGCATGGCCAACATGGTGAAACCCTGTCTCCATTAAAAATACAAAAATTAGCCAGGCATGGTGGTGCGCACCTATAATCCCAGCTATTCGGGAGACTAAGACAGGAGAATTGCTTGAACCTGGGAGGCGGAGGTTGCAGTGAGCCGAGATCATGCCACTGCACCCCAGCCTGGGTGACAGAGTGAGACTCCCTCTCAAAAAAAAAAGAAAGTGTTCATGCTGGGTTAGAGCTCTAGATACCCCTGTCTCTAGATGGTCCCTTCACCTTTGCTCTCATACCGTAATGAAACTATCTGGCAAGTAGCTTCCTGGCCTTCACAACACACAGCTAACAAAGCACACAGGGTATTTGTAAGAGAAGGGGCCTCTATCCAACCCACTCAGCACCCTATCTTCCCTAGCCAAACCTCCCTCGTGTTTTCTGGGTTTAGTGCAAAAATCATAATATAACAATGCTGGAATTATTTTAACAATCACTCCAGCCAACAATTTTCACATTTGCATGCTTTTTCATGTCCCTATCCACATAATTGGCCTTTTTAAAACTTAAGATGATGTCATAAGCATTTTCCATGTTGCTACATAGTCTTTATAATCGTTTCTAATGGTTGCATAACATTAATGGACTGGTTTTACTATAATTTACATAACCATTTCTCTACAATTAAATTGAAGGTTATATCCAATTTTTCACTGTTATACATAAGGCTAAAATTTGTATTTTCATGCTTTATTTCTTCTTTTACATGGAAAGAGCATAAATTCCAAGTAATAATATGAGATCACAGGCTATGATCTTTCATAATTCTTGAGTCCTTTTACAAAATTGTTTTCTAAAAAGATGTTATCTATGTTGCAACCAGCAATATATTGTTATCATCACTATAATCTTACATATATTGAATGTTCTCATTATTTTAAACTATTGGTGGTTTCAAATACATAATGACATCTAGTGAGGTTGAATGTTTTTTAAATGTTTGTTTCCTATTTCATCTACTTTCCTGAACTTCATTAAAAGCAAATCAAAAGTATGTGCATACAGAATTCCTCTCTTTCTGTCTCCCTCCCTGTCCTTCTCTCCCTCTCTCCTTCATTCTCTCTCTCCCTCTCTTCTCTGTCTCTCACAAACAAACACCAAACCAAACCAAGACGTAGCCTCATATTATTCCAGTAACTAAAAACTGTATTTCAGGCTAGGCATGGTGGCTCATGCCTGTAATCCCAGCACTTCGGGAGGCCAAGGCGGGCTGATCACTTGAGCCCAAGAGTTTGAGACCAGCCTGGGCAACATGGCAAAACCTCATCTGTACCAAAAATACAAAAATTAGCCGGGCATGGTAGTGCATGCCTGTGGTCCCAGCTACTCAGGAGGCTGAGGTAGGAGGATCACTTGAGCCCTGGAAGTGGAGGCTGCAGTGAGCCGAGATCACACCATGGCACTCCAGCCTGGGTGACAGAGTGAGACTCCATCTCAAAAAAAAAAAAAAAGTATTTTAATGAAAAGAAAAACAAAAAGTGGGAAGTTTTATATGATCCAGATTTCTAAGTAGAATATAAGTTCTTAAGTATGTACTGCGAATGAAAATAAGTATTTATGATACAAGTGAAACTTGGGGAAAGAAAGTGAGTTTGCATGGAGTCACCCATTAATCAGTGGCAGAAAGTGTGTTAAATGGCAATTAAACTGAGAGATTCCTGGCCGACACCTGCCAGTTGACTAGAAGCAGCTCATGAGAAGGAAGTCAATGGCTGCCTGCCAGAGAATGAAATGGGGGGCACTGGGAGGTATTGCAGCCCCAAATATCTCTCTACTGCCCATTCCCATGCCTTAGGTTCCACCAGTGGAGATTCAAGCCAAGAAAAAAATTGCCCCGAGGAACTGAGGCAATGGATAACTTTGCAAGGCTCATAATATACAAGAGACAGCTGGGACCCAGACCCTGAGAAAATAGCACATAGCCCAGATGGGACACAGAGGCATAGAGGGGCTGAAAGGGAAAGATCACTGCTTAAAACAGATGTTGTCTACTTGAAAAATGTTCCTAGGATTCTTATACACCCAGGACAGGACTATGAACCTTTCTGGAAAGCAATTTAGTTGTATATATATAACAAGAAAGCAAAAAATGTTCATACCCTTTGACCCAGTGATTCTACTTCTAGGATTCCATCCAAGTCAATCAACAAAGATGCAAAGAAAGATTAAAGTAAAAAGATGGCAACTGCAATAGAATTTATAGTAACAAACAACTGGTAATGTCCTGAACAACACAATGGTTAGAAAATAATTCTTTTTTTTTTTTTTGAGACAGAGTCTCGCTCTGTCGCCCAGGTTGGAGTGCAGTGGCGCCATCTCGGCTCACTGCAACCTCCGCCTCCCAGGTTCAAGCTATTCTCCTGCCTCAGCCTCCTGAGTAGCTGGGACTACAGGCGTGCACCACCACGCCCAGCTGATTTTTGTATTTTTAGTAGAGATGGGGTTTCACCATGTTGGCCAGGATGGTCTCGATCTCCTGACATCATGATCCACCCACCTTGGACTCCCAAAGTGCTGGGATTACAGGCGTGAGCCACCGCGCCTGGCCCAGAAAATAATTAAATAAACAACAGGACATACTCACAAGGAAATATTACACAATAATTCAAAAACTCTGTTTTCAGGTTATTTTTAATGAATGAGGGGAAAACTCACCACATCATAAGTTTTTTAAAAGATATGAAATGGTACATAATATGATCTCAATCATCCAAATATTATTCTTATATTCCTATATACGGTCTGTTTTAAAACCAGATATATAGTCACCAAAACAGTAAGTTATTATCTACGGGCTATGAGTGGAATTTCATTTACTTGTACATATTTTTCCAAATCTTCTACAGGGAGCATGTGTTACTTTATTTAGCAGGAGAGAAAGCTATTTAATTCCACACAGATTCCCACCCAAGTGTATAAGTTTTGAATCTGATAATAAATTTCTCAATTCTCCAGAGTCCACAAACAAACAAGGCCTTCCCTAAATTATAGCTCTCTTGGAACTTTTTGGTGTTTTAAAGACCTAAACCTAATAAATAAATGTTTCACATCTCACAATCATCCAAGAGCCAGATATCTACCTGCCCAGAGGGCTTTAGCACCCTCCAAGCTGTTTGGGTTTCTTACTTCGTATGGCAACATCCTCTGAGCGCCTTTCCCTCTTTCTCCTGCTGGTGTGGTCCCTTGCTCTCTGGTCTTAAGAAGCACCCAGGTCCTCGGGCCAACAGAATACTCAGTCCCAAGTCGATGCTGCTATTCCTCTATTCCTACAACACATGAGCTGTACCTTGAAAAGTGCTCTGGGAAAAGGAAATGGGGACCCTGACAGGAACGCCCAGTGGAGTTTTCCTTCTTGAAACTTGGGAGATAGGACTGACATTTTAAAATAAGTGTCAGGTGAGGTGGTGTGCACCTATAGTCACAACTATTGGGGAGGCTAGGGCAGGAGAATCTCTTGAGCCCAGGAGGTGGAGGTTGCAGTTGAGCCAATGTCTCACACCATTGCACTCCAGCCTGGGTGACAGGAGTGAAACCCTGTCTCAAAAATACATACATACATACATACATACATACATACATACATACATACATAAAATAAGTGGCTGGCTGGATGAGTGAAAAGATGAATAGATTAATTTTTTTTTTTTTTTGAGATATGGTCTCACTCTGTCTCCCAGTCTGGAGTACAGTGGCACAATGATGGCTCAATGCAGCCTCCACCTCCTGGGCTCATGCGATCCTCCCACCTCAGCCTCCTGAGTGGCTGGGACTACAGGCGTGCACCACCATACCCAGCTAATTTTTGTATTTTTTGTAGGTTGCCCAGGCTGGTCTCAAACTCCTAGGCTCAAGTGATCCTCTGGCCTCAGCCTCCCAAAGTGCTGGGATTATAGGCATGAGCCACTGTGCCCAGCCAGATAGATTTATTTTAAAGAAAAGCTATAAAGGTATTAAGTAATGAGAGCTGTGGTTTTCTGAATAGCCCTCTTGATTTTGAAGATGGCTAACATAATTTGGAGACAGAGGAAAGAATAGAGGGAAATATGGGAGACTCTGCCTGACTACTTTAGCATTTTTGAGATAAATAATAAGAGAAAGTGATAACAGAGATAAAGCCTTCAGTGGTATTGGCTGAAGTACAAAATTACTACAACCTCAGTTCAAAAATGAGAAAAAAATTACTCATTTTTAAAATTTAGAGATGTTTCTTTCACATTCTGTGTTAGCAGGACAAGGAATTTCTGGGATTTTGCTCCAGAAAATATTCAAAAGGTGCTTTTTGACAAGGAGTGGGGCGTGTGGTACGTACATCTTCTGTCCTGTTACCCCTACCAGGGCAGAAGCTGCAGGCAGCAGCTTCAGTAGTGACTGAGGTTCTACCAACCAGAAATGGCTCAACTGGGTAACAGGAGAAAGTTTTTTGGGAAATAACATCAGAGATCTCAAAGAGGACTGTATGAAATACAGCAGACAGGAACTGAGGTATAGAGATATGGAGCAGTCACTCACCTGTTGCTAGAATACATACGGACCATGTCAACAGAGTTCATATATGTTCAGATTTGCAGCATACATCAAGATATATTGTGAAGCCAACCAGAGCCTTCGCAATGTACAAACCCAGTAAAAACAACAGCAAAATGCAAGCATGGCTATTTGAGAACACATCCCTGAGAATGGGTCAAAGATTATAACTTAGGAAGTGTGGAAGCCTCCACTTCCTACTGCTCTAACATGGCCGCATTTTGAAACTGTCATGATAGCAGATTCCAAATAGTGTAAGGCGGGAGAATAAAGTGCGAGAGAAGGGAACGTACTGAGAACAAGTTCCCAGAGGAAGTGCAGGGTGAGGAATGCAAACATGTACAGGAATGGCGGGGGGCGGATCAGACAGGGTGCTGGCTTGACCCTGAGATAGCCCAATCCCCACTGGACCCTAGAACTTGGAGTAGAGAGCAAGAGATACTCAAGAAGGAATTTTTGAAAAAATATGGGGGGAGGGGTGTAAGGCAGGAGTAACTGGAAATTGATACCACTGCAATAAAGATGCCAAAAACAACAAAATATTTCAGACACTCATGACCTCTCTTCACAGCAGCCTCATCTACATTCAAAGAAAATGTGGTTGTTGGAGCCTGCAGGAAACAAAAGCCTGCCCGGGGCTGAAGGCTCATCAGACCATCTCCACCAGAGAGGGCACCAGTGCAGGCACGCAGCCATACTGGCTTTACAGCCTATAAAAGCTGAGATCTCCAACTTTCAGAATTGTGAAAGTTTCCCCACAATGAATTCGGTTTCACTATTGGGCTTCCTAACAACAGCTGCGAGTCCTGGAACTCTAATCTTCATTTTATAATGGACGATGTCAACCAAAGGGTACTAATACATGGGCAGTTAAGAGAATGAAAAGAAAACACCATTTCTCCTGGCCGGGCACAGTGGCTCACGCCTGAAATCCCAGCACTTTGGGAGTCCAAGGTGGGTGGATCACGAGGTCAGGAGATGGAGACCATCCTGGCTAACACAGTGAAACCCTGTCTCTGCTAAAAATACAAAAAATTAGCTGGGCGTGGTGGCATGCGCCTGTAGACCCAGCTACTTGGGAGGCTGAAGCAGGAAAATTGCTTGAACCTGTGAGGTGGAGGTTGCAGTGAGCCGAGATAGCGCCACTGCACTCCAGCATGGGCGACAGGGCGAGACTCTGTCTCAAAAAAAAAAAAAAAAAGCAAAAACACAAAAAACATAATTTCTCCAACCTACTGGCCTTTTGCTAAGTGCTGGGGGTGGGGCAGGGGAGTGGTGAGGGGGGAGCGTAAATGGCCTAGCTCTGTTCCTCTAAAGACATGTGCTTCTGTCTCTTGATTTAGGGAAGGAGGAGGGGCTGGGTGTGGTAAGGAGGATGTGCAGGTGACAATAATCAGTATGAGTATTTAAAAAAAATTTTTTTTTTTTAGAGGCAGGGTCTCGCTCTGGTGCCCAGGCTGGAGTGCAGTGGTGCGATCACAGCTCACTATAACCTCAAACTCCTGAGTTCAAAAAATCCTCCTGCTATAGCCTCCCGAGTAGCTGGGACTACAGGCGCACACTACTACAGCTAGCTAATTTTTCAATTTTTTGTAGAGATGGGGTCTCGCTATGTTCCCCAGGCTGGTCTTAAACTCTTAGCCTCAAGTGATCCCCCCCACCTCAGCCTCCCAAAGCCCTGGGATTACAGAGATGAGCCACGGCATCCAGCCAATATGAGTATTTTTGAGGGAACTTTTGCAAGAAGATGACCATTCAAAAGGGTGTGCTGATTTCAGTTACCCATCCCATCCATGCAGTGGAGTGAAGGGAAAGAGCATGAGTCTTGAGCCAGACAGACCTGGATTCAAACGCAGAAAAGTTGCTTAAGTCTTCAGGGTCTATTTCCTAATCTGCAAAATGGAGATAATTGCTTTACCTACTTCAAAGGCTGCTGTGAGGATTAAATGAAATAATGTGTGAAAAGTGCTGGACACCCAGACATTGGGTAAATATTGTTGTTGTTAAACTGCATGTGTGGGTGCCTAACAAGGAGTACATGGTCATCATTACTACTGCAAAGTTGCTTAACACTGGGCAGGCAGCTGCTGCATGCGCACCTCCATCCCTCTAACTCCAGTGAGCAAATGTCAATGAAAAAGCTGCGACTCTGGGATTCCTCTCACGAGGAAAGGCATCAGCTTCCCTCACTCTTCCCTCTACTCCAAGAAACACCACATTTTACATCTCTAAAAATTCTCCAGGAGGTTTAAAACAAAAAGTCCAGGCAATGTGCTGACTCCTTCTTGGCCAGGCTACCCTGAGAGTTAACAGAAACCTAGACATGCTCGTCAGTTTCCAAGGCAAGCTGCCTCTTGATCCAGCCATGGGCAATCATACCAGCAGAGAGCTGCTTTGCAAGGGGCCAGCCAAATTTGAGTCCCAGCCTTCGCACTTTAACTGCAGTGCTTCTCAAGAGCATAAGGACAAGAGGACCCAGCTTCCCATCCTCTTCATCTCAGCTGACCAGGCACTGTGGGCAAAAGGCACACCACAGGGCCAAAGCCCCCAAGCCTTTTGCCCACACTGGGCAATATCAGGAGCCCCTGCCCCAGCAGGGCTGGGACCTCCACAGTGAGAAAGCCCAATTCCGGCTTTAATGCATAACAAATCACTTCAGTCAACTGGGGTCAGGGCAGGGAAGGGGCTTTCAGAAGGAACAGTAGGGTCTCACTACACCAACCCCCGGCCTCCTCTACTGACAGGATGGGGCCGCATCCCTCCCACCTCTCAGCTGCCCTATCTCCCCCGCCTGTCCAATACCCCATCTCAATAATGGGCTCATATCAGGCAGGGCCAGGGTTCTTCTCTTCCCATAGGCCAACACACTATAATATTTGCTTTCCTTCCTTCCTTTCCAAAGCCTACCAGATTAGATTGCTGGAGTCCCATCCAGCTCACTGAGACAGATGGAAAACGGAAAGTAAGGCAACCCAAACTGTTCATGGTGGAAAAAGAGAGGGGGCAGAGCAACCCAACGTCCCAGCACCCAGATCCTCTTTTCCAAGCCCTAGGTCTATCACAACCGGAATAAGTCGAGCCACAGCAGTTTCCGTGAATCAGAAGAGATATTCTGATGCACTGTGGTCTGCAGCAAGCTCTCATCTGAGTCATCCAGCCTTTCAGCAGGGGCATCACCCACCTGTCCATCTGTCCCATGAATTGGACAGGAGACCAACGCTGCTTGGGTCTTCCTAGTATCCTAGCACTTCGGCAAACACTTGGCAAGGTAGTGGGAGGGCTGCTCTGGGGCTCAGCTGATAGGGCTCATCAGCCTTCCCCTTCCCACTTCTGCAGAACAAAAACCTGCACCAACCAAAACCTGCATGTCTTCAAGATTTATTTTAACCACTCAAAAATACCGAGCTGAATATGGTTCAGCTCACTACCATGACATGATGGGATCTGCAGGCCCTATTTCCTTAACACAGAAGAGAGAAGAAAGCACCAATGACAAGGAAAAAGAAAGGGTTGCAAAAACTCTTCACCAAAGGGCAGGCAGTTTCTCAATCAATACCAAGGTAATTACCAATCTGTGAAATGAGCAAGGCTCCCATTACCAGCTAGCTAAAACCCCACTAGGAGTGCCATAGACAATTTGTAGAAAGCATGCTGTAATGTACAAACAGGGTCAAAGGATACTTAGGTGTAAAGGCAACATCCGGACTAATAACTCCCATGTACCAGCTTGGAGAACCAAATCCCTACAGGTTTGAGGAACAACCACACTGCTCTTTTCTCTGCCATTTGGACAAGTGCAAACAATTCATGTGTTTGCATTCATTCATTAATGCAATAAACATTTACTTAGCACCTGGTACATGTCATACGTTGGGCTGGCCATAATCTAGACTACAAGCTAGACCTCTGATAGTGCAAAAGTCATCTGCCTTCAGGCGGCACATGGTGAAGAGGGCTAATGTCTGAGATGATGATGATGCTTTCTAAAAGCTTACTCTGGCTTCTCAAAACAAGTGGGGGGCTTACAAGTCCTGTAAGCTCGCCAAAGACAGGGTCCAGCCCTCCAGAGGTAAAGGAAAAAGAAAAAATAAAGACAGGGGTTGTGTTTTGTTCATCACTGCCTTGCATGTATAATACATGTCAACTGAATGCAACTGAAATAGAAAGCAAAAACTTCTATTCTTTCAAGATCTTTTGCTTTGCTGTTTCGGAAGGCTTCGCAACCAAAGAAAAAAAATGACAAAAGAAGGGAAAATGGGACTTGGTCAGATAGATTAAGAACACCATTAGTGCAATCTTGGGACTTCAGCCCCAAGTGCATCTACAGCTCAGCCTTCAGAGCCCCCAGAGCCACAGCTGGCTTTCTGGTGGGGTGCTCTCCCCTCCCTCTTCTCTGCCGTTTACTGTCCTCTGAAAACCCCACTTGGAGCCCTAAAGAAAGAAAGGGGGCGGGCAGGAAGAAGGAATGAGAAGGGGAAGATACATCCTGAACCTGCGTTCACCAAGAAGGAAGGAAGCCAAACCCTAAGGCTAGGGCCTGGGGGCAGGGCTGGCCCCGGGGAGGAGATGTGAGGGTGCTCCGGCCGCAGCGGGCCCTGCGCCCCTCTCTGGGCGTGCAGGGACACTTTTCCCTTCTAAACGGCCTAGCTTCCCACCACCCCCCCCCACACCCTTCTTTTCTCTTTCTTTTTAAAAAAATTTTGGTGAAATCGTCTTTAGGACTGGAGGAGAAAAGGGAAGCGTGTAAGGTGAGGAAGAAGTTGGTGAGAGAGAGAACGACAGCTCCCCTCGAGGGCTCACCCAACCTGGCACCGAACCTGCATTTTAGGGCAGTCCTTTTCACTGTCTGGAGTTCCAGAAGCCCGAAGTCCAGGCTGCACCCAGAGGAAAGGACAGGAGTCCCTAGGGGAGCCTTCTAGGCCTGTCATTTAATAAGGTAGTCGGGGGAGTGAAAGAGGAGTCTCCATGGCCCAATCCGTACCCAAGGGACTTGCCTGGGGACGTTCTCTGCTCTCCTCCCCTCCCGCAGCCCGGGCAGTCGTTGCGGGGTCGGTGCCCCAGCGCCAGAACCCGCAGAGAAGTTTCGCTGCTGCAAACGTGAGAAAATGCAGCTCAGCAGAACTCCCGCCCCCACCCTCTCCGCGGCCCCACCCCCCGCAGCCCGACCCCTGGCGGCGGCGACCTTGGCCACCCGGGGCACTTGGAGGAGGGGCTGCCCTCGGGGCTCTCCCAGAGGGTTGGAGGAGGCCTCCAGGGTCTGCGGCCACCTCCCCTCGCCTGTCAGCCACTAGGACCGGCGTATTCAGCCCTGCGCGCGCGCCCCTCGCGCCCCTAGGCCGCCAGGCCTCCGCCGGGGCGCCCCCTGCACCCCCAGCCCCGCCAGCCCCCGCGCGCCCCTCTGCGCCTCTCCACTCCCGAGCCCGCGAGGGCGCCCAACTTACCCCCCCGTGCAGGGGCCGGGGCTCGGGCGGGGCGCGTTACATCGGGCGGGGTCGCCCCTCCGGCCGCCGGGTCCGCCGCGCTCCAGGGATTTCTGGGTCTGCCTGCCAAACTCTCCGCGCCTCTCGCTCCCCTCGCTCTGGTCTCCCCCAGTGCCCCCTCCTTCTCTCCCGTCCCTCGGCTCTTTTTTCCGGGTTAATTACGTTTCGCATTAAAGCAAAACCCAGCCCCGGATGTGAGTACAATGCTCCGCGGAGCCCGCCGGGGAGGGAGAGGGGTGCCGGGGCGCCGCGGGCTGGGAGGGGGTGCGGCCGGGCGCCGGGGCCGCGCGGGGGAGGCGGGGGCGGGGCGCCCGGAGGCTGCGCCCGAGGCCGCCCGCGTTCCGCGCCTGGCAGGTGGGACCTGCGCGCCGAGACTGCCCCGCGGGGAGGCCCGGCCCCGACGCTCGCTCGGGCAGCAGGTGTCCGGGCAGGGGGCGTCCTCGCAGGAGGAGGCGAGCTGGAGCGCGAGCTCCCTCAAGAACCCCATTTCCTCCTCCCAGAGCCCCACCCAGCGACCTCAGCTGGGCCTCCTTCGGATCCCGAGCCCTTAGCCTTTGGGGACCGAGGAGTTGGGGTAAGGGTTAGGGTCCCAAGAAGAGTGGCTTCTTCAGGTTGTCCTAAATGTGCCCTAAGAGACCAGTGGGCGGGAACGCTCTAACCAGGGTTATAAGGACTTTAATTTCTTTATTTTATTTTATTTTTTAATCAAGACAGGGTCTGGCTCTGTCGCCCAGGCTGGAGTGCGGTGGCGCAGTCATAGCTCACTGCAGCCTCGACCTCCTGGGTCCAGCGATCCTTCTGCCCCAGCCTCCCGAGTAGCTGGGACCACAGGCGCCTACACCGTGCCCGTTGGGACTTTTTCGGTGTGATGCGAAGACTCCCTTCCTGCCCCCAGAGCATGAGGGTGCTCTGGGAAAAAATGGGAAACAGACAAGCATGTGTTACTACGTAAACCTCGCCAAGAGGAACTAAGAGAGCTGCTGTGCGCGGGTCCCGCCCCTGCGCTATCTCATTTGATCCACGCCGCAACCTATGGGTACCAGTCCGGTTCACGGTGAGGAAACCGAGACTCAGACTTGTGAAGTAATTTGCCCTGGGTACCCAGTTAGTAAACGGCAGGTCTGTCAGGTTCTGACTCCGGCCTCCCACGTCGGGAGAGAGACATTTGAATATGCATCAAGTCAGGTGGACAACATCCGAAACATGAAAATGTAGAAGATTCGCGCGGGCCTGCGGGGCCGTGCGCCGGTGTCTGGCGATCCTAATGCAAACGTTGTTAATCAGGTGTAAATCCTACGAGGCTTTGAAAGAGGCAGGCATAAGAAGACGCTGAGGTTCTCCAGGACAAGGACTGGATTTGCAGGAAGGAGGGAGAGGCTGGGGCACATTCCCGGTGTTAACAGAGGAAAGGCGGCCTCTTATGTCTCCACGACCGACCGGAGGCCACAAGGCCTGGGGAGGGGGGCTCGGGCCGATGAGCCAGGACCGAGGGAGAAGGACAGCCCGCCCCACACACCCCGAAAGCACCAGTGATGAAACCACACAAGTTTCCTCTTCCATTTTGATTGCCAAAGCAAAAATGAACACCGCCGGTGTCTCAGGTGTGAAAAAAGACTGTTTGCTTTAGAGCATTTTGCTTTCAATGAGGAAGAAAAGGGGGACGATGGGCAAAACACACACACACACACACACACACACACACACACACACACACACACACATTTCCCTTGAAATAAATACATCAATGTCTTTTTTTTCCCCGTTCATGGAGGGTTTTGCCACTCATCTGTAAGTTTCAGGCACCAGAACAAACTGAAGAGCATCTCCTCTGGAAGCAAGGAACCTGGATTTGAAGCCCAGCTCTGCCGTTTACTGGCTTTGACCCCTGGGCAAGTTACTTAACTTCTCAATGCCTCTGTTAGGAAAAGTCAGTGAGTTAACATTTGTGAAGTGTTGAGATTCCTGTCGAACGTGAAGTAGGTGCTACGTAAATGTTTTTTAAATTTAAAAATTAGATGATCATTTTCAGTATGAAAAGCAACACAATTCCATCCAGCTCCAAGCAAATCCGACTGGAACTGAGGGTTTCCAGCATGAGCAATGAGGTAAATTTCTCAGATTTCAGGGTATGGTTCATATTAAACTCATAAAACTCTACTCCCCGTGGGGCTGCCTGAGTCACTCCATCACAGAGCCACAAGTATTTCCTGAGCACTACTGTTTTGGATGCTGGGAGGCAAAGAGAAGCAGAAGGCCTTGGGTGGCAAGAGAATACAGGTGTCTCTAGAAGGCTGAAGCAGGCTTGTGCCCTGGGAATGGCACAGAGAGTAAGTGCTGTCAACTTTTAGAAGGACAAGATATAGCCAGGGGCAGTGGCTCACGACCTGTAATCCCAGCACTTTGGAAAACCAAGGCAGGAGGATCCCTTGAGTCCAGGAGTTCAAGACCAGCCTGGACAACTAGGGAAACTTCATCTCTACAAAAAATAAAAAATATTAAATTAGCCAGGTATGCACCTGTGGTCCCAGCTACTCTAAAGGTTGAAATGGGAGGGTCACTTGAACCCAGGATTTTGAGGCTGCAGTGAGCCATTATCATGCCACTGCATTCCAACCTGAGTGACAGAGTGAGAACCTGTCTCAGAAAAAAAATAAATAAAAAAGAGGGAAATGTGTCTCTGAATGGGGGATGGGGGGTGGGGGGGGACGGTGGGGGAGCTCAAGAAGGGAGTGGGCTTTGAAATGGGACTTAGATGGATACAGTTTGACACCAGTGGGAGGAGGCCAGGAACATGTTGGGCTGAGGGAAGGTCATCATCAGTGCACTCGGGGAGATGCTCATACTTCACTGGAGCCCCATTTACTGCTACACTTGTCCCTGGCCAGGACCTGGCCCCAGTTAGATGACAAATCCTGCACTAATGTCCACTCTCTTATTCCTGGATCTCCCAGGGCTTCCTCAGAGGGACCCCCACCCCCACCCTCCTCTCATGTCACCTTGAAGCAGGCGTCAAGTGAGTCTGTGCCCTGCTATGTTTTGCCATCCCTTTCTCTCTTTTTGGGGGGACACTTTTTTATTGTGATAAAGTATACATGACATAAATTTTACCATTTTAAAGTGTATATGTAGTGGCATTCGGTAAATTCACAATGTTGTACAACTCTCACCACTGTCTAGTTCCAACCGATTTTCATGGCTTCTAAAGTTGACGCCATACCTATTAAGCAGTCACCTCCCATTCTTCTCTTCTCCCAGCCCCTGGTCACCACTAACTTGCTTTCCATCCAGTCTACAGATTTGCCTATTTTTGATACTTCATATAAGTGGAATCATATATATGTGGCCTTCTGTGTCTAGCTGCTGTTGCTGCTTTTTTTTTTTTTTTTTTTTTTGAGACAGAGTCTCACTCTATTGCCCAAGCTAGAGTGCAGCAGCATGATCTTGGCTCACTGCAACCTCCGCCTCCCAGGTTCAAGCGATTCTCCTGCCTCAGCCTCCCGAGTAGCTAGGATTACAGGCCTGCGCCACCACACCCGGCTAATTTTTGTATTTTTAGTAGAGACAGAGTCTCACCACGTTGGCCAGGCTGGTATCGAACTCCTGACCTCAAGTGATCCATCCGCCTCCGCCTCCCAAAGTGCTGGGATTACAGGCGTGAGCCACCGCACCTGGCTGTGTCTAGCTTCTTATGTTTACTTTTGCCATCACTTCATTGACACATTTTGAAAGTACAGTATTGCTGTTGCCTAATTTTATACTTTAATTTTGTTCAGTGCAATAAACAGCCCTGATGTCTGAGAATGTGACTGTACCTGTGGGGAAAGGAATGTCAAAAAAGGACGTTTCATGTGAGCTATTTCAGCCCCCTTGTTGTACCAAGGTAAAATAAAGCTCAACAATTTGCTCAAGGTTTTGAAGCTATAATAGTTAGTGGCAGAGTTGGTTCTAGAACCCAGAGTTGACTACCTTAGAATCTTCTAGTATTGGTATAGAAACCTTGCCACCAAGATGAAAACTTCTGGCCTAGAACCTAAGAATCTCAACAGAAAACCTTATGCACTACTCTAAGCATTTATTTATGTACTTTCTATTCATTTTCAATGTTAATGGCTGGTTAGCTAGATAACCTAACAACCTCCAGTGGTGAGCCAGTGTACCCTGCAGGGAACTATTGTTCTGTCCTCATAGATACCCATTACATAAGGCTGCAGCTGGGGCCAGTTAGTTCTATTAGGGAAAGTGTGGGGCCAAAGAGGCCAAGGTCATTGGTTTGATTCTGGCTCAGGCCAGTTCATTTTGCACAGAGATGGATTGCTCCAGGGCTATACACTGCACCTCTAATGTTAGCCAGTCATTTTATAAATAGTTGCTATGGGTTTTGATAGCAAAGTATGAATAGTTCTGTACCATCCATTTCTAGAATGATTGCTCAAACTGCCATTGTTTTATTCAGTCCAATTCATTCAACAAACAATTATCTGAACCCATTACCATTTTTCCTTCTGTATGTCTTGCATTTACTTGTTTTCCAGGTACTTACTAATTGCTAATTGTTATGCATGTATTATCTCATTTAAGCTTTATAATGACAATGACCCTGCCATTATTTTATGGTGATGAGATGGCTAAGGCATACAGATAAAGCCCTGATACAAACCTGGACAGCCAGAGGCCAGAGCCTGGTCTTTTACCTACCAAGCTACACTGGTAGATGCAATGTTAGGCCTTGTGAAGGATGCAGAAAAGCATAAAACAAGACTCTTCCTTCCCACCGCTGACACTTCCTATATTTATCATCATTTAGAATCTCCATTCCATTTCACCTAGCAATTGCCTATCCAAAGAAAGTTATATGGATATATAGATAGCAATACATGCACACACATATGTATTTATATTCACTGCAGCATTGGTCATAATGGTAAAAATTGGAAATCACTTTCATGCGCATCAAGAAGGGATTGAACAGGTGCATCACTACAATCTTATGCTATGCTGCACTTAGAAAAGAATGAGGGCTGGGTGGGGTGGCTCATGCCTATAATTCCAGCAGTTTGAAAGGTCAAAGCAGGAGAATCACTTGAGCCCAGGAGTTCCAGACTAACATGGTCAACATGGCGAGATCTGTCTCTGGGAACGATTTTTAAAAATTAGCTGGACATGGTGGTGCACACCTGTAGCCCCAGCTACTCAGGAGGCTGAGGCAAGAGGATCACTTGAGCCCAGGAGTTCAAGGTTGCAGTGAACTATGATTCCATCACTACACTCCAGCCTGGGCAACAGAACCAGACGCTGTCTCAAAAAAAAAAAAAAAAAAAAAAAGAATGAGGTAGATATCTATATGAAAAATACTATACATTTTAAGTGAAAAAAGTACAGAGCTTTACATGTAGTATAATTCCATTTCTGTAAATAATTTTTTGCATGAAAAAGCTCTATAAGAATACATTCCAAACTGTTAACCACAGTTCTCTTAGGGCAGGGGTAGAGGGGTGATAATGGTGGATTTCACTTTCTAAGAGATGTATTCTGTGAGGGTTCTTTTTTTGCAACAAGCATGCATGCATTTGGTTTTTTTTTTAAAAAAAGAACAGGAATGGCTTAAATTTTTAATAAAATTTAAAAGTTCCATGAGGAAGAAAATAATATTGCAGCCTTCGAGGAGCTCATCTCTTACTAAGGAGGGAACATAGTATGTACAGAAACTGATACATGCAGAGGAGAGCAGAGATAAAATTCCCCGGGAAGATTATCAACCAGCTGTGGTTGAGAAGGGCAGGGGAAAATGCATGAAGGACATGGCCCCTTGCAAGGACCTTGAAAGAAAGGTTAAAATGTAGAAAAGTGAAGAGGAGGTGAGAATAGGTGGATTCCAGATACAGAGATGATCAGAGGCAAAGCACAGAGCAGGACCACATGGGATCTATTCAGGGAAGTGTGGCTGGTACAGTTGAGCTGGAGCACGGGAGGACATAGGAAGGATTTTCATGGGGAATGAAACAGGAAAGAAAGGTAGCTGGAGTGTCTTTATTGCTAAGCTAAGGAGTCTGTACTTATTATTAGGCTTCAAGAGCCACTGAAGGCTTTTGAGCAAGGAAGGGACACAGTTGGAAGTTAACTGGCTGTGATTTCGTAGTTACTGGCTGCCTAGTAACTAGACTCTGGCACCCAGCTACCTAGTTTTGACTCCTGACTCTGTCACTAATTAGCTGAATAGCCAGGGACCAGTGACTTCTCTGTGCTTCTATAAAATGGGGAAGGTGGTGATGACAGATAACTGTCTCATACCATGGCATTTGGGATTGAGTGAATTCATGCTTTTAGGAAACATGGTTAAGTGCTGACAATGCTAAATTTGAAAAATCAGTGTCATACCTTTGGATTTAAATCCTCGTATTTCATTTGAAACTTTTATCCCAAAGAGCTAACACTTCATGATAAATTATTAACTATTCTTTTTCCCCCACTCTCAGGGAATTAGAGATTTTTCATCTCATTTTACAGATGGAAGAATTTAGGTTTTAAGAGAGCAATAGCATCTCAGAATCACACAGCCAGTCATGATCTGAATCCCTGGGTTCTGAATGGTAGTTCAGTGACCTTTGCCCAATACTTAAGGTTGTCTCTTAGCTCAAATTCTCAGAGCCTTGAGAGTAGGAAAATGGGGAGTGGAAGAAGCTTAGGAAATTTCTGTTTATAGAGTAAGAGGAACAGCAGTAAAGGACAGTAATAAGGTAAAATCAAAAAAGAGAAAACTCTGGTGGAACATCTGGAAGTTTATAAAATCAGACTTGTAAAATATAAACAGGAGATATACATATAAATATATATACATACACACATATACATACATACTTACTGGTGCTAAAGTTATTTCCTAGTAAAAAAGTTTGGAAAGCATTGTTGTACTGCTAAGTCTAACACTAATAGTGTCATTTCTCAGCCTCAGAAATGAGTGTGCGTGCCGTCCCCAGAAATAACAGTCTCCTGGCCAAGAGCACCATTCCTATTGATTCATGCTGATGGCATTGTTTTCCCATCAGTTTGAATAAGTGTAGTGCACCACTCGGAATTCTGCATCCTCAGTGATGCCCTGCAATTAGAGGGAAGAACTGGGACTTCCCAGTTCAGAGTGAGAGAATGAATAGGTACTTAACTTTGGATCTATGACCATGTTTTAGCACTGTTTGACTTTATTTTTGCTTAGACTAGTTAAATAATTCACTATAGACTAGTTAAATAATTCACTACTTCAGTACTGAGGCCACACAGGGGCTACTCTTAGTAAATACTTGTGGGTGAATATAGTCAAAGTTATTAGCAAGAATAAACTCTAGCCAGTTTATTCCAAGAGATGCCTATGGTAGTCAGTGAAGTGGGTTGACTTTTACATCAGTGATTCCCAATACAAGCTGATTATTATAAACCATAGAAAACAAAGAAAAGCAAAAAGGATATTTGGACACGTAGACTTATGTCCTTTTATTATTTTGTTAATAGGCAATATATATACACAGTACAAAGTTCAAAAGAATTAAATATTCCTTTTCCCCCACTCTCAGGGAATTAGAGATTTTTCATCTCACTTTACAGATGGAAAATTTAGGTTTTAAGGAGAACAATAGCATCTCAGAATCACACAGTAGAAAAGAATGAAGTCGATGCTTCCCTGCTTGACTTCTAAATTCTTGTGTTCTCACATACAAAGGAGTTACCAATTATTTTTTAAAAGTACAAAATAATGGGCTGGGCGTGGTGGCTCACGCCTGTAATCCCAGCAGATTGGGAGGCCAAGGTGGGCGGATCACGAGGTCAGGAGTTCGAGACCAGCCTGGCCAACATGGTGAAATCTCATCTCTATTAAAGATACAAAAAATTAGCCAGGCGTGGTGGCAGGCGCCTGTAATCCCAGCTACTTGGGAGGCTGAGGCAGGAGAATCGCTTGAACCTGGAAGGCAGAGGTTGCATTGAGCCGAGATGGCGCCATTGCACTCCAGCCTGGGTGACAGGGCGAGACTCCATCTCAAAAAAAAAAAAAAAAAGTACAAAATAACAACATTGAAAAGCAGTATTTCTTCTACCCATGTTCTCAAACACACTGTTATTCTTACCAGAGATAATCAATGTGTGTGTGTGTGTGTGTGTCTGTGTATGTGTGTGTTTAATACTAAATATTCAGTTTTGCAAGAATATACCTAAAAACGATAACAGTAATTACCCTAGTGGTGGACTTATAGGTGATTTTTAAAATCTTCTGTTTTTCTGGGTTTTCTAAGTTTTCTTTAATATGCATGTATTATTTTATGATTCAAGAAAAAAAAGTTTTACAAATAAATAGTTCTTACCATGAAAGTACTTCAGCTATCTCACAGATGTTTTGTGATTTAAAAACAATATAGAACTGGCCAGGCGCAGTGGCTCAGGCTGAGGTTGGTAGATCATGAGGTCAGGAGTTCAAGACCAGCCTGGCTAAGATGGTGAAACCCCATCTCTACTAAAAATACAAAAAATTAGCCAGGTGTGGTGGCAGGCACCTCTAATCCCAGCTACTCAGGAGGCTGAGGCAGATAATTGCTTGAACCCAGGAGGTGAAGTTTGCAGTGAGCCCAGATCATGCTACTGCACTCCAGTCTGGGCGACAGAGCAAGACTCTGTCTCAAAACAAGAAAATAAATAAATAAAAATAAATAAAAATAAAAATAAATAAAAACAACACAGAACTAACTTCATCCTCAAAAAATACTTGAAAATACTTGCCATGTCTGGGCATGCTGGCCCACACCTGTAACCCCAACACTTTGGGAGGCCAAGGTAAGCAATTGCTTGATCCCAAGAGTTCGAGATCAGCCTGGGCAACATAGTAAAACTCTGTCTCTACTAAAAATACATGGTGCCAGGCATGGCACCATGAGCATGTAGTCCTAGCTACCTGGGAGGCTGAGGTAGGAGGATCATTTGAGCTCAGGAGGTTGAGGCTACAGTAAGTGATGACTGTGCTACTGCACTCCCGCCTAGCCTGGAGGACCATAGAGAGGCCCTCTCTCAAAAAAAGAAAGAAAGAAAATGCCAGTCTGTGGATATATTTTTCAAAAAATTTTGGCCAGTTTTGTGTCCATTCACATTAAAACTCCTGCTACTGGAAAAGAGATGCAAAACGTAGTTAGCAGCTTGAACTCTGAGTCCTAGTGAATCAGCATGAGTCACTGGAGATAGGTAAGTTGCTCAGGAATCTTCTTTCAAATTTCATCATAATTTGTATGATGACTCCACATGTCCTTCAAACTACATTAAAATTAAGTGTAGCACCAGACTGGAGAATTAAGGCCAGTCCAGTTTAACTCCTTCATTTAGCAATTAAACTATCACAAACTAAATTTATCCTTACACCTAATACTTAATGATGCTGTGGGTGTTTTAATTGCCTGAATGACCAAATGCACCCTTCAGTGTCTGAAGTTGTCATAGTTCCAGCTCCCTAAGAAGATATAGGAACATGGTCACCTTTCTGGCAACTTCAGTTTCTGGAACAGAACTCTGAACTCATAAGGTGAGAAGAGAAGGGCCTCTGAGTTGCTAGCCAAAGTTCTGGGAGCCTTTCTTAGGTTTGATTATTGATTCCAATTGCATATCTAATTTCAGAAACCCTGGGAGTATGGTTTCCTAGCCCTCAGCATATCAGAAATCTCAGGAGAATGGAAGAACCACTGGAGAAGTGGGTGAGAGGGTGTGGAGGAGTGCATGGGTTTTGTTTTGTTTTGTTTTGTTTTTTTGAGACGGAGTCTCACTGTGTCACCCAGGCTGGAGTACAATGGCGTGATCTCAGCTCACTGCAACCTATGCCTCCTGGGTTCAAACGATTTTCCTGCCTCAGCTTCCTGAATAGCTGGGACTACAGGCGTGCGCCACCACACCAGGCTAATTTTTGTATTTTTAGTAAAGACGGGGTTTCACCATGTTGGTCAGGCTGGTCTTGAACTCCTGACCTCGTGATCCGCCTGCCTTGGCCTCTCAAAGTGCTGGGATTACAGGCGTGAGCCACCACACCAGCCAAGTGCATGGTTTTATCCAGTTCATTCCTATGCTCATACATGGGATTGCTGAAAAGTTAACTAGCATTCCCACAGGTTACATGTGCTCAAGACAATCTTCATCATTCCTGGGGATGATCTTGGAGTAAGATGTGGTTGAACTGTGATCAGTGCCTTTGTTTTAGGTGGAAAGTGCTACGTGGTTTTGCTAGTAGGAGGGGTGGCCTGGTGGGGGGATGGCAGTGGAGCTCACCCCTGCGGTGATAAGAGCAGCCTTAATGATTCTCTCATGCCCTTTTATATTCTTAAGATATTACATCATGTGCATTATGTATCTTTTTCTTAATAAAAAATGTTTTTAATTAATGTTCATAAGACTTTACAAATAAAAAGCCTGGAAAAAGTGTACAAATTAAAAATACTGTACCACATTGAGAAAAAACCACAATGAGATATACCTACACACATACCAGCATGGCTAAAATGAAAAAGGGTGACAGGCCAGGTGCAGTGGCTCACGCCTGTAATCTCAGCACTTTGAGAAGCTGAGGCAAGCAGATCACCGGAGTCCAGGAGTTCCAGACCAGCCTGGGCAGCATGGCAAAACCCCGTCTCTACAAAGAAAAATACAAAAATTTGCCAGACGCAGCAACATGTGCCTGTAGTCCCAGCCACCCAGGAGGCTGGGGGAGGAGGGTTGCTCCTGAGCCTCAAGCTCAGGAGTTTGAGGCTGCAGTGAACCATGATCACACCACTGCACTCCTGCCTGGGTGACAGAGCAAGATCTTATCTGTAAAATAGATAAATAAATATAAATTTAAATAAATAAAAATAAACATGCAACTATCATAGGACCCAGCAATTGCTCTTCTGGGCATTTATTCCAGAGAAATGAAGACTTATGGTATTCACACAAAAACCTATACAGGAATGCTTATAGCAGCTTTACTTATAATAGCCAAAAACTGGAATCAACCCAGATGTCTTTCTGCTGGTGAATATCAGACAAAGTTTAGTTCATCATACCATGGAATACTATTCAGCAATAAAAAGGAACAAGCTGTTGATACACACAGCCACCTGGATGAATCTTCAGAGAATCATGCCAAGCAAAAAAAGCCAAACAAAAGGTTACATACTGTATGATTCCATTTATAGAACATTTTGAAATGATAAAAGTATAGAAATGGAGAACAGATTCATGGGTGTCAAAGGTTATGAAGTGGGTATGTGCTGGGCATGGTGGTTCATGCCTTTCCCCCATTTCCTGAATGGTAGCCTCTTGTAAATCATAGTGAGATGCCACAACCAGGATTTTGACATTGAGTGAGCCAAGACACAGAACATTTCCATCAGCACAAGTAACCCTGTGTTGTTCTTTTATAGCCACATATACTTCCTTCCTTCCCATCATATCCACTTCTTTTTTTTTTTTTTTTTAGACAGAGTCTTGCTCTGTCACCCAGACTGGAGAGCAGTGGCGCGATCTCGGCTCACTGCAAGCTCCGCTTCCCTGGGTCAAGCGATTCTCCTGCCTCAGCCTCCTGAGTAGCTGGGATTACAGGCATGCGCCACCACGCCCAGCTGATTTTGTATTTTTAGTAGAGACGGGGTTTCTCCATGTTGGTCAGGCTGGTCTTGAACTCCTGACCTCAGGTGATCTGCCCTCCTCGGCCTCCCAAAGTGCTGGAATTACAGGCATGAGCCACTGCGCTTGGCCAAGAAAGAGTTTTAAAGCCAAACAATTTATTGTGAGTGTTCTGTGCTTGAATAGATGTTATCTATTTTTTTAAAAAATCACTTAAGGACAGGAGCTGTGGCTTATGCATGTAATCCCAGCACTTCAGGAGGCCGAGGCAGCCTGATCGCTTGAGTCCAGGAGTTTGAGACCAGCCTGGGCAATGTGGCAAAACCCCATCTCTACAACAAATAAAAAAAATTAGCCAAAGACAGGCGCAGTGGCTCAAGCCTATGATCTCAGCACTTTGGGAGGCCAAGGCAGCTGGATCACTTGAGGCCAGGAGTTTGAGACCAGACTGGCCAACATGGCAAAACTCCATCTCTACTAAAAATACAAAAAATTAGCCGAGTCTAGTGGTGTGCACCTGTAGTCCCAGCTACTTGGGAGGCTGAGGCAGGAGAATTCCTTGAACCCAGGAGGCAAAGGTTGCAGTGAGCCAAGATCATGCCACTGCACTTCAGCCTGGGTGACAGAGCAAGACTCCATCTCAAAAAAAAAAAAAAAAAAAAAAAAAATATATATATATATATATATATATATATATATATACACACATATATATATATCCAGATGTGATGGCGTGCACTTGTAGTCCCAGCTATTCAGAAGGCTGAGGCAGGAGAAACACCTGAGTTCAGGAGGTCAAGGCTGCAGTGAGCCATGATCGTGCCATTGCACTCCAGTCTGGGTGGCAGAGGAGGCACTATCTCAATATGTGTGTGTGTGTGTACATATATATATATAACTTATGGTGAACATATATCCCTTTTGATCCTGGATAACTGAGGCATCCCTACTTATGAACTCCACAGACTAAGCATAGTTTTGCACATTGAGGCTGGCAATCCTTAAATTGTTGGGGGCTAACATTCAGTTTTTAGCTGTGACTTAAAGAGCAGTGCTTCATTCCTCTCCCACCTCAACTGCTACAATCCCTCTCACATAGCTGCCCCCATGAGCACTTCCTCTGCTCTTTGGGCATTTGGTTGCTTCCATCCATTTTTCTACCTTCCTTAAGAAGAAAGTTTCAACACTTGGAGAAACTCCACCAGAACCTCACCTGGTATTCGAGAAAGTCTCTCTCCAGAGCAGAGCAAGGTGCATATGAAGGTTGGTTAGTTTCAATGTGTTGCCATAAATTCTGCCGTGGCTTTCCCCTGTATTCAGAAGATGACATCATGGTAGCAAGCATTACGTTCAGAAGCAAGCATTACAGCAGAAGTCTGTTAGAATGCAGCTTCTAATTATGTGTTGCTGAGTACACCATGAGTCAAATTGGGGCCTCCGAAATGTAACTGCATATTCTTTAAATAGTTCATCCAGGAGGTCTGGGGGCTGATTTATTTCTGGTTTCTCCAATTTAAGTCCTTGTACTGTACTATGATCCTGTAACTACTACCCAGTTCAGAGTAGAAGGGCAGCATAGTGCAGTACAAAGAATTTCAGACTAGGAATCCTCTGAAATTGTAGGGACAATTATGTCTACCATTTCTGTTGTTCCAGGTTGTAAAGGATTGGGAAAATGTAAGTATTACGTTGTGAACAGGAATGTTAGTAAGAGGGTGATAGAAAGCAACAGCCTTCGGCTGGGCACGGTGGCTCACACCTGCACTCCCAACACTTTGGGAGGCCAAGGCAGGCGGATCACCTGGGATCAGGAGTTTGAAACAAGCCTGGGAAACATGGTGAAACCCTGTCTCTACTAAAAAAATTAAAAAATTAGCCGGGCATGGTGGCAGATGCCTGTAATCCCAGCTACTCGGGAGGCTGAGGCAGAAGAATCGCATGAACCAAGGAGGCGGAGGTTGCAGTGGGCAGATTGCACCACTACACTCCAGTCTGGGTGACAGAGCGAGACTCCGTCTCAAAAAAAAAAAAAAAAAAAAGAAAGCAACAGCCTTCAAACTTTTCCTTACCTACAACCCCTAAAATGCTGAAATGCTATGCATCTCTTCACACACTTTAAAGTTTGACATCTATAACTTTTAATCGTAGCTTTAAGTGTTCGCAAGGGATGTATTCTGCAGTTGTTAGCATGGGATGTTTTGAAATAAAACTGTCATATCACTGTTTTTAATGTATCCAATAGAATCTAAGTACCATAGTAATATGACACTGTCACTCATTTTTGAAATTGAACAAGCGGTTCTTTGACAGCCAGAAATGTTAAATCATCCCCTTTCTTCCTTGAACTATACTTTCATTCCACTTTCTCTAAAGAATTGTATCCAAATGTCAGCTATTTTTATGCTTGAACATCTTTTATTGATTGCCCTATCATATTTTCTGAAACAAAAATGCATATGTAAATTGATTTTACAATGTTAAAAAACATCCTGTGTTCATAAGGCTCTAAGTGTTAAAATAGTTTTTGAGACTAAGTCATCATTACAATTATTAATAACAAGATAAAAATATAGTTTATTGATAGTTAAACACAAAACAGTAAAATAGCATTAGAAATCATTCTCTTAATGAGATGGATGAGATGGATTTTTAAATATATGTATGTTTATATATTTACATACATACATCTACAGTAAACAAGTATATGTAATGAGGTTAAATATTCATTAATTAATATTACTTATTGCAATAATGAGCAGGATGTAGCATCAATACTTCCCCTATTTCTTTTTCTTTTTTTTTTGAGATGGAGTCTCACTCTGTCTTCCAGGCTGGAATGCAGTGGCACAATCTCGGCTCACTGCAACCTCCGCCTCCCCGGTTCAAGCGATTCTCCTGCCTCAGCTTCCTAAGTAGTTGGGATTACAGGTGCCTGCCACCACGCCCAGCTAATTTTTGTATTTTTAGTAGAGACAAGGTTTCACCATGTTGGCCAGGCTGGCCTGGAACTCCTGGCCTCAAGTGAGGCCTGCCTCGTCCTCCCAAAGTGCTGGGATTACAGGTGTGAGCCGCCGCCCCTGGCCTTAATACTTTCCCTATTTCTCATTTTTACGAATGTAAGCTCTGAGCAGCTTTGGTCACGTTAATACGTAGATGAGGCTACAAGGACTTTTGTTATGACAATGTCCAGGGCTGAAGAGAGGCAAGAAAACTGGGACATAACCCAGAAAGGCTTATGGTTTCAAGAGGGATCCTGGAATGACTAAATCCACTTTTGCCAGGGAACCTGAGATCTGTTTTTCAGCAGGGCCGTATTTGGTAATGTCATTCAATTATGTTAGAGAGCTTCCTTCAAAAATTATTCTGTGGGGAGGCTTTTTATGTGTGGGGTTGGGGGTATAATGAGAACACTCTCTAGTTTCCACCCAATTGTGCTGTGATCCCAAAACTGCCCTACAAAATAAAGTTTTGCTTGCTTGTTTGTTTGTTTTTGAGACAGAGTCTCACTCTGTCGCCCAGGCTGGAGTGCAGTGGCGGGATCTCAGCTCACTGCAACCTCTGCCTCCCGGGTTCAAGCAATTCTCCCGTCTTGGCCTCCCAAGTAGGTGGGATTACAGGCACCCGCCACCACACCTGGCTAAGTTTTGTATTTTTGTAGAGACGGGGTTTCACCATGTTAGCCAGGCTGGTCTTGAACTCCCTGACCTCAGGTGATCCGCCCGCCTCAGCCTCCCAAAGTACTGGGATTACAGGCTTGAGCCACTGTGCCCAGCCAATAAAGTTTATTCTTAAAAAAAATTCTAATGATTGATCTGTTCGTGGACAATTCAATTAGGTTTTTCCAAATTTTATGGATAGCAATGAATTGGGAACCGCTTAACCTGTGAAAGGATTTGTATCTCAGTTAGAAAAGGCTTTCCTGTCTCAACACAAACATGGATATTTCTCACTGTCCCTTGTCTTGGCCCTGAAGGTTTTTACGACCCACGGCCATGTCGCCATGTCTTTCTTTCCGTTTTTAGAAGTGAGAGAAGGCTGTTGGGAAAGGAGAGGTGGGAAGGCAGAAGCCAGTGTGAACTGGCCTTCACTGCATCTCAGGGAGATCTAGACACTGAGTCCCTTAAAACCGTGCCCTCTGGGTACCCACTGTTTAAACACCACTGTAGAGGTGATTTAAGAACTGCCTCGGGCCGGGCGCGGTGGCTCAAGCCTGTAATCCCAGCACTTTGGAAGGCCAAGGTGGGTGGATTACCTGAGGTCAGGAGTTTGAGACCAGCCTGACCAACATTGTGAAACCCCGTCTCTACTAAAAATACAAAAGTAGCTGAGTGTGGTGGCACATGCCTGTAATCCCAGCTACTCGGGAGGCTGAGGCAGGAGAATTGCTTGAACCCGAGAGGTGGAGGTTGCAGTGAGCCGAGATCGTGCCAACAAGAGCAAGAGCGAAACTCCATCTCAAAAAAAAAAGAACTGCTTCAAATGTACAGAATCCTCATGTCAGATTTTTAGTCATTTGCTGTTTGTCCGAAAATCAAATTTAGCTGGGTGTCCAGTATCTACCTGGGAATCCTGTGCAATCCAAGTCACTCTTTTGAAGAGATGAAAGAGATGAGAAAAACTGATACCTAAAAAATGTGCAGGCCGGGCATGGTGACTCACGCCTGTAATCCCAACACTTTGGGAGGCCGAGGCAGGTGGATTGCTTGAGCTCAGGAGTTTGAAACCACCCTGGGCAACATGGTGAAAACCCGTCCCTACAAAAGATCAAAAAATTAGCTGGGCATGGTGGCTCACACCTGTAGTCCCAGCTATTTTGAGGCCTGAGGCAGGAGAATGGCATGAACCCAGGAGGCGGAGGTTGCAGTGAGCCAAGATTACACCATCGCACTCCAGCCTGGGCGACAGAGTGAGACCCTGCCTCAAAAAAATAAATAAATAAAAATAAACGAGACAGTTCTTCCACAAGGGTCTCTCCCCTTTCCCTCTGCCCAATTCTCAAATCAGTTTACTGCTTTCTCGCCTCTCACAGGGTGCTCCATTTCCATCCCACCCTGCTACCTTTTTTTCATCCTTCTTACCCAAAGCAAAATGTAAGCAGACAAAACAACAAAACTGCCAATGCTCATAAAGGGAAGAAGGCTCCTGGAGGAAACTTGGGTCAGGAAAGGGGTTTGAGAGGTGCAGAGAGAAATAGACACCTCTGTCCTGTCATCCCAGAAACAGAGGCTAAAAAAAAGAGGAGGGAGAGCAGCAGTTTCTTTACAGCGAAAACTACATTTATGTAAAATGTGTGAATATTCTCCTTTACAGTCTACCCTGTAGACACATAATAAAAGTATTCCAAGTCCAACTACATGTCTGAGGGTCCTTGGTGCTCTCCTGACCTGTTTCTTCGGAATGATACTGACCAAGCCTTCTGTTTTTTCTTCCCCCTTCAGTTCCCATTCACTGCTGCTGCCCTCTCTCACTCCCTCTCATCTCCCAAGCACCAAAAATAATTTGAATTTCAAGCCTTTTTTTGGCCTTCCTGCGGGTGTGGGAGGACGTCCTTTGGGAATTGTTCTGGTTCTAGGTGGCTCCATCTGTAATTTGGCAAAATTTCTGCACCCTACCCCCAACTTTTCTTCTTAATATAAGGGGAGTTCGAATCCCCACCTCAAAATATGGTTCTTAGGATAACCAAAGCGACAAGATCTCCCCCAGAGATCCCCCCAGGCACCCCCCGAGGGAGCCCCTGAGGGTCTGCAGCCTCCCCTTACCCCACTCCTGGTTTTGGAAGAACGACTCTTTCTGAACAACAAAGCAGCTCCTCCCTAGCCAGGGGAAGCTACCTCCAGCAACAGCTTTAAAAGGCAAGGTGATTGCGAGAAAGAGGAGGGCGAGATCTGTACTCTTCAGTTCAGGGGAGCCAAGGCAAGTTCCTGTTTCAAAGACAGTTTTAACAACTTACCAAGTTCAGTGAGTCTCTCTCTCTCTCTCTCTTTCTCTCTCTCTCTCTGTCTCTCTCTCCCTCTCTCTCCTCCACCCCACCCCCTGTGTGTGTGTGTGTGTGTGTGTGTGTGTGTGTGTGTGTGTGTGATTTTCCTTCTCACCAACTCACCCACATGATCCCTTCCATGGTCCTCTGGGTGACAGGTGATTTTCCTTTCTGAAAAAGCCTGTTGCCCATGCTGGCCTCAAACTCCTGGGAGTTTGCAGTCCTCCCTCCTGGGCTGCCCAAAGCTGTGAGATTACAGGTGGCAGCCACCTTGCCTGGCTGTTGAAATGCATCTTTATTAAAAGACAAAATATCACCAGATCTGTAGATGTAACCACCCCACCCTCAGTCCCCTCCGACACCCACCTCCGACCCATTTCCACCCCATCTCAGCCCTTCCTTAGCTAGCATCTGTAGACTCTGGCAAATGTTTGTTATTGACAAGAAAAAGGAAAGGGAAAAAAAATGAGAACAAGAAAAAGGACCGCACACCTAAGAGTTTTCTATGGTTTGGGGCAGTTTTGTTTTTCTTTTTTCTCTTTTTTTTTTTTTTTTTTTTTTTGCGATGGAGTCTCTCTGTGTTGCCCAGGCTGGAGTGCAGTGGTGTGATCTCGGCTCACTGCAAGCTCCGACTCCCAAGTTCACGCCATTCTCCTGCCTCAGCCTCCCGAGTAGCTGGGACTACAGGCGCCCGCCACCACGCCCGGCTAATGTTTTGTATTTTTAGTAGAGACGGAGTTTCACCGTGTTAGTCAGGATGGTCTCGATCTCCTGACCTCGTGATCTGCCCGCCTTGGCCTCCCAAAGTGCTGGGATTACAGGTGTGAGCTACTGCACCCGGCCTCGTTTTTCTTTCTTTTGTTTTTAAGGTTTTAAAGGTTTCTCTTTGAAAAGATGGTATCACAGAACATACAGAACTGCTCTGAAAATGCAACTTAATTTGCAAAATGCTGCATCAAAATATTACAGTCATGGAATCTAATGAATTGAGCATGCGTTCATGAAACTTAAAAAATACTGAGCAATGCATTGAAAAAAGCATGGTAAAAAAAAGACAACTCAAGTTAAATAAAAATTGCAAAGGTCCTGAACCAATTAATGGTTGGTGACAATGTCATTCAAAAATGCCTTTAGGTTTCAATGAAATCCACCATTTATTTCTGCATGCCTAGTTCTTGAAAAAACTGTTTGAAGTTGTGAGGTAGGTAATGGCCAGGAATTATCATGCTGAGTTAATTTTACACCTCAAAGGTACAAGTTTGCCATACTTAAAGCTCTTGTTAGGCCAGGCGCAGCGGCTCACTTCTAACACTTTTGGGAGGCCAAGGCAGGTGGATTACCTGAGGTCAGGAGTTCAAGACCAGCCTGGCCAACATGATGAAACTCCGTCTCTAATAAAAATACAAAAGTTAGCCGGGCATGGTGGCAGGCGCCTGTAATCCCAGCTACCTGGGAGGCTGAGGCAGGAGAATCACTTGAACCTGGGGGGCAGACATTGCAGTGAGCCGAGATCACGCCATTGCACTCCAGCCTGGGCAACAAGAGCGAAACTCCATTTCAAAACAAAACAAAACAAAACAAAAGTTCTTGTTGATTCTGGCATGAGTTGCTTTTCAGTAAAAGACAATAGTCAACTAATAAGAATGGCATGAGATAGGATATGTAACAATTTCACCGTTCATATACTCACTTTCTGTTTCCTGGTTATATTTTGATTTTTAATAAAGATACATTTCAACAGCTAGGCAAGGTAGCTCACACTTGTAATCCCACTGTTTTGTGCAGCCCCGAAGGGAGGATTGCTTGAACCCAGGAGTTTGAGGCCAACCTGGGCAATGGATCAAAACTCCTACCCTACAAAAAATTTTCAAAATTAATCAGGCATGATTCTACACCTGTAGTCCCATCTTCTTGGGAGAGTGAGGTGGAGGATCACTTGAGCCCAGGAGTTTGAGGCCAACCTGGGCAATGGATCAAAACTCCCACCCTACAAAAAATTTTCAAAATTAATCAGGCATGATTCTACACCTGTAGTCCCATCTTCTTGGGAGAGTGAGGTGGAGGATCACTTGAGCCCAGGAATTGGAGGCTGCAGTGAGCTATGATTGCACCACTGCATTCCAGCCTGGGTGACAGAGTGAGACCCTGTCTCTGAAAAAAAAAAAAAAAAAACATTTCCAAGAGCTCCATGGGAAGCAGAATTTTTGGTGCCCTGGGACAGATTCAGTTCAAGCTTTTCATGACTTTGTTTCCCCTTGCCCTTTTCTTGCTGAAGGCAGTGCTCACAAAATTGTTTTTTTTATTTGTTTTTTTGTTTGTTTATTTGCTTGCTTGTTTTTTGAGATGGAGTCTCACTCTGTTGCCCAGGCTGGAGTGCAGTGATCTCAGCTCACTGCAACCTCCGCCTCCCAGGTTCAAGTGATTCCCCTGTCTCAGCCTCCCAAGTAGCTGGGATTACAGGCACCCGCCACCACACCCAGCTAATTTTCATATTTTTAATAGAGACAGGGTTTCGCCATGTTGGCCAGGCTGGTCTCAAACTCCTGACCTCAAGTGATCCGCCCTCCTGGGCCTCCAAAAGTGCTGAGATTATAGGTGTGAGCCACCGCACCCAGTCCATTTACTTTTTTTTTTTTTTAATTTAAGCAGGCTGCTGTGGAACCAATTGTTATATTCTTTGGAAAAGCAGTTTTCAAGAGCCTTAAAATATTTTTATCATTTGGCCCAGTGATTCCCACTCTGGAAATCTATCCAAAGAAAATGATCTAAAATGCAAGTGAGAAAAAATTGAACATAATGTGTTATGGGACTGAATTATGCCTCCCCCCAACCCCTAATTCACATGTTAAAACCCTAACGCCAGTAACTCAAAATTGACTGTATTTGGAAGTAGGGCCTTTATAGAGGTGATTAAGTTAAACAGAGTCTATTAAAATAGGCCCTAATTCAATCTGAGTAGTGTTTATATAAGAAGAGGAAATTTGAACACATAAAGAAACACCAGGGATGCCCAAATACGGAAGAAAGACAGTGCAGACACAGGAAGGAGGTGACCAATGGCAAGCCCAGGAAGGGGGCCTGGGCAGAAACCAACCCTGCTCCCACCCTGATCTTGGACTTCCAGCCTCCAGACAGTGAGAAAAAAAATTTCTGTTGCCTAAGCCACCTAGGTCTGTTGTACTTTGTTATGGTGGCCCTAGCAAACTAATAGACAATGATTTTTAAAATAATTATATATATTTAAAATAGAGAACAATTAGAAATGGCCTAAATGTTCAACAATTGGGAAAAGAGTATCATACCATCATCAAAATGCTGAGGGTGTATGGAAAAAACAGCTTACAAGATAATGTTTAGCCAAAAAAAGCAAGATGCCAGGCACAGTGCCTCTCACTTGCAGTCCTATCTACTTGGGAGGCTGAAAGAAGAGGATCACTTGAGACCAGGAGTTCGAGACCAGCCTGGACAACATAGCAAGACCCCAACTCTAAAATAAAAAACATCATATGTACCCCATAAATATGTACAACTATGATGTACCATAATTAATAAAAGTAAAATAATTTTGAAAAATTATATGTTGTCATATGGGTTATTTTTTAAAAAGCAAGATACATTTTATTTTATTATTATTTTTTAAGACAGTCTTGCTCTGTTTCCTAGGCTGGAGTGCAGTGGTGCGATCTCGGCTCACTGCAAGCTCCGCCTCCCAGGTTCAAGCCATTCTCCTGCCTCGGCCTCTCTAGTAGCTGGGACTACAGGCTCCCGCAACCACGCCCGGCTAATTTTTGTATTTTTAGTAGAGGTGGGGTTTCACCATACTGGCCAGGCTGGTCTCGAATTCCTGAACTCAAATGATCCACTCGGCCTCCCAAAGTGCTGAGATTACAGGTGTGAGCCACTGTGCCTGGCCACAAGATACATTTCATACACACACACACATAAATGCATATATATATGTATATATATATACCCATATATATATATGTATATATACCCATATATATATGTATATATATATACCCATATATATATGTATATATATATACCCATATATATATACCCATATATATGTATATATACCCATATATATGTATATATATATACCCATATATATGTATATATATATACCCATATATATATGTATATATATATACCCATATATATATATGTATATATATATACCCATATATATGTATATATATACCCATATATATATGTGTATATATATACCCATATATATGTATATATATGTGTATATATATACCCATATATATGTATATATATGGGTATATATATATGCCCATATATATATATGTATATATATATGCCCATATATATATATATATGATTTTGACTATGCTTTATAAAGCCTGTGGTCAGGGGGAAAAAACTAGGAGGAAAAAAAGCTCATTGTAGTATTGTTTTAGAAGATGATGATGATGATTTATATTCTCCTTTCTCCATTGAAGAGTTAAACCTATTGTTATTTGAAATACACCTTATTTAAATAAGCAGGTAAAATAGGGCACTCTGTAAGTGGACCTGTATGAATGTACTCTTACAGAGAGTAGACTTCTGAAAGGAGACAGTATTGTTTGGACTGAGGATGTGGTTCTTGGTCTCAACTGCACCAACTGTATTGATAAAATTCCTGCCCACATATCCCCATGTTCAGTGCAGCAGGTTAAAAGCTGTTGTGCACGTCATGCCTTTTTTTTTTTTTTTTTTTTTTTTTGAGACAGGGTCTTACTCTTTTTTTTGTTCGTTTGTTTGTTTGTTTTATTTTGTTTTGTTTTTTGAGACAGGGTCTTACTCCGTTGCCCAGGCTGGAGTGCAGTGGTGCAATCACAGCTCACTGCAGCCTCCACCTCCTGGGCTCATGCAATCCTCCCACCTAGCCTCCAGAGTAGCTGGGACCACAGGTGCATACCACCATGCCCAGCTAATTTTTTAAAATATTTGTAGGGATGAGGTCTCACTATGTTGCCCAGGCTGGTCTCAAACTTCTGGGATTAAGTAATCTTCTTGCCTCAGCCTCCCAAAGTGCTGGAATTACAGGTATGACTCACTGCACTTGGCCTGGATATCATTCTTTAATTGGTCCCAGGGTGACTGAAACCCTTTGTCTTTTTCTCAGAGAGGACAGGCAAGGGCAGATGTCTCCCACTTGGCCTTCTACATGCTCTTCTCTGAGCTCTGCCATGATGGGTTCTCATCTAGTCAGCCTGGGAGCAAACCACGCCTAGGAGGCACGGGGAAGGCTGGCAGGTCCCTGCAGCTCAATGTCCCTTCTATCCCTCAGAGAGATGCATTCTCAGAAAGAAACTGCACTCATGTCTCCTCTCCTTTGCACCCATACCCTTTCCATTTTCCTCTGATGGATGTCTTTCCTTTGACTGCAATCATCATGCATGTGGACAGCTCCTGAGTATGTGTCTGCAGCTTGAGCCTTTCTACTTCTCTCTACATTCCTGTATCGAATTGCACGCTGGTCTTCTACCTCCAAATGCCCCAAACCTAATATACCTAAAACTCGCCTTGTTGACTTTGTCTCATAAACTTCTCTCTCTTGCATTCCCTGTCTCTATAATAAAGACATAACTTCCACCCCGTCACTCAAGCTAGGAACCGAAATGTCATTGTCACTCCTTCTCTCTCACCACCCACAGCCAATTAGTCATCGAGCCGTATCGATTCCCACTGCCTACACCCCTTCCATCTCCTCCTCCCTGCTCCTGGCTCCTCCTCGCCTTAGTTCAGGCTCATGTTAGTCCTTGTTTGGGTCATTCACTCATTCAGGCTCTGGGGGCATGTTGGTGAATAAGATAGGAATGAGTCCTTCCCTCATGAAGCTTGTGGGTACGAAAGACAATAATCAAACAAAAGAATCCCATGTTTATGATGTATCAGAGCAATATGAAGAATATAACTGTTTGCTTGAAGAAGGGGAAATTAAAATTGAGACTGAGAAGAAAGTTTCGCAGAGAGAGCTCAAAGACAAACACTCCAAGAAAGAGAAACAGCAAACAAATGCAAGGCCCTGAGGTGAAAAGATCTCGCCATATTGGAGGGGCTTCGGTTGCCATATTGCTCTGAGAGGAAAAGTGGAACCAGGTGGCATGGAGAAGTGGGCAGGGCCCTTCTGGGCAACAATGAGAAGTCTGGATCTTTTATTATTGTTTATTTATTTTGAGACAGAGTGTCGCTCCATCACCAGGCTGGAGTGTAGTGGTGCCATCTCAGCTCCCTGCAACCTCCACCTCCCGGGTTCAAGTGATTCTCCTGCCTCAGCCTCCTGAGTAGCTGGGACTATAGGCATGCACCACCACACCCAGCTGTTTTTTGTTTTTTTGGTTTTTTTTTAGTAGAGATGGGGTTTCACCATGTTGCCCAGGCTGGTCTTGAACTCCTGGCCTCAGGTGATCCACCCACCTCGGCCTCCCAAAGGGCTGGGATTCCAGGCATGAACCACCATGCCCAGCCAGAAGTCTGGATTTTACCTTAAGCTGTTGAAAAGTGTTAATCAGGAGGGTGACCTGTCTCCCTGGGCCTTCCATATCTCTTCAATCCTTCTTCAACATGGCTTCAAGGTTGGTCTTTCCAGGACAAGTATCTGATCATGTCTCTCTGGGTTTTAAAAATTTCCAGTGGCTCCCATTTGCCTGCTGTTAACACCTAAACTGCTTAGCTTGGCCTACAAGGCCCTGAATGCTCTCGCCCCATGTTTCGCTCCATCCTTATTTTTCCTTGTGTCTCTTTATCTCCTTTGCCTGGCCATGCCAAGCAACTTCCAGGTTGCCTCGTGGGTTCTGCCATGTCTTTTCTCAGGATGCATCTCTCTGGGTACAGCATTCCCTACGCCATCCATCATCAAACAAAAATCTACACATCCTGCAAGCCGAAGGTCAAATGTCACCTCATCTTTCCTGATCACTACCCCCCAGATAGAATGGACTGTTCCCACAGGGCATGGTGGCTCATGTCTGTAATCCCAGTTACTTGGCAGGCTGAGGGAGGAGGATAGCTTGAGCCCAGGAGTTGGAGGCCAGCATGGGCAACATAGTGAGACCCCCATCACTAAAGAAAAAAAAATTGTTTTAAATGGATGATTCCCTCCTCTGCATCCTCAATGTTTGACAGCACGTGTCTGTTTACATGCATCTCTCCCTGTTCACACATGACCCTTTGTTACTCATATTTATTCCCTACCATTGAGCACAGAGCTTGGAGTACTTTATTGTGTAAAAAGAACGGATTTCCCCTGTTTTGCATATTTAGATTACACATGATAGTTTTGCCAAAGGAGCAGGAAACCAGATGCTTGAAGCTCAGTGAGAATTTCTATTTTTTTTTTTTTTATATGGAGTCTTACTCTGTCACCCGGGCTGCAGTGCAGTGGCATGATCTCAGCTCACTGCAACCTCCGCCTCCTAGGTTCAAGCAATTCTCCTGCCTCAGCCTCCTGAGTAGCTGGGATTACAGGCACCCGCCACTACGCCCTGCTAATTTTTTTTTTTTTTTGTATCTTTAGTAGAGATGGGATTTCACCATGTTGGCCATCCTGACCTAGTGATTCACCTGCTTCAGCCTCCCAAAGTGCTAGGATTACAAACATGAGGATTTTAATGAACATGTCAGTTGAGACTTATAGCAGATCTGTCTTTGAGCTGCCAGTATTCCCAACATAAGCTACATCCACACGTTGAGCCCCATTGGCAAGGAGGGAACTTGGAAGGAGTTTGAGCAAGTAAAAATACCTATGGGGCACAAGCTATTTTGAAGCCTATTTACTTGTTAGCCACCTCTCATCATTCTACAGTGTCCGCACCATTTCCACAGTCCTCATCCAATCACAGATGGTACCAGGGGATGCATTAGCTGCTTGAAGCAGGACTGTCAGAGACAGAATTTGTCACTTCATAATTCCTGCTAAAGCCGGACATGGTGGCTTGCACCTGTAATCCCAGCAATTTGGGAGGCTGAAGTAGGAGGAACTTGAGGCCAGGAGTTCAAGACGAGCCTGGGCAATATAGCAAGACCACATCTCTACAAAAACATTTAAAAATGGCCGGGTGCGGTGACTTACACCTGTAATCCCAGCACTTTGGGAGGCCGAGGCGGGTGGATCATGAGGTCAAGAGATTGAGACCATCCTGGCTAACATGGTGAAACCTCGTCTCTACTAAAAATACAAAAATTAGCTGGGCATGGTGGCATGCACGTGTAGTCCCAGTCACTCAGGAGGCTGAGGCAGGAGAATCACCTGAACCCGGAAGGTGGAGGTTGCAGTGAGCTGAGATCACGCCACTGCACTCCAGCCTGGCAACAGAACGAGACCCTGTCCCCGCCCCCCCGCAAAAAAATTAAAAATTAGCTGGGTGTGGTGGCGTGCCTGTAGTCCCAGCTACTCAGGGAGCTGAGGTGGGAGGACTGCTTGAGCCCAGGAGGTTGAGGATGCAGTGAGCCATGATTGTGTCACTGCATTCCAGCCTGGGCAACAGAGTGAGACCCTATTTGAAAACTTCCAATAATTTCCGGGTAAGTGCTCTGCACTGCGGAGTGTAGGTGGGGGAAAATAAAAAAGTAAATAACTTGTTTCCTATATCTAGGGAAGGGAGATCATGACTCTGTCCATAGAAGGCACCAATTGATGTTTGTTAATTGACACATTGATAGGCAAGACATAATTAGAAGATAAACTAGGGCTATATAATCAAGCACTGGACGGTATGTTACAGGCAGCAAAAGCTACGGATGTTTTTCAAGGTCTCTTGACCTTGACGTTGAAGGTCAATGCATGGCTCCTACCAGCTTGTGTCTGCTTATCATGGACTGGGCCACAAATGAGGATGAAGCAAAAGAGAATCCCAAAATTACCAGATGTTAAGGGTTACAGAAAAAAAGAAAAAGAATCAGAAAATGACCCTGCCAAGTGCTCAAAGTGGTTTCTCTGCTGCCTGTCAAAGGGCTTGCCGTGTGCTGAGAAATACCTTCAGAATGAGTGCCCTTCCTGCCTTTTCAGCAGCTGCTGCTCGGAAGAAAGTGGGGCAGAAGTGGCCCGGGGTAGCAAAGAGGTGGCCAGGGAAATACATCTAGGACCAGTCTGCACACTTCTGCTCTCCAGGTTTGAGAACTGCTGTCACTGATTACTGTTGCATGAGTGCTTACTGAAAAAAGTCACGATGGGGACAACTGAAGGCAGATGTGTTCCCCGTGCCGAAGACCAATGGTGCCAAGTTCCCTTGCTCTCCGGATACGGCTGATTCAGAAGCTTTGCCAAGTGGATGCCATTGCCTGCGCCTGCGTCACAAGCAGCACAACTTAGAAGAGGACAGCTGGCTGCAGCTCAGGTGAGATGTAACCATGACCAATTTCTGAAGAAAGATGTGAAAACTTTAAATCAAGCTATAAACGGTGATGCCCCTTCTTTTCATAAATCCTAATTGTGGTGATTTCATTTGGTCTTAAGCATCAAGCAAATGACAACTTCTTTTTTTTTTTTTAATTTAATTTTACTTTTTTGGAGATAGGGTTTCACTATGTTGCCCAGGCTGGTCTCAAACTCCTGGTCTCAAGCGATCCTCCCTCCTCAACTTTTTTTTTTTCTTCTTCTTTTTTTTTTTTTTTTTTTGAGACAGAGTCTTACTTTGTCACCCAGGCTGAAGTGCAGTGGCGTGATCTCAGCTCACTGCAACTTCCACCTCCCAGGTTCAAGCGATTCTTGTGCCTCAGCCTCTCGAGTAGCTGGGATTACGCGGGCCCACCACCATGCCTGGCTAATTCTTGTATTTTTAGTAGAGGCAGGGTTTCGCCATGTTGGCCAGGCTGGTCTTGAACTCCTGACCTCAAGTAATCTGGCCTGCTTCGGCCTCCCAAAGTGTTGGGATTATAGGTATGATCCACCATGCCCAGCCCCTCCTCAGCCTCTTAAAGTGGGGGGATTACAGGGGTGACCATGGCGCCCAGCCCAAAATGCAGCTTCTTGGTGAAGTTGAAGTCAGTGTTTCTCCTACCTTAATGGTCAAAAATTTCAGCTGACTTTTTGTTTTGTTATTTTTTTAGCTTTCCATATATTTATGTCTTGGCTCACTAATCTAATACAGAGGACATGCTGTTTCCAGAGCAGGGGCCCATGAAGTTCATTGTACATAATAATCTGGTGCAAAACATCTGTAACTGGACTGACTTAGCAAGTTTTAGCCTTTTAGATCACAGCAAGGCATTAGTATTGCTTAACTATCACCTCCTGTAGAGTCCATCTTCACATAGCTCCAAGTACACACACAAAAAAGTCCTTTACAGCTACGTTTAGCTAGCTTTTGACCTCTGAATCTCGTAAGAGTTTCTTACATTCTCGTTTGCTTGGCCAGAATCTGCTTTCATCTTTTCTGCAGAAGTAGAACCTGTGTCTCCAAAGACAAATAAGGAATTTAATTCAGTGGCTTTTTGTTTCTGGGGATAAGAAATGGCAACATTTTTCAGATCTATTGTCCACCTAAAGCCATGCCCTTTCTCCAACATGGGGACAAAGGGATGGTGAATTTTTGCTCTGAATATCAATTATAAACACAAATTCACCCTGGAACTCAGAACCTAAACCTTGGTTTTATTTTTATTTATTTTTTAAGTTTTTGAGACAAGTTCTTGCTCTGTTGCCCAGGCTGGAATGCAGTGGTGCAATCATAGTTCACTGTAACCTCGAACTCCTGGGCCCAAGCGATCCTCCCTCCTCAGCCTCCTGGGCAGCTGGAACTACAGGTGTGAGCCACCAGGCCCAGCTAATTTTTAAGTTTTCTGTAGTGGTCTCACTGTGTTGCCCAGGTTGGTCTCCAACTCCTGGTCTTAAGCACTCCTCCTGCCTTGGCCTCCCAAAGCACTGGGATTACAAGTGTAAGCCACCATGCCTCGCCCTAAACTTTGGTTTTAAAAAATAAAACAGTCAGACACAGTGGCTCATGCCTGTAATCTCAGCTACTTGGGAGGCTGAGGCAGGAGAATCTCTTGAGGCCAGGAGTTCAGGACCAGCCTGGGCAGCATAGTGAGACTCTGTCTCTTAAAAAATTTTAAAAAAGGCAAAACAAAGATGTTAGTAGCATCTAATGTTAATAACATTGTGACCACAACCAATTAGCTAATTTGTTTTCTGATTAGTCACTTACATTAGCCACATCATCTTAAATAACTTAGGTTTTTACCTCCTTCTAACATAAGCTTAGCAGTAGCCTATTTTTAGATAAGTCACTTAAAGTTTCACTTGAAAGGGATCAAAAGAATCAATAATTGAAGATGGAATTAGACACACCGGGTCCAAAAAATTATGTACCCAACAGTCAGCTTTTGTGAGTTGGCGCCTCCCCAGCCCCATCATCCATATTTTAAAATGTTGAGTGTGCGTGTGCACCAGATGATTCATCCAAGCTGCTCTGGAAGTTCTCTGCTGGTGACAGTAAAGCCGACCCACCCCCCTGTCCTCCCCTCTGCCTGGTGAAAATGCAGACTATCAGTTCTGTGGCACTGTCACAGCACATCGTGGCCTTCTTTATTTAGGTGCAATGCTGGTGGGCAGTGCGCTCCTACACGCAGCTTTCCATCTCTTGATCACATTCCCCCACCACTTTTATCTGCCTGCAACACCCAAATGTTCATGCCCAAAAAGAAAGTGAGGACTTAAAGATCCCCGGGGTCCTCAGAACCCGCAGAACAGGCCCCTCCAACAGATTATCGCTTGGCTTCATTGGTCCTCATATCCAAAAAGGTTAGATATTAAACTGTTTCCCAGCCTTATCAATGCAGGAGCCTGGCTCTCTCTTCCTGCTTACTGAAGATATAACAAAAGAGATTCTGAAATTGCTGGTGGTACCAGCTCTTGGGTTTCTTTTCTTTTCTTTTCGAGGTGGAGTCTTGCTCTGTCATGCAGGCTGGAGTGTAAGTGGCATGATCTTGGCTCACTACAACCTCCACTTCTTGGGTTCAAGCCATTCTCCTGTCTCAGCCTTCCAAGTAGCTGGGATTACAGGTGCCCACAACCACGCCCAACTAATTTTTGTGTTTTAGTAGAGACAGGGTATCACCATATTGGCCAGGCTGGTCTCAAACTCCTGACCTCAGGTGATCCACCTGCCTTGGCCTCCCAAAGTGCTGGGATTATACGCATGAGCCACCGCACCCGGCCAGCTCTTGGGTTTCTTTTAACAAAGATTTTGGGGGCAGATCTGTGCTCTGAGGATAAAGCTAACCACCCTAAAAACAAGAGTCCTTCTCTGGGGTTCATCCATCCCTCCCAGTATCCCCCTCCTGAAGCCCGTGTCCCCTCCCTTCTCCACGCCATCCAGAGACTTTCACATTCAGGAGGAAAGTTGGGCTTTTTTAAACAAACAAACAAACAAACAAACAAACAAACAACTGTAGATGTTTCAAGCTAGCCCTACAGGCTTCCAGCTCTCTCCCTTCCCCTCTTCTTATTCCCCCACTCCTGGCTCCTAGTCAATGACTAAAGCTCTCCAGGAGTATTTATGGACAGGGTATCTATTGTTGACCTTGTGATCACACTAATCCTTGGCTCGGGGCTGCTCTGCTCTGCTCTGAAAGAGTCACAAGGGTGATTGGGTGGGAGTAGGGAGGAGGACAGTGCCTCATTCAGGAACAGTACATTTATTTATAGAACAGGCCTTTTCCTCTTCTTCCTAGAATCATCTGTTAATGCCGCACTTGCCATATCCTCAAACACTCCCTTTGGGAGAGAGATGATAGGGGCCCAGGACTTCAGAATTAAAGGTCAAAGTTCTTAGAGTCAGGGCACCAAAAGACTCCTCTCCCCACGTCCACGGACAAACCCAGAGAAGCTCAGATTCCTAAGAGCTGTGGACCACTGGGCATCATGATTTCCTCGATAGCACCAAAGGTGTAGCCAAATGCTCTCTCCTGGAGACGCATGACTCAATGCCTGCAGGGTGGGGAGTGGGAGCTCAATTCCTGGGAAATTCTGGCCTCATTCTGGCAGTATTTGGGGTCTGATAGGCCTAATAATCCCCTTTATCTTTTTTTATTTTTATTTTTTGAGACAGAGTCTCGCTCTGTTGCCCAGGTTGGGGTGCAATGGTGCAATCTTGGCTCACTGCAACCTCTGCCTCTTGGGCTCAAGTGATTCTCCTGCCTCAGCCTCCCAAGTAGCTGGGATCACAGGCATGTGCCACCACGCCCGGCTAATTTTGTATTTTCAGTCGAGACGGGGTTTCACCATGTTGGCCAGGCTGGTGTCGAACTCCTGACCTCAGGTGATCCACCCGCCTTGGCATCCTAAAGTGCTGGGATTACAGGTGTGAGCCACCGTGCACAGCCAGCCTAATAATTCCTTTGGGGGTTTTTGAAAAATAGGCTGGGAAATTGCTGTGGATAAGAGAGTAGGGAGATGCAAAGGGCATCACCTTGTTTATCTTGTAGCATGTGATTGCCACTATCTGGATTAAAAAAAAAAAAGAAGAAAAATACAGGGCTTCAGGCAAGGAGTGAAAATGAAGGCCATCTGCATAAAGCTGGAAGAGGACTCTTGAATCCACAGGCCTGCTTAAGCTTGGAAACATTTAGCCCACAATTATCTGCTGCCCTGTGTGACTGATTGCTTCTTGTGTTCAAGTTCTGACTGAACCAGACAGCAAATCAGTTGTAGGCAGAAGCCTTAGGGAACAGAGCTGGGTACAAAATGAGTTCTCAGAAATCCCTTGTGGATTTTCAGACGTGGATTCTTATAAGTGACTATCATTAGCATTAAAAGATGTTTTTTGAAGATGGTGATGATTGATGATAGTAATGATGATGTTTGGATGATGATGATTGATAATGATGATGATGATTGATGATGTGGTGACGGCAGAATCCTACTGGAGGAAGGAACCTTGTGTCTTTTTTATTTCTTTCTTCCCTCTGCCCAGAAAGTACAGTGCAAATAGTAGGTTTTTAAAAATCATTTGCTAGATTATCAAATAAATCATAATCATTCCATGTCTGTCAAATAAAACCTTTTTTTTTGTTTTTGAGACAGGGTCTAGCTCTGTTGCCCAGGCTGGAGTGCAGTTGCACAATCTCAGCTCACTGCAACCTACACCTCCTGGGTTCAAGTGATCCTCCCGCGTCAGCCTCCCAAGTAGCTGAGACTACAGGCACGCACCACCACTGGGCTTGGCTAATTTTTGTAATTTCTGTAGAGATGGGGTTTCACTATATTGCCCAGGCTGGTCTTGAACTCCTGGGTTCAAGCAATCCGCCCGCCTCAGCCTCCCAAAGTGTTAGGATGACAGGCTTGAGCCACCACGCCCAGCCTACACATGGAACATCTAAGTTGCTTGGTGGTGACTTTGATTAGGCTTGAAGCTTTTCTTTTTCTTAAAGAAACAAAACAAAAATAGGATGTTGGGAGCCTGCTGATCAGTTCTCCATATAACTCATCTGAGTTTGTGCTAGCACAAGGTAGTGGTTCTCAAACTTGAACCTTGCATCAGAATCACCTGGAGCTTGTTAAAAACACTAGCTGGGGCTGGGCATAGTGGCTCATGCCTGTAATCTCAGCACTTTGGGAGGCCGAAGTGGGAGAATCATTCAAGTCCAGGAATTTGAGACCAGCCTGGGCAGCATAGTGAGATCCCATCTCTGCAAAGTGAAAGCCTGTCACAATGCTGGGTATGGTGGCACCCCTGTGGTCCCAGTTACTTGGGAGGCTGAGGTAGGAGGATCATTTGAGCCCAAGAGTTAGAGGCTGTAGTGAGCCATAATCATACGATTGCACTCCAACCTGGGCAACAGAGCAAGACTCTGGCTCTAAAAAAAAAAAAAAAAAAAGCAAAAACAAAACCCACCGTAGCTGGGCCCCAGAGTTTCTGGTTCAATACCTATAAAGTAGGTCTCAAGAAGATGAGATCTTAAAGTTCTCATGCAATGCTGCTGCTCCTAGTGATCTGGGGCCCCACTTGGAAAACTGCTGCCCCAGGGTGTGTTAGCAATGTCTCAGGTTCTCCTACCTGGAACTTTATTTGGGGGGTTTAAGAAAGGTCCAGGAAATGGACTCACAACTCTGTGTAAAGAGACCTATGGAGAGGTCCCTTGGAGAATTCTTCTCAGAGGATTGCTGCCACCATCTCAGCAAGGGCCCACTTTCTCTAGAATTTAGAGATTGTGGAAGTGGGACAAAGGTTGCCGAGGGACCACGTGGGGATCCTGATCTAATTTGTCTGCAGGCTCACCTCTCCACCCATCTCTTCTCCCCACTCCAGCCCCAGGTGATTTTTCTAAATCAGAAACTGGACCATCCCAGTCTCCTGCTCAGACACCTGTGATGGTGAGAGACAGGACTAGCTGGATTTCCTAGGCCAACTAAGAATCCCTAAACCTAGCTGGGAAGCTGACCACATCCACCTTTAAACATGGGGCTTGCAACTTAGCTCACACCCGACAAATCAGGTAGTAAAGAGAGCCCACTAAAATGCCAATTAGGCTAAAACAGGAGGTAAAGAAATAGCCAATCATCTATTGCCTGAGAGCACAGCGGGAGGGACAATGATCGGGATATAAACCCAGGCATTCAAGCCGGCAACGGCAACGCCCCTTTGGGTCCCCTCCCATTTTATGGGAGCTCTGTTTTCACTCTATTAAATCTTGCAACTGCACACACTGCTGCTCCGTGTTTGTTACTGCTCGAGCTGAGCTTTCGCTCGCCATCCACCACTGCTGTTTGCCGCTGTGGCAGACCCATCGCTGACTTCCACCCCTCCAGATCCCGCACCGTGTCTGCTGTGCTGCTGATCCAGCGAGGCGCCCATTGCCGCTCCCAATGGGGCTAAAGGCTCGCCTTTGTTCCTGCATGCCTAAGTGCCCGGGTTCATCCTAATCGAGCTAAACACTAGTCGCTGGGTTCCACAGTTTTATTCCATGACCCACAGCTTCTGATAGAGCTGTAACACTCACCGCATGGCCCAAGATTCCATTCCTTGGAATCTGTGATGCCAAGAACCGCAGGTCAGAGAACAAGAGGCTTGCCGCCATCTTGGAAGCGGTCCGCCGCCATCTTGGAAGCGGTCCGCCACCATCTTGGGAACTCTAAGAAAAAGGACTGCCCGCCACCCCCTCCAGGTAACAATGGCTCACTGTTCCTCCACAGTTTGACCCATGCCTGGCTCTTCAACTTTGCCTCCTGCTGCTCCAGACATCCCAGCATGCCGTCTCTTGCCTCGTTCCTCTGCACATGGTTTTTCTGGATGTACAGTGTCTTTCCTGTTCCCTCTCACCTGCATCCTACCCATAGGATTGTCCACCCCCATATCTCTAAGGAAAGTACACCTCCCTCGTCTCCCCTCTGCTGGCTGCCAAGGCCACAATTTGAACCCCCAACAAACCCTCATGACCAGAGTTGTTGCATTGGTGGCATTGGTGGTTTACTCTCAGACTCCCGTGCTGCGCTGTGGAGGAACCGGGACTGGGTCTCTTGAATCCTTAATATTCAGCATGCTGCTGGGATTGTAGAAGGAGCTTGGTAAAGGTTTGCTAGATAAATGGAGACTGCCGAAGACTCAGTGCTAACTGACCACACACTTCATCAGTCATTACTCGTGTTACTGGAAAGGGGTCCTGATCCAGGCCCCAAGAGAGGGTTCTTGGATCTCTTGTAAGAAAGAATTCAAGCTAAGTCCATACAGCAAAGTGGAAGCAAGTTTATGAAGAAAGTAGAGGAATAAAAGAATGGCTACCCTCGGGGCTGCTGGTTGCCCATTTTTATGGTTATTTCTTGATTACATGCTAAACAAGGGGTGGATTATTTATGCCTCCCCTTTTTAGACCATATTGGGTAACTTCCTGACGTTGCCATGGCATTTGTAAACTGTCATGGCGCTGGTGGGAGTGTAGCAGTGAGGACGACCAGAGGTCACCCTCGTCGCCATCTTGGTTTTGGTGGGATTTGGCTGGCTTCCTTACTGCAACCTGTTTCATGAGCAAGGTCTTTATGAGCTGTATCTTGTGCTGACCTCCTGTCTCATCCTGTGACTAAGAATGCCTTAACCTCCTGGGAATGCAGCCCAGCAGGTCTCAGCCTTATTTTACCCAGCCCCTATTCAAGAACGGAGTTGCTCTGATTCAAATAACTCTAACACTCGGGAGACTCCTGGACACAAAACAACAGGCGGAAAAGTTGCATAGGAGTGGATTGCAGGTAAAGATGAGAGGCAGGGATGGAAAGCGGGTAGGTGGGATGACCAGTGCTCCCTTTAAGTCACCTGCAGTAAAATGAACTCCCCTGGCTTTTGTTGTCCTAAAGCAGGGGTCCCCAACCCCTGAGCCAGGGACTGGCCTCTTAGGAACAGGGCCACACAGCAGGAGGTGAGCAGCCCTTGAGTGAGCATGACCGCCTGAGCTCCATGTCCTGTCAGATCAGCGTCAGCATCGGATTCTCATAGAAGCACAAACCTTACCGTGAATTGCGTGTGCGAGGAATCTAGGTTGCACGCTGCTTATGAGAATCTAACCAATGCCTGATGATCAGAGGTGGAACAGTTGCATCCCGAAACCTTCCCCAGTCTGCCTCCCCTGATCCGTGGAAAAATTGTCTTCCGCGAAACTGGTCGCTGGTACCAGAAAGGTTGGGGACTGCTAAAGGTTGGGGACCCCTGTCCTAAGGCACAGTGACAAAGGTGTGTCCAGGAGCAAACGAAGGATTCTCTAAAGGGCCTTGGGGGAGGGGGAGGAAGTTGGAGGTTTGCAGAAAGGGAAGTAAGAATTTCCCAAAATGACAGTACCTTTAAGAGTTGCCTACCTGTCAGCTCCTGAGGCCCCAGGCCCCCAAGCCCCTTCTTCCCCCTCAACTAGGTAGGAGCATCTTTCTTGTTTCCTTTTGATTTGATGGCCTTAGATGGTGATAAGTTGCTTAGAGGTCCAGATTTTGTGTGGTGCCTGGGAAGACGAGGCATCTTATTCTGCACTTCATATGTAAGTCAGCTTCACTTCTGAAGCTATTTTTATACTTATACGAGGTTGACTTCCAGACCATAGGATCAAGTTTATAATAAAAGCACCGGACTGGGAATCAGGAACCCTGTTTCCCTTTTCTTGCAGTGACCAGCTAGCTGCTAGCAGTTGGGCAGTTGCATTTTCAACTTCCTTCACTGCTCAGGCAGCACACTTATTAAAACTGCCCACTCAAAGTTTATTTATGACTCTTGCAAACCAATTTGCAGAACTGTTTTCCATTTCGAAGGTTGTGCCTTAGAAAATTTGGACCTGCTTTCAAAGTTCTTCCAATGATATCATTCCCTGCGAACTCCAACAGCCAGGGAAGTAGGATAAACAAAAGCAACCCTTGTGGGAAGTTCTCAAATTCCAAATGCTTGATCTTAAAATCTGGCTGAATTTATCGGCTGAAACCACCATTGATGGAGTATTTCTGGTTGACCTCCCTGCCCTCTGTCCTCTGCCCCCGCCACCCCCATTCTGAATGGTGAGCTTCTGGGCCCTTCTATTTGCATCTGCAAAGATACCTCCCCTGGGATAAGTGCCTGTGTTCTTCCGGGAACCAATTTAAACCCGAAAGGGCCTTTAAAAATACATTTAATAGTTGGAAAGGATCCCTTTCTTTTTAACTTCTGAGCTCATTCCCTCTGGGAATCAAGTGACATTTTGATTCCAGTGTGTAAGCTGTTTTTTCTTTAGATCGTTTTTTGTGTAAACATTCCTCTGCAAAATTATTTTCATATTTTAAGGAAACTTCTTTCAAGTGTCCAGTCAGACTGATTCCTATTCTGTTCCCGTCACAAACCCCCAACTCGATGCTCTCTCACCCACCAACTTCCCCATTTCTCAACAGCTCATATTCAAACAGATTCTACTGTCTGTTAAAAGATTTCCCCGAGCAGGCATGGTGGTTCATGCCAGTAATTCCAGCACTTTGGGAGGCCAAGGTGGGCAGATTGCTTGAGCCCAAAGATTCGAGACCAGCCTGGGCAACATAGCAAGACCCTGTCTCTACAAAAAATTAAAACATTAGCTACATGTGGTCCAACACACCTGTGGTCCCAGCTACTAGGGAGGCTGAGGCCAGAGGATGGCTTAAGCCTGGGTGCTGGAGGCTGCAGTGAGCTATGATTGTTCCACTGTACTCCAGCCTGGGAAACACAGCGAGACACTGTCCCCCCACCAAAAAAGATTTCCCCAGCTTCCTGAAATTCCCACTTCTCAAATCTTCCCTGGGCTGTAGCCAAGGCGAGGCCGACTAGGCTGAACAAAGCCCACAGAGGTCAGGGTGGGGAAGCTCATCCAGAGGCATCATTGTCCTGCCCTGGTGCCATCCGCAGGGAAGCCAGGCAGCCCTGACAAGGCAGATCAGCACCAGCAAGACAGGTGCAGAGTTGGGTAGAGGACCAGCACCAAGGCTGAGCAAGGGTGAGAGCAGCTTTCTCACTGAGCGGCTGACAGGAGCCTGGCAGCCACAGTAAGAAAAGCAGGCCAATCAAGTTCTCTTCTGCCACCGAGAGCTCCAGTGCCTTTTTTGTACTTTTTGCAGAGAAAGGGTCTCCCTGTGTTCCCCAGGCAGGCCTCGAACTCCTTGGCTCAAGTGATCCTCCCACCTCAGCCTCCTTATTTTTCTTATATACATCAAGAAAAGTGAAGTGGCTGCATGGAAAGAATCCGTAAGTAATAATCCTACCACTGCCACCAAGTTACCGTGTAGCCTTGGATGGTCACTTTGCTATTAATATCTTTCATCCATAAAATCACAGAGCAATACTAGATCATCTTTAAGGGTCTTGCCCTTTGGCAATAATACCTTCTGGCCAGCAGAAAGTGGCATTGCTTTGACCCGTCAGTATCATGATGGGAGCTTCAGGTAGTCATTTTCTTCCGTTCATACTGGAAGGAAGGTCAGATTTTCCTCCCCGCTCCTGGAGTCTCCCGCTGGGACTGACATCATGCAGAGTGACAAGAGAAAAGCACACAGATTTGATTGACGTGATTGATTGACATGTGCATGGGAGCCCTCACAAGAAAAATAAAGGCACAGAGAAGCAGTTTATACAGAGAGCTGAAGCTTTCTCTACTAAGTTGAATGAAGAGTAGTAAATTGTGGAAAAGTAACCAGAAAGATAAGGGTTAGTGTCACAAAGTTTGTTTGTAGTTTTCTCTCAGTTTTGACTCCTCATCTCTAGTGATAAGAATGCTGGTTTCCTCCTAGTTTAGGAAGGGCATCTCTCATGGGAGAGTTTCATCTCCTGCTTTCAGGAGGAAAAAGGGAGATCGGAGTCCTTCTTGCACCTGCTAGGTTTTTTTTTGTTGTTTTGAGACGGAGTCTCCCTCTGTCGTTCAGGCTGGAGTGCAGTGGCGCAATCTTGGCTCACCGCTACCTCCGCCTCCCAGGTTCAAGTGATTCTCCTGCCTCAGTCTCCCAAGTAGCTGGAATTACAGGCATGAGTCACCACACCTGACTAATTTTTGTATTTTTAGTCAAGACGGGGTTTCACCATGTTGGCCAGGCTGTTCTCGAACTCCTGACCTCAAGTGATCCACCCGCCTCAGCCTCCCAAAGTGTTGGGATTACAGGCATGAGCCACTGTGCCCAGCCGCACCTGCTCTTTTTGAAGTGCATTTAGCCCAAAATAATTAATATGCCAAGGCAGCGTATTTTGGGGTGGCAGGTCCTGAACTCCTTCACTACTTGGGCATGTCAAGTTGCTCAGTCCACTTCTGACTTCAGCTCTGTTGCAACACTGTGGAGACAAGCTCCCCGTGCCAATTCTCTTCTTTGATTTTCTGAGCTTGGATCTTTCTGCACCATTAAAAACAGAGGCACTAATTTGAGGAATTAACTGACGTGGTCACTTGAGGTCATATAGCAGCTGTGGCCCTTCAGGATCTCACTTTTGCAAAGAAAACAAAAGAAGAGGCAAGAAGGTTGATTTGATAACTTCAGATGTTTAGGAAACAAAGCGTTCCATTCCAAGCATTTAGCTGTGGGGTGGAATCATGGCTCCTTCTGGGTTTTGTTCCCTATCAAATCACAACTTGGCCAACATTATCTGGCAAACGTTGTAAACCAGTGCTGTGGAGGACAGTGAAGAAACACTTCACCAATTCCAGAGCAGTTCTACAATACCAAGTCCTAGAAAAGAGGTTCAGCCAACAGTTTCTTTTAGTCTATTACATGCAGCAAACCCTTTGTCAGATGCTCTGGTTGTAAGGAGACAAGTACAGAAACAGTACTCTGGAACCTTGAAATCAATCTGTAATCTAACACATGTGCAAAACTGGACAATTAGAGGAGTGCTTCTCAATGACTCGGGGGCATATTGCAAGTAATTTATTAGTAATTGACACTCAGGAAACCAAAGTTTGAAAGTGGCTTTGAAAATATAAATTAGAGTGAATTCAAGGTCATCTTTCAGTGTTAAAAATGTGTGTAAAGACTCCTCTGCAGGAATTTCTCTAAAGAAGGGAATTGTTTTTGTTTAGGAAATTATCTTGAAGGGGCATTTAGGTATTAAAAGATGGGAGTGAAAACAAAGCCTGAAAAAGATCACATGGAAGCATCATTGAATTTCTCTGCATAAGAGGAAGAAATGTGGTTTTGTTTGTTTGTTGTTGTCAGAAATAGGTAAAGCTAGAGGTAGAATAGCTTATTTTCATTTTTAAATTAATTTTTATTTTATTATTATTTTTGAGACGGAGTCTCACTCTGTCACCAGCCTGGAGTGCAGTGGCACAAACTCAGCTCACTGCAACCTCTGCCTCCTGGGTTCAAGCGGTTCTCCTGCCTCAGGTTCCCGAGTAGCTGGGACTACAGACACCCCCGCCATGCCCGGCTAATTTTTTTTTTTTTTTTTTTTGTATTTTAGTAGAGATGGGGTCTCACCATGTTGGCCAGGATGGTCTCAATCTCCTGACCTCGTGATCCTCCCGCCTTGGCCTCCCAAAGTGCTAGGATTACAGGCGTGAGCCACTGCGCCTGGCCTATTATTTTTTTTGGAGATGGGATTTCCCTATGTTGCCCAGGCTGGTCTCGAACTCCTGGACTCAGGGAATCCTCCCGTCTCAGCTGGATTTATAGGTGTGAGCCACCACGTCTGGCCTTGGAGTAGCATTTTAAATTTCCTTTAGAAATGTCTTTGCATTCACTCACGGCTGTTTGGCCAGGAAGCCTCAGTTTCAGCCTGTCTTGGCTTTCAACATGTCTTCCTAAGTTCAATCATTTCTTGCTTTTGATTTAAAGTAAGAGACAGACATATGACACATTTCCTTTCACTTTACTTAGAGGACATGGTAGTGTTATTAATTTCAATATTGTTGTGTCTCAAGGAATAGGGAGGCCCAAGGAGAGGGAGAGAGATGGAGGAACACTGGTCAGTGGAGCAGTCTGACCACACACAACATTTATTAAGTTCACCATCTTATGTGGATGTGGATTGTGGCACCCCAAAACAAAGACAATAGTAACGTCAAAGAGCACTGATCGTAGATCACCATAACAGATATAATAATAATGAAAACGTTTGAAATATTGTAAAATAATTCCCAAAATGTAACAGAGGGACGCAAAGTGAGCACATGCTCTTGGGAAAACGGCACCGGTAGACCCGCTCAATGCAGGCTTGCCACATTTTGTAAAAAACAGCCTGCAAAGCACAATAAAGTGAAGTGCAATAAAGGGAGGTATGCCTGTAATGTCATCAAGGACATCTTCAGTCTATACAAATATATTGTATGGACATACTGTAGTACTGACTTCTATCAGAAAAAAACTGAGACTGAAATAGGCAAGAAAATCTTCTTAGACTTGCTCACCTATCTGTGTTATCTCCGTCTTTTTTTTTTTTTTTTCTGTAGACTTGGGGTCTCATTATGTCACCCAGGCTGGTCTCAAAGTTCTGACCTCAAGCGATCTTCCTGCTTCAACCTCCCAGAGTTCTGGGATTACAGGCGTGAGCCACCAAGCCACCGCACCCAGAATCTCTGTCTTTTATTGTCTTTGAGCTCTTGTGCAACTCCGTAAATGACAGTTGTCCATAGAAATGCAAATGGACTGCCTCCAATAGAATGATAATGGCCTTGAGGACAGACCCATTTTTCATCTATGTATACATTTATTTCGCAATTCCTTATTTTCTATATATTTTTTTGAATTCTTCTTTGAACCACTTATAACATTTCCTGGTTCCCTGATTAACTAATGAGCTTAATAAAATCTTTGACATGGGTTGATTTTGTGTATCTGTATGAAGGTCATGGTTATATCCTCTTCTAAAGATTCCTTGAAGACTGCATAGTTATTGTGAGGATTAAGTAAATTCGTGCATATGAAATCCTTAGAGTAGTGCTTGGCACCTAGAAAGCATGTCCATGTTAATGATTCTTGTTAATATCTACATGATAGGACTCAATTTACTATGATATAATTTTTGATGTCACCTACAGTATAAAGTCCATTAAGGTTAGGAACTTTCTAACTCCAGCACTGAGAACAGTAATCAAGCACCAAGAACCCAAGCACAACAAACATAGTACACTGCCAATAAGTCAGTTGAATAATGAATAAATTAGAACAGGGGGCTGGGCTCTAACAGGGGTGGCTCACGCCTGTAATCCCAGCACTTTGGGAGGCCGAGGCGGGCCATCACTTGCGGTCAGGAGTTCAAGACCAGCCTGGCCAACATGGCGAAATCTTGTCTCTACTAAAATACAAAAATTGGCTGGGTGTGATGGTGGGCTTCTGTAATCCCAGCTACTCAGGCTGAGGCAGGAGAATTGCTTGAAACCAGGAGGTGGAAGTTGCAGTGAGCGAGATCGCGCCACTGCACTCCAGCCTGGGCAACAGAGCGAGGTTCCCTCTTTAAAAAAAAAAAAAAACAAGGGCTGGCAAATCCATTTTTTAAAGGACCAAATAGTAAATATTATACACCTTGTGGGCCATATGGCCTCTGTTACAACTGCTTGATTATGTTGTACAAAAAAGCAGACATAGGCAGTATGTAAACAAATGTGTGTAGCTGTGTTATAAACAGATCTTATGCATGGACACTAAAATTTAAATTCAATGTAATTTTCATTTGACATCAAATGTCATTCTTGTTTTGATTTTTTTTTTTCCTCCACCATTAAAAAATGTAAAAGCCAGCTGGGTGCAGTGGCTCATGCCTGTAATCCCAGCACTCTGGAGAGGCCCAAGGCAGGAGGATTGCTTGGGCCCAGGAGTTCCAGACCAGTCTGGGCAACATAGTGAGATGCTATCTTTTTTTTTTTTTCCCAGGTGCTCAGTCACCATGTAGAAGTGGGCACGGGCAAAGTTGTCCTTGAGATCCCTGTCTCTAGAAAAAATTAAAAAATGAGTTGTGTGAGCCTGTAGTCCTAGCTACTCGGGAGGCTGAGGCAGGAGAATCACTTGAGCCCAGGAGTAACCTATGATTGTGCCACTGCACTCCAGCCTGGGCTACAGAGCGAGGCCCTGTCTCTAAAAAAATGAACAAATAAATAAAAATGTAAAAGTCATTCTCATTTTAGGAAAGTGACTTGCTAATCATTTCAGGAAGATTCCATTTGCAGTGATGACAAGATAATGGCTGTCTTGGCCATGCCTGTCATGTGGGTGGGGTGGAAGTGACTGGACCCAACTGCATCGAGTCCTTTGTCATCATCACTATTAACTGACAATCTTAAGTGACATCGATGGTTCTATACCCTGCCTGCAAACTGCCTTAAATCCTTCTTAGAACAAAACAGAATTATAAATAAAGATAGATTTATCTGCTGATCAAAAAATGTGATCAAAGTCACATTGCAACATGCCTCTTCTAAACAAGCTAGGAAAATGTTGAATTATATTATACTGGCATTGGTCAATTTTGTAGACCAGAATTAGGAATTTTCCAGCATTAGGAAAATGGCAGATCGCTGTCCAAAAGCACAAATAGGCCCAGCATTTGATCCACCTACACAATTGAAATGGGCCCAACTGGAATCTACAGATGCTGCCTACTTTGCCTCCTGGTACCCACGCCTCCCTCCCCTTCCCTCATATTGTCTCCCAAACAGAACAAAAGCACTTGCCTCCAGCCAAGTGATCTCTCTCCTCCCTGACGATCATGTGTGTTTGAACACCAAGTTACTAAAGTTACACACACAAAGGTACAGCTATATTTTTGCTTCGGAGTTCATAATTCCATTTCTTTTTTTTGGTGGGGGTGCTAGGATCTGATTTCATTTAGGACTCAGGCAAATTTAGATAGTGGACTTTCAAACAGGAATTCCATAAAAAGTAGCATTTCTCAATGCAGGACTATAACCAAATAAATTAGGAGAACAGCTGTGTCAGGAGAATGTCTCTGGAATAAGAAGGAAACCTGAGAAGAGGTTGGAAAAGAGCTCCAAGTTTTAAAGACAAATTTAAAATGTTAGAACACCTAAACACATACACAGTTTTAAGAACATAGAGTCCAAAGTTCTGTTTTTTTTGTTTGTTTATTTTTTGTTTTTTTGAGATGGAGTTTTGCTTTTGTTGCCCAGGCTGGAGTGCAATGGTACCATCTCGGCTCACCACAACCTCCGCCTCCCAGGTTCAAGCGATTATCCTGCCTCAGCCTCCTGAGTAGCTGGGATTACAGGCGCCTGCCACCACACCCGGCTAACTTTTTGTATTTTTAGTAGAGATGGGGTTTCACCACGTTGGCCAGGCTGGTCTCGAACTCCTGACCTCAGGTGATCCACCCGCCTCGGCCTCCCAAAGTGCTGGGATTACAGGCGTGAGCCACTGCACCTGGCCCAAAGTTCTGGTATTTTATAGATATACTGGTGAGGAAAGAGGTCCACAGCATTAGAGTGACTGTCCCAGGGCCCCAGGTCACAGGCCAAGGTTTCAAACCCAGCTCTCTTCTCAACTTGACCCAAGCTCTTTGTATAGAAGATGCAGGGAGGAAAAGAAAGCGGCCTTGTTTTCGTCTATGGCAAATTACCAAGTATTGATTTGACCTTTTATAGCTTTAAAAATATATTAAGTATATCTTATTGGAAAAGAGATGGCCCACGATACCACCACTTTGCTATAACCACAGTAATGCTTGTTTTTAAAGTAGGGCTGAGGAGTTCATAGCCTTTCCTCATAATAGTGCTTGTATAAAGAGAGGTGTGCAGGGGGAAGATAGCTTTCTCCCATCAGCGCCTACCCAGGACTCTGCACATGGCAAATGCCCAGTTAATAGCCAAACACCAGCAGGATACAAAATAAGGAAGAGGCTGGGTGTGGTGGCTCACACCTGTAATCCCAGCACTTTGGGAGGCCAAGGTGAGTGGATCACTTGAGCCCAGGATGGGCTGTGGAGTTCAAGACCGCCCTAGACAACGTATCAAGACCCCATCTCTACAATTAAAAAAAAAACAGGCAGGTGCAGTGGCGTGCACCTGTAGTCCTAGCTACTCACAAGGCTTAGGGGGAAGGCTCACTTGAGCCCAGGAGGTCAAGGCTGCAGTGAGCTATAATTGTACCACTGCACTCCAGCCTGTGTGACAGAGAAAGAACTCTGTCAAAAAAAAAAAAAAAAAAAAAAAAAGGAAGAACAAGGAAAGGGTGGAAATATAGAGCTAGCCACGAAAGGAAGGAAAGTTAAGAGAATCTTTGCAACTTTTCTGCAAATCTAAAATGATTCCAAAATAATTTTTAAATGTTTAGAGAAATTAATTTCCACAAACATCCCAATTGACCAAATATATATATATATATTTTTTTTTTCTTTTTTTTTTTTTTGAGACGGAGTCTCACTCTTGTCACCAGGCTGGAGTGCGGTGGGGCGATCTCGGCTCACTGCAACCTCAGCCTCCCAGGTTGAAGTGATTCTCCTGCCTCAGCCTCCCGAGTAGCTGGGTTTACAGGCATGCACCACCACGCCGGGCTAACTTTTGTGTTTTTAGTAGAGACGGGGTTTCACCATGTTGGCCAGTATGGTCTCGATCTCTTGACCTCGTGATCCACCCGCTTCAGCCTCCCAAAGTGCTGGGATTACAGGCATGAGCCACTGTGCCTGGCCCCAATTGACCAACTATTTTATCACACCTCTGGCATTCTCTGATTTGTATCTGATTTCTGCCTGTGTGACATTGTGGTGAATGATCTTGTCTCCTTAAGCTTATTTCCTTAACTCAAACCCTCAGATTCAACTTCAAATCTGACCACGTTTCTGAAAATATGTGGAACCTCAAGACTTGGTCACTTACTTCATACACACGTATTCATTGCCTTGCAGTTACTCAGTTGAAGTGTGGCATCGAAGAACAGACACCAACATCTAGTTAAGATTTAAATGAAAGATCTTGTCTACAGCAGATAGGAACAATTGTAATTTAGAATTGAACTGTGCAAAGAAATTTAAGTCTAAGAAGTTGTAATCAAGGAGAATTTTTGCTTCTAACAGAGGAGGTTTCATTTTTTCAGTTGAGAGTCGGGTTAGTTTTTGGCAGTGGCAGCAAAACAGAAATGTGTCTCTGAACCTGAGTAGCTCGCCCTCTGCTGCCTCGAGGAGGAGGATGAGTTTATGTTGGGACGGCAGAGGGAAGGAAGAATTTTACATTTCTTATTTTTTAGTAGACTTTATTTTCTAGAGGGCTTGTTAGGTCCACAGGCTTTTATTCTTTATGTACTCCCGTTCTAACGTTCTCTTTTCTTCTTTCCATCTCAACTGAGGATTAGAAAGGAATTTTTAGGTTGTGTTTTCTGAACGCAGCTTCATGTTTCCGTTCTGAAGTTTTGATTTCTTCAAGTTGCCATAAACTGTGGTTGTGGATTACTGTGTTCTAACTCTGTAGCTTACTTTTAACAAATGGAGATTGCAATCATTGTTTTTAACTCCTATAAAATCCTTGACTGATCCAACAACTGTCTCCCCATGACCTAAAGTTAGTGGCTTTTAAGCTTTTTTAAACTTGCTTTTTTTAACTTTTAGGCCCCCAAACCAAGATGTTTAAAATTACAACTCATTACCCATATATGGTATCATGTAAGTGTAATAAAATTTCATGAAACAGCACTTACATCTTCACTATTTGCTTTTACAAGCGTTCATTCTTCTGTTCTAATTCATAACCTCTAAAATGGGTTTTGACCTGCAGTTTGAAAGACGTGGCCCGAGAGAGAATAAGCCTTTGGGAATGGAGGCCCCCTGTGACCACTCATACACATTTGCACTGAAAGTTGACACAGGAAGTAAAATCATATTTTGCTTATTTAAAAAATTTTTAATATAAAAAAAAAATTTTTTGAGATAGGGTCTTGCTCTGGCGCCCAGGCTGGAGTGCGGAGGTGCAATCATGGCTCACTGGAGCCTCGACCTCCAGCTCAAGCAATCTTCCCACCTCAGCCTCCCGAGTAGCTGGGACTACAGGTGTGCACCACCATGCCCGGCTAATTTTTGTGTTTTTTGTAGAGACAGGTTTTTGCCATGTTAGAGGCTGGTCTCAAAATCCTGAGCTCAAGCAATCCGCCACCCTCGTTGGCCTCCCAGAGTGCCGGGATTACAGGCGTGAATCACCATGCTTGACTGAATCATATTTTACACATGGCATTTTTGCTGAAAATTCATGATGTTATACAAATCAACTGAAAGGGAGAAAGAAAAAAATACGTATCTGGAAAAGTACGGACTACATAAAAGACAAATTAGAGTGCCAGTCTTACAGTGAAATAGAAGGCATGTTCATCGTTGCACATCCAAGAGACGCTGTCTGGACTCCTTAATATTTTAGTAAAATATTGTGATTATGCCTGAATGCACCCAATTAGCTAATTGTGCTGTCATTTTTGATGTCTAAAACAAAAATGTCTTCTTGGTCTATATGATGTCTCACAGTTGAATGTTTTCTGATTAGGAGTTTGCACATCTTAACTTGGCACATTTTGTTAATTCTCAGAAATGCAGAAAATAGGGCTAGGCGCGGTGGCTCACGCCTGTAATCTCAGCAATTTGGGAGGCCGAGGCGGGTGGATCATCTGAAGTTAGGAGTTCGAGACCAGCCTGACCAACATTGTGAAACCTCCTCTCTACTAAAATACAAAAATTAGCATGGCGTAGCGGCATGCGCCTGTAATCCTAGCTACTTGGGAGGCTGAGGCAGGAGAATCACTTGAACCTGGGATGTGAAGGTTGTAGTGAGCTGAAATCATGCCACTGCACTTCAGCCTGGGCAGCAGAGCGAGAATCTGTCTCCAAAAAAGAAAAAAGGTGGAAAATACAGGCCTGTCCGGGTTAGATTTATCTCATAGATCATAAGCACCACTATCTATCCACTCTCAGGAAATAACTCAGATAATAACTAACCAACAACTCACAACTACATTTTTTCTTTCAAGAAATGTAACCTAGGGATGGCTTTCTTCTCGGGAAGAATCATTTTCATTACCCTATTATTTATATTTAAATGCTGTTTCAATAAAATGTAAAAACAATTTCTTTGGCTAACTGTCCCTCAAACTTTTCATGTTTCACTTTAAACTCTGCAAATAAATGAGTGAATGAATGAGTAAGTGTTGAGAAAAAGGTATTTGGTTTTCATCGGTCCTTAAGTGCCTACAAACTTGGAAAATGATATAAATACTACCTAAACCTAGGACTTGGATTTCAAGAGCTTGAAAAGAACTAAGTTGCAATTAATTTTTTTTCCCTCATTTTGAGTGAGGGCAACAATGCTTACTGACATACAAGCCATGTGATCTTCACTTCATTGCTTCTCCCACTGGGCCTGTTTCCATTGTAAAAGGACTTCAGTTGGCTAGATCAGGGTTTTTCATGCTTTGACCATTAGCCACAGCAAGAAAGTCATTTTTTGTCATGACCAAGTTCACATATATTCATTTATATCTGTAATAGATTCCATGAAGAAATACTTACGCTTAATTGCTATTCACTAAAATGGCCCCATGATCCCCTATTTGTAAAAGTATGAAAAACATTGGTGGTCCTAAATTATCTAAGAATACAATTCTGTAAGAGAGTAGCAAGGTTAATTTCCATCTTATTCTTCCCAATAATTCTTAGAAACATATTTCTACTGTGTTTCACATTCTGCAAATGGCAGTCTCCATCAGAGACTTTTAGAAGATTCTCTCCTGGTGATTCAGGCGCGCAGGGGTGAGAAATATGCCTTTTGGCATATTTGCAGACAGAGGCTGCACTGTCTTAAGATGTGGCAAACAGCAAGAAAAGTGATAGTTCTCTGATTTTCCTAAGTGGATCTCCAGCTAGTTGTAAAATGAAGCCTTAACTATCCTCTTAATTTGTCTTTTCCTGTAATACAACCCACAAAATTTCCTGCCCAATCTCCTATCCCTTTAAAGTGGAGAGTTGGCTTAGCCAGTATTTAAAAAGTTATTCCTGGTACCGCATTGAACCTAGAAGAAACAAAACACAGCAACTCTTTGCTCTGCACTATTTACATAGTTCTGCCTTACCCCAGGTCCTTCGAGTCAGAAAGCTTGGGGTGACTTGAAAAATGCCAGGGCAGACAACAAGTCTCTAAGCAAAACCAAGAAGCACCCAGCTAAAAACTTTGTTTGCACAGATGCAAAGGCACGACATCTACATGGCAGTATCTGAATTCCAAAGTTTGTTTTTAGTTACACACCCAACCACATGCACAAAATGAGTGTAGAGAAAATGTGATCTTTCCTATTTTTAGGTTGAAATATGGGGCTCATAAAAGCAGGGCTGCCATAAATTTTCACATTCAGGGATACAATTTATAACCAGGAAAAGTACCAACACCACACACACCCCCAAATCTAACAGTGGTAAACAGTTTTTATTCAGGCAATGAAACATGGAAAAAATATATTAGTAATCATTATAATAATTTGTGAGTATAACTTTTACAAATAGTTACTTGACATATAAAAAGGGAAATTACTGTGCATATAAAATTTATGTAGATGAATATTCCACACAACACAATCCTGATAGCAGTAGTCAACGCAGCACTCATCCCTCCAGATGAGGGGCTCCTCACACACTTCATGGCACCCGTGGGAACACAGTGGAAGCAGATGTGCAATGAACATTTACTTGGCACATTAGTATAATGGGTATCTATTGGCAAACACACACTTGCTAACAGCAATACTGAAAAGTTTACTGCTACCTCTGAGATTTAAAAGAAATGCCTGGATCCTATCCCGACGGCTGAGAAGGACCGAGGCTGAGGCTCTGGTGTGGTCACCTACACGCTGCCCTGTATCTGGACTGGGGATGGTTTGAGTTCAAATTTGTACATGTCCATCTGAAAATTCTTTATAAATACAGAATTAGCAGTTAATGATGTGACCAGGAAATTACTGTTTTGAGTATATGTCAGATACCACTAAAAGGCAGAGGGGGAGAAAGTGACATCTTGACAGTTCTAAATTAAAGGATCGATACAGGGAAGGTTCAGGCCACATCTCAGCTCTGAGCCTGGCCTCCTCCATACAAGTTAAAGCATTACACAGACCACCACAGGCCAGCATTGCACACAACATCTCCATATTAGAACTATAACCAGAATATATATTTATATAATAGCTGTAACCATATTATAGTTAATAAAGTCATTCCTTAGGAATCTTGTTTGTCCAAATCTAACTGCATGCTAAGAGGCACAGAAATGGGATTGCATTTGGACAAAAAACTACAAAAAAGTGCAATCTTTAGTCTCCAGGATGCAAGCTCTGGCACTAGGGGATGGGTCTTCCCTGGAGAATGCTGCCGCTGATAGTCTCTTCCAGAGGAGATCCTTTGAGAGGAGAGTCTGTTACATCAGTTTCTTTACTGTTACTCTATGGAGACTCAAGGATTTAGTGGTAAGTTGCTTTTTAAAAATAACTGGAATCTGGAGGCCAGTCAAACCTTTTTGGACAGATATCTCCTCGAAATACTTCTTTATTAAAGTATTTGAAGGAGATGACTTCTTAGACCTTTGGCTTGACATTCTGGGATTCCCAGACTATATTGTTCTTTCATAAGCAAATAATCTGTTATCTTTTAGATTCTTCAGAATAAATACATCTTTACTTTAAAATCCCTCGCTTGAATCATGTAATCTTTCAAAACCTAGTTTCTATCTTCCTAACAACAGGATAAAGTCAGAAATGCAAGTCAGAAAGCAAGCTCACAATCACATGACCACAAAGAGACAACAGTCAGAGACAGTTCATGAGATGGCTACCAATTATAATGAAAAACCAAGAGGAAGTTAAAAGGGGGCTTCAGAACTTTCACTCCACTAAAAAAGAATGTGCTGAAATCACTTCCAACTCAGTATACACAGACTTAACCAATGCTTGCTCTTAAAAAAACCCTTTTGAGCTTGAGTAACCACTGAGCTGCCCTTTGTTACCTTTATGGAAAATGAGTGCTTCACTCCAGCTGCTTTTACCCAGCCCAGGAACATCTGGGGGCAGTTTACACTCCCTGTTTATAATTAGAGTGAATTCAGGGCTATCTAATAAATATCTAAGTATTTGTGTAAGAGTTGTACAAAGTATGGGTAGGTTGAAAGGGTAACTGGCTGGAAAGAAAATTCAACTTGAGCTATCCTCCAAAACGAAACATAAATCTTCCCTCAGATTCCATACCATTCTGGAAGGCTGCCAAATCCTAGGTTTTTCACCATCATGTGCTTCTGCACTTCCTAATTTGGGCTGAGTCTGAAGAAGCTAGAAACCACGTGAGAAAACTGGGCTTCCCGGTATTTCCAGAGCAGTTTTACAGAACAAAAGGTTTGGGTAGGTCACTGGCTGGAAGGAGACTCTCCAACCTTGACTGTGACTATCTGGGCAGCCACGGGGGGAATTGTTCAGTTGGCCTCACGTTGCATTCCCCACTTAAAATACTGCTGGATAAAGGCTATCTACACTTTGGCAAAGTCAAAAGCTAAAGAAATTGCTCTGGATCCAGAATCTCAACAGGATCACCTAATATTCCCAAACCAACATCTAGGCCAGCAGCTGCCTTCTACTTTCCTTTTTCACTCCTGGTTTTTTTTTTTTTTTTTTTTTTTTTGAGACAAGATCTTGCTGTCACCCAGGATGGAGTGCAGTGGCATGATCATGGCTCACTGCAGCCTTGACCTCCCAGGCTCCCACCTCAGCCTCCCAAGTAGCTGGGACCACAGGCACGTGCCACCATGCCCAGCTAATTTTTATTTTGGTAGAGACAAGGTTTCACCATGTTGCCTAGGTAGGTTTCAAACTCCTGGACTCAAGTGATCCTCCTGCCTCGGCCTTCCACAGTGTTGGGATTACAGGAATAAGCCACTGTGCCCGGCCCTTTTTCTCTTCTGTAACAGAGTTTATTACTGCCTAGCTAGCAGGTTATTTGGCCCTCACATGTGTTGAGGCAAACTCTATACTATATTCTTACTCTCCAGAGTTCCAAAATCCTTTATTTTTAAAGAAAAATAAACAAACATACTTCATTCTGCCCAGTATATTCTCTTGATCTGTACAAGCTACGATTTTAATTCTCTTTGGAGAGGAGGCATCTGTTAAGTTCGAATGGGGGATATTTCCTCATAACGGTCATGGCTGAGAGGCCAGGACAATTATCACTTAACGAAGGTCCTTTGGTGCTCCCTGTGCATCAGCTTCATTCACTGGGGTCAGGTTCTTAAGGGGTCTCTTCCACCAGTGTGCTAGGGAAGGGCTGCCATCACCTCTGTTTAACACATAGCTACTTTCTTAAACACAATAAGCTTAAAAAGATGACTATGGATTTACAATGGAGGGCACTATAAGCCTCTCATACTTAAAACAGATCAATATAAAACAAGTAAACATGAAAACACCAAAACACAGCAGCAAAAAGATTTAGCAATCAATGTTTCTTTCTGCAAAATGCAAAATTAACTTATTTAGCAGTAGAGGACTAAAAAGGAAATCAGTTATACCAAGGGGAGACACGTGCCCTTGGTACTATGACCACTAGGACAGCATTCATATTACACCACAGTGACTGCTTTCAAAGCTCAAATGATTGTCAAGCCACTTCTCAAATGACAGATAATTTCTGTTGTTCTTTTTTATACAAAATGTTAAGACAACAGGCTTGAATATACAGCCTAAGCACCAATTATGATAAATGCATATTGGTAAAATGTGACTTCTGGCTTTAAAAGACATTATTGACCTCCCTGGGGCTAAAGATTGCACCCATGTGAGTAATACACTGCTAAAGAATAATTCATTTTTTAAGATCTATAGAGGTTCTCCACTAGGCACAATTCATTGCTGAAGTTGGATCATGCAACAGTTTTACAAGAGAAGTAGGAAAACATACGTATACTGAATATAGTGCATATCACCATGAAGACTTTCAGCATGTAAGATTAAGACAGGACAGTGCTTTAAAACACTTGCATGGATTTGGGTTTGCCTATTCAAATGAAAGGGAATTCATTGAGATTTATATGGAAAAATTCCATGTTGGGGTTAATGGCCCACCACTCTGAACTGAGTCCAGTAAGAGCTTGAGGAATTTGGCTTTGTTAGTACAGACCTTCTCCTTGCACTCCTCTTCTCAGTATTCAACAAGCTGTCTTTGTTTAAAAATATGCAAAATGCACTGATTTTTGGAGTGGTTCATGTGACTTTTACTGCTCATTTTGTTAAAAATTCTGTCTTAAGTTAGAAGGTATTTTTTGCTTTCTTTTCAACATCTGAAGAACAATGCATCACACTTGGGAAAAAAACATTTCTTCACCTTATAATTGGTAATGTGCTACAATTACCTTTTAATTAAGATCTGAGCCTTTTACAAGTAGATTTTCTTCACATACTTAAAATAGATCGAAACTCTGTCTCAAAAAAAAAAAAAAAGATAATGAAGACTAAATGTTGATTCTGTATTAACAAATGGAGGCAGAGGAGAGTAAATGACTCTAGGGCAGACTTGCCAAACCCTAGCTTGGAGGGAGTCCCATATTGCCGTTCATGCAGAAAGCAGACACTATCATTAGTCTGAGGACTAACCCTAAAGGGGCCACACCCATTAAAGCTGAGGAGTGTCCAAATACCAGGGCAACAAAACGTCATGGCAAATAGTCTTCTCCAGATATGAAAACCCAAGACTGTGGTCTTCACATCTTTAATCCCCCAAATTCTTAAGTTGGTGTTCTGAGTCAGGACTCTATTTCAAAATAGGGTCTCACATCCAAGGAAATATGTCCTTCTGTAGAGCAGTTCTTACTTGACTATGCTTCAGGGAAAAGAGCAGCAGCATCTATAAACATACATGTATGTGTGTGAGAGTGTGTGTAATTTAAAAGGGGATCCAGAGCCCCTTCTTGATTATAAATTGGAAGTAACAATAGGCCAAACTGTCTCCTTAAATAAAACCACTGATACTAAAAAATTAAAAGATTAAACAGATCACAAAAAAATCAGACAGGTGGTGGAGAAGACCCCAAAGAGGAGTTACAAATTTAACACATTTGGGAAAGTAAAGATGACTTTAAAACAAACTAAAGATAAATCACAAACCCAAACTCAGCAGCCTAAGGGAACCTTCATAGGGGGAAACTAGGAGGCTCCAGCACTGTCAGGTCACACTCCTTTCTAGACTATGCAACCCTCTAGGGTTTCTTCCAGGGCTGTTGCATTGGCAGCAAAGCGGGACAGGCAGCAGTAGGCATGTGCTTTTTTTAAGTTTTTTTTTTTCTCTGCAAAGGGGCAATTATTCCTGGATAAGGCAAGATAATTGTGGTCACAAGAGAAGCAGCCAAATGCAGATCTGTTGAGCTAACAGGGGGAGTGTCTCAGTCAGTCTTTCCCAGCTTTGCAATCAGCTCATCACAGATTTTTGTCAGTTCTTCAATTTCTTGGTTCTGAAAGACAAATGACATAATTATGCAGGCCACTTTGTATTCTGAAATAAAGGCAAATAGAGTTAACTAGTCCCAAGTCTGGATCTACCCTACCCTAGACATCCTAATTCAGTGATTTTTAACTTTTCTACATCAGAGATGCTTTAAAGAAAAAAAGGCTACACACCTCAAAAAATGTACTCATAAAATCATGCTTAAATTGAGTAAAGGGTGAGGACAGTCACCAGCCCTCTGAAACTTGTCCATGAATCTCTTAGTTCCCCAATTTTCTTGTTATCAGAGGAATTATCTGGGGTACTTGTCAAAAACATAAGTATCTGGGTCTCACTCAATCCATTAGCATATCTAGGGATGCTGGAGTCTGAATCTCCCAGGGAGCACCGTTCTAGGGGCTAACAGACCCTGTGATAAAAACTCCTGCTCTTGATGAATGGATGGCACAGGTATGAGTACATAATTGGAAATGCAGTAAAGAAAATACACCGGAGACATATAAAAACGGAAAGCTAAAAATTGCTTAGTGAGAAACAGGGATTGTTGCTAGTCCTGGTTTTCATTTATCTATAGCAGTTTCTCAAAGCAGCCCTGCTGATGTTTTAGGATGGGTAAATGTGTTGTCAGAGGCTGTCCTGTGCATTGTAGGATGTTTAACAGCATCCCTGGCTTCCTGCACTAGATACCAGCAGCATCTCCCAGTGGTGACAACCAAACAAATATATCTCCAGACATTACCTAACACCTAACATCCCCTGGAGGGCAAAACTGCCCCCAACTGCAAACCACTGATCTAAAGCAATGAAGGGGGAAGATGGCTTCATATTAATATATTGCATAAAAAACAAAGAAAGAAAGAAAGGCAGTCTCATGACCCCAACTAGGAAGCTGTTCTGAACTTCAGTTAAAATGCAACTTCCTCTCTGCACCCTGCCTGTGGATGATTTCCACATGATGTGCTTGAAAATTTAATGGTTTGACTTGTTTGTTTCCACCTGGATCAGTTCAGAAAGGAGCTGGACTGAAATGTCTGAGTAGAAAGCCAAGGCCTCTTTCACCCAGATCTGTCATTAAGTGAGTCACTGCTGAGGAGGAAAACCAAACGTCTCTGTGGCCACCCAGATCAGGTCCCTTTCTGTACCTTCTGCTGCAGGGCCCTTTCCAGGGACTCCACCTTCATCTGCTCTTTGCGGAGTCCAGCATGGAGAGCTGCACTCTCAGCCTTTGCTTTTGTTCGAACCTGAGCAATCTCTTCATTGGCTCTGTTTATGGTGTTTGGGTGTAATAAAGAGACAAAAAGCACATGATTAGCCACTAGTCAAAGCCAGTCAGGATACTAACCACTGACATCTGTGAGGCACAGGCCTCAAAGAATTGACTGCATGAGAGAAAAAAAACAAAAATCGGTGACCTAAATAATTCCATTTTAATTTATAAAAATTCAATTTACAGACAACTTCAAAATTTGTATCTCACTAGCAAATGGTTTCTATAACAGTCTTAGATTTTTTTTTTTTTTTTAGACCAGTACAAAAGCAGACTGCATAATTTTGGAGACGATCACAGCTAGAGTTGGGATACTAACCACTGACATCTGTGAGACACGGGCCTACAGGGAATGAGTTTATTAATGAGATGTGAAAGGCATTCTTTTTTTTTTTTTTTTTTTTTTTTTTTGAGATGGAGTCTCGCTCTGTCACCCAGGCTGGAGTACAGTGGCGCAGTCTCGGCTCACTGCAAGCTCCGCCTCCCGGGTTCACGCCATTCTCCTGCCTCAGCCTCTCCGAGTAGCTGGGACTACAGGCGCCCGCCACCACGCCCGGCTAATTTTTTTTTTTATTTTTAGTAGAGACGGGGTTTCACCGTGGTCTCGATCTCCTGACCTCGTGATCCACCCGCCTCGGCCTCCCAAAGTGCTGGGATTACAAGCGTGAGCCACCGCGCCCGGCCTGAAAGGCATTCTTAAAAACCATAAATGTCAGTTGATGAACAGCCATTAAACTGATGAAAGGATGCTAAAGCCTCATTAGCAATCAGAGGCATGTAAATTAAAATGATAAGCTTTGAAAATTGATTGAATTGGCAAAAATTAACAAGGACAGTCCTGTGTGGGCCGAGATACAAGGAGACAGGCAGGCTCATGTGCCAATGGGCGGCTGAAAACTGGCGCTGCCTTGTGGCGGGCAATGTGGTAGTCACCAGGGCAATTTAAAGTGTACATGCCCTCCAACGCAGCAATGCCACTTTCAGTTATGTATTCACAGAAATACTCCCACCTGGCATAACAGTGAGTGCACAGGATGTTCGCTGTAGTGTTACCTTCAATGTAAAAAAGTTTGTAACTAAGTGCCCATCAATAAAGAAATGCTATAGTTCCACGACCTAATAAAAAGAATTAGATTCAGCTATATGTTCTGACATGAAAAAATGGTCAGGATATGCTATTAAGGGAAAAAGGAAATTTGTCTAATGTGATTCCAATATTGTAAATATTTTTTATAGTTCAAAATCATAGTATTTATAAAGACACAAAGAAACGACTAGAGGGATATACAATAAACCTACGTATAATATATAGAGGCATCTGTAAAACCTATGGAGAAGAATGCATAAGAAATCTAATACAGTACTATGGGAGTGGGAAGGGGACAGGGGAACTTCTGCTTCTACAGATAGAAATTTAGGCAGCAAAATGTACAAGCATGTATTACCTTTTAGTTAAAAAGTCAAGTTGGGAGGCCAGGCTCAGTGGTTCATGCCTGTAATCCTGCACTTTGGGAGACCGAGGCGGGCGGATCACTTGAGGTCAGAAGTTCGAGACCAGCCTGCCCAACATGGCGAAACCCCGTCTCTACTAAAAATACAAAAATTAGCTGGGCATGGTGGCGGGTGCCTGTAATCCCAGCTGCTCGGAAGGCTGAAGCAGGAGAGTCACTTGAACCCAGGAGGCAGAGGTTGCAGTGAGCTGACACTGTGCCACTGCACTACAGCATGGGTGACAGAGTGAGACTCTGTCTCAAAAAAAACCAACAAAAAATCAAGTTGGATAACACTCCCCAGGATAAACTCCAAATGTATTAGATTTAAGGATTAAAAAAACTAAGCCATAAAGTGTAAGTAAAACATGGGAGAATATTTTCTATCCAGCATGGGGAAGATCTTTGTTACTATGACAAAGAATCCAGAAGCTGTAAAAGAAATGACTAATACATTTCAGCACATAAAAGTAAATTTCTGAATATCAAAAAACACTATAGGTGGACGCAAAAGACAAATGATAAACTTGAAAAATTATTCAAAATTCTTATCACAAAGGGCTGGTGTCCCTAATATATAAAATCTATAAAATGACAATAGGAAAATGGGCAAAGAATAGAGTAATTCATAGTAAAGCAAATATATTAATAAATGAATGGTGAAATATATTCAATTTCATTCATAAGATAGATGCAAATCAAAATTACATTGATTAAAATAAATGCTCTGGGGCTGGGCGCGGTGGCTCACACCTGTAATCCCAGCACTTTGGGAAGCTGAGGCGGGCGGATCACCTGAGGTCAGGAGTTCCAGACCAGCCTGGCCAACATGGTGAAACCCTGTCTCTACTAAAAATACAAAAAATTAGCCGGGTGTGGTGGCGTGTGCCTGTAATCCAAGCTACTTGGGAGGCTGAGGCAGGAGAATCACTTGAACCCGGGAGACTGAGGTTGCAGTGAGCCTAGATTGCACCGCTCCACTCCAGCCTGGGTGACAGAGAGAAACTCCGTCTCAAAAAATAATAATAATAATAAAATAAATAAATAAATGCTCTGTTGCTTGCCAAAAACAAATACCTATGTTGAAATACCATTTTCACCTATTTGATTTGCAGAAAATAAAAACGTTGACCTATTGGCACAGTTGTAGAAAAAAGAGATGCTCTCATATATTATCTAGGGCTATCAAATGATAAAAGTCTAATGGGGCCAATCTGACAACACTTATAATTATAAATTCATATATGCTTTGGTCTAGCAATTCCTTTTCTAACATACAGATCATAAAGATAACTCACAGGCATGCAAAACGATCACCTACCAGGTCACTTATTACAGCACTGTCTGTGGCAGCAAGACATTTGAATTAACTTTAATGTCTAACAGGAGGGGATTGTTAAATAAATGATACATTCCAACAATGGAATACCATGTGGCTATTAGAAAAAAAAGAGGAAGCTCTTCTTGCACTGACATGGAAAGATTCTCAAAATTATATTGCTAAGCAAAAATAGCGAAGTATGCTATAATCATATAAAAAAGAAAAAAATTGTAATAGGAAGAAAAAACAGAAACCAACAATGGTGATTACCTGGCATAGAGAAAGATGGGAACCCAGTGGAAGGAGGCAGGAGCAGATATACCTTTTTTTACTTTTTAATGTTTTAACAATGGGAAAAGGGTTTAAAAAGTGAAATAAACACACACATAAAAATACAACCTGGAGTTGCGAAACAGTGATTTTGTTTTCCTCTCTCAATCTTCCCACAACATCATGAAGAGTGAAATTCAACATTTACAAGCTCTTACTTGTCCAGTTTCTCTTCTGCGTGGATTTTCAGGGCCTGGTATCGCTGCTCCTCTTGTTTAACTCTGGCTAAGTAATCCTGAGCACATTTCTTCAAGGCTTCTTCATTCTGTTCCAAAGCAAAAATTGAAAATAAACAGGTCATTTTGTTTCTTCTAATCTACCACATATCAGAGTTTTCATTTTTTAAAGAATGGAAAAATCTAATTAATTCAGATGGCTTTTATTCATACTCTGCAGTAATTTGAAATAGCCACATGTAATTCTCACTGAGGAAATTCTACATAATGTCTTCATGTGTTAATTTTCAATATCATACAGTAAGGGTCAGTTATACCAATATGCCTACTTTAGGAAGGCAGTTATTCAAAACTGAATGGCAATTCGATTTCCATATTTGATAAACTGGCCAGTTTCATTTTTATTTTAATATGAAAATAAAGCCATTTCATTGCTATAATTGTGTCTGGTTGATATGGTAAAGTTAAATTAAATCAACAGGCCCATTTACATCTAAATTTGAAACATTATACTAATGTCTTCTAGAATATGCAGCTTGAATTTTTCAGAGACATGGAATTCCTTCTAATCCCTTTTACTAAAACTGAAAAGGTGAATTACCAGAAAGAACATTTCTAGAATTCACCTGAGGTCTGAGGGTTCAATTAACAGTTCTTGCAGTCTACGCCACAGCCTGGGGCTTATTGGCTTGACACAGGAGAGGAATGGCCAAGACATGGCACCCAGTGGGCCAGATGCCTGAACAACCAAAGAAGGAAAAATGTGGAAAAAAATCCAGCTTCACTGGAATAGAGGATACAAGGCCAGTAGGCCCTGAGCTCCTATTTAAAAGGATACCCACAACCTCTGGCATATGTATTTGATGACCAGTTACCAAGGAAATACACTACTGGAAATACACCAGGAGACAGAGGGAAAAAACACTCTACCTTCTTGAACCCTTCCAGAACACCTTTCAGGTTCTCATATCTCCTGAAGAGATCAGAAAGGGACCTTTCCACAGAGTTAAGGTCAGCCAGGGCCTGTTCCTTCTCCATGGTCAGTTGCTGGAAGCTCTTCTGAGAGGTCATACTTGTCCTTTGTTCATCTTCTGGGAATCACAAGTCAAAAGGAATGACATATTTATTCAAAAAATAGACACTCCTTAGAAGACAAGCAGTGTTCTCGTGGTAGGGACACAGCCGGGGATGTGACCAAATTCCCGCTCTTATGGCTTATACTCTAGTTGGGGGAGACGCGTGGTAACAAGTGATGGGGAAAGAACAAGGCAGGGTAAGGAGGAATGGGGGCGGGGAGGGGGCTGTTACTGTACAGAGAGTACCTGCTCTCAGGGAGAGATCTGAGCATAGACCGGACAGAAATGAGGATGTGAGCCATACAGCTACCTGGGAGAATATTCCATAGAGAAGAACAGCTGTGGTAAGGCCCTGAGCTGGGAAGGCATTAGGTGATGTGGATGATAGAAAGTATCATTTCGGCAATTTAGTGGAGAAAGGACAGACTCTGGTTTAGGGAGTCAATCCTTATGATATAGATGAGAAGAGACTCTAAATTCCATGCAGGAGGATCAATCCCTGTTGTTTTGTAAAGGCACCGCTGGGTCTGATGCAGAGAAATTACAATCTGCACTAGAGTAAGAACCCTGCACCAAAACACAGGATGCTCCCAGTGGGTGTTAGTGATGTGACCAGGCCACCAACAGTCACAGAATTCAAGGCCTGCCATCTTCTAAAATGAACCTAACTACAGTTGACCCTCATTATTCACCAAGTCCATACCTCCCAATTCACCTACTTGCTAAAATTTATTTGTAATCCTAAAATCTATCCTCCTGGACTTTGACAGTCATTTGTGGATGTGTGCAGAGTGCAAAAATGCTTTAGTCACCTGATATGCACGCTCTCAGCTGACAGTGAACAAAGCAATACTCTGCCTTCTTGATTCATTCTATAAACAAGTGTTCTTCTTTTGGTCTATTCAGGCCATGTTTGTTGCACTTGTGTTCTTTTTGCCGGAGACTTCACTGTTTTAAGTGGCCTCCAAGGGCAGTGCCACAGTGCTGTCTAGTGATACCAAGCACAAGAAGGCAGTAAGGTTCCTTAAAATACATACATTACAGAAGCTCTGTTCAGACGTGAGCCAAAGTGCCGCTGACTGTGAGCTCAATGTTAATGAATCAACTATATATATTAAATAAGGTGTCTTTAAACAGGAACACACGTAAAACAAGGTTATATACTGATCAATCAATGAAAATGTTGTGGCCAGATGCAAGACTCTAACTCTGTCTTTTCCCTAGGAGCAGTGTTTATTTACTTATTTATTTTTTGAGATGGAATTTTGCTCATTGCCCAGGCTGGAGTGCAGTGGCACGATCTCGGCTCACCATAACTTCCGCCTCCCAGGTTCAAGCGATTCTCCTGCCTCAGCCTCCCGAGTAGCTGGGATTACAGGCATGCACCACCACGCCCAGCTAATTTTGTATTATTAGTAGAGACGGGGTTTCTCCATGTTGGTCAGGCTGTTTTCGAACTCTCAACCTCAGGTGATCCACCTACCCAAGCCTCCCAAAGTGCTGGGATTACAGGCGTGAGACACCATGCCAGGCCAGGAGCAGTGTTTAGTATTCACTAACTCAGTGTTTGCAGCAACTTTACAGAACATACCTCCCACGAATAATGAGACGACTGTATCTAAGTGACAGACAAATACAAGTTTGTGACATGGTCTGAAAATCATAAATGGATCCGGCTATGGTCTTATAGTTTATGCCACCCCCCAACCCCAAATTTGTGTATTGAAACCTAATCCCCAGTGTGTGAGTATGTTCAGGGTGAAAGTGGGCATGGAAGGGAATTTGGGAGGTGATTATGTCAGGATTAGTGTCCTTATAAAAGAGACCCCAGAGAGCTAGCCAGCCCCTTCTATGAGGAATGGGCCCTCCCCAGACATCTCATCTGTGGGCACCTTGAACTCTCCTGTCTCCAGAGCTATGAAAAATGTTTGTTGTTTATAAGCTACCTAGCTTACATATTTTGTTATACCAGGCTGAACAGACTAAGACAGATCCTATGGCTCATACCCTCAAAAAACAAAATGTTCTCCTTACCAATCATTTGAGCAATAGTCTTTTCATATTCAGCTACAATTTTCCTAAATGAGAAAAAAAGAACTTATTACCAGAGGAGGATTTTCAGACAATGAAAGTTGGAGAAATGCTGTCCCAAACAATTAAACACATTAACATACACTGACAATGTATGTAATCCATTTATCTGCTTTGGGGCTCTCGTTATCTTTTTTTTTTTTTTTTTTTTACATTATATAAGGTTTCTTAAGGTTCTAAAAAGGTTTTTGTTAAGATTTTATCTTTAGTCAAACTTATATTTTACTTATAGAACCAACTGCCTTCCCTTTCTCTTTGCACCTATTTGAATACTGCAAGGAAATAGATTCATTCTGCTTAGATGAGTCAATCTTTTACAAACTAAGTTAAAGATATTCTTCTGGGCTCTTCCTAACAGATGCGATCTGACTTTAGACTTTCCTGAGTCAATCCACCCTTTCAGACACTCTACCTCTGATTCAGTGACAAGTTTTATTTTGTGTCCTAATTCCAAAAGTATTTCACTTATTCAAAGACTTTAAAGATCAACCTCTTGGGTTAACCTTTCTTCTAGTGAAGAATGACAATGTCCTTCTGACCCAGTCCGGTGCTGGGTGCTCTGTGAGTCGCATCACGTCCTCCCCTGCCCTCAATGGTGGTGCCCCCATCACTTTTGACGTCATATCCAAGTTGGTTATTATGGATGGCTACCGCTCTCTAAGAGCAGGAATGTCCCTTCCTTTCCATCAAGCCCAGCAAAGGGCCTTACACCTAGGAAATGCTTAAAAGACAAATAATAAAAGAGCAACAAATTAGAGGGATATACTTAAAATGTTTTTTAATCATTCAAGTGTTGACCACACTGTGTGTGAATTATTTATGCCTTTTTTTCTTCTCTACTTTGATTTCATCTTTAGTCATTTCATGGCTCATAACTCTCCTTTCTAAAAGTGAGGAAAAATAAAAAGATTTCGATTTCAAGTCAATCAATTTTGTTTCTTGTTAACAAGCTTTCTATCATCTATTTGGTGGTTATGTAATTTGAAACTCTCATGCATAATTAATTTTTAAAAAGTATTATGGACCAGGCGCTGTGGCTCATGCCTGCAATCCCAGCACTTTGGGAGGCTGAGGCAGGTGCATTGCTTGAGCTCAGGAGTTACAAACCAGCCTGGGCAACAGAGCGAGACCTCATCTCTAAAAAAAATTATGCAGGCATGGTGGCACATGCCTGTGGTCCCAGCTACTTGGGAGGCAGAGGGGAGAGGATCAGTTGATCCCAGGAGGTTGAGGCTGCAGTGAGCCATGATCACACCACTGCACTCCAGCCTGGATGACAGAGTGAGACCCTGCCTCAAAAAAAAAAAAGTAGTATTATGAATTTCAGTGTCTCTATCATTGGATAAATCTTATTTTTCTGTATTCCAAATGGATATTTTGATACAAATTTCTGTCAGTTCTAAGAAGATAAGAATTATGTGGGTTCTGTTTACATGTTATATGTTCTGAACAACCCAAGATAAACTACAGTATTTGAATATAATAACTGGTTAGCAATAACTCCTGAAATAACATTCTCAATCACAAAGCAAGGTGCAAACAGCAAAGCCCTCAAGCTCTCAACACTTGGTTCTGTGGCAAGCAAACACTGTCATCACTTCATCTGTATCAAATCTAACAGTGCATAAAAGTATCCAGCCCCTCCCCAAAACCTCCAGTCTAACCTCATCTCCAAAACTTCTTGCCGGGTCTCTTCGTATTTCTTCTTCCATTCATTTGCTTCAATCTCTTTAGTAATTATCTAGAGTACAATAAAGCTTAGTTTTACCCAATCTATTACAATTTGCATTTAAGACTGGGAACTGAAATAGCACACAACCAGGTCTAACCCAAGATGTTCAATCTATATTAGAAATATAAACTTCAATATTAAATGTTTGTAACCATTTGGAAAAGTGTATTCTAAGCCACACTGAATGCTGGGATGCAGACACGGGAATAAAGATGAGTAGAACATCTCTCAGAAATCCCAAGTAGTATTTACAGCCTCTGTGAACTTTACCTTGGTCCAGGGTCTAGCTCTCAGCTCTGCAGGGCCAGGCCCTGACTGGGACAGACACCAAGAACAGAGCCATCTGATTGGCAGGTATTCACTCTTAACTAAGGCCATGTAATCACGGCTGATGCCAGGCCACCAGAGTGAAACTGCCACAAAGTCAGACCACTGGAAGTTGGCATGAGCAACACATTCTCTTTCTATAGAGATTTCTGACAGCTTCATAGAAATGGAGTCAGAAGGAGGGGGCTCAGATGAGCTGGCTACATCTAGCTATAGCATCCGTCACTTATGGGTAGAGTCTTGCTAGTTAGCCTGGAACCTAGGCTCATATTTGGGATGCTCTTGCTAACTGGAAGGAAATACTCTAAATTCATTGCCTCAAACTCTATTTGCCCTGGGCTGGGCTTGCATGGGCAGCCTCTTACTGTACTTCCCTGGCCGTGCCGCTCTCTTCCTAATTGGTAGTTTCATTATATTTATTAGGATCTCAAGAACATAGAAGGATGTATCCTGTGTGCTTCAGGTAATCAGGCACCTCTTTACTTTGATCCATTAGGTGGTGATCTCATAGTTTAACTCCCAGGAAAAACATCAAGTCATTTTTCTCATTTACAAGATTTTGGCCAGGGACAGTGGTGCGTGCTTGCAGTCCCAGCTACTCAGGCAGCTGAGGCAAGAGGATCGCTTGACCCTAGGAGTTCGAGGCTGCAATGAGCTATAATTGTGCCACTGCACTCAGCCTGGGTGACAGAGTGAGATCTTGTCTTTTATTTTATTTTTATTTTTCTGAGATGGAGTTTCGCTCTTGTTGCCCAGGTTGGAGTGCAATGGTGCGATCTCGGCTCACCACAACCTTCGTCTCCCAGGTTCAAGCGATTCTCCCACCTCAGCCTCCCAAGTAGCTGGGATTACAGGCATGCACCACCACGCCCAGCTAATTTTGTATTTTTTTTTTTTTTAGTAGAGATGGGGTTTCTCCACGTTGGTCAGTCTGGTCTCGAATTCCTGAACTCAGGTGATCCGCCCGCCTTGGCCTCCCAAAGCACTGGGATTACAGGCATGAGCTACTGCGCCAAGATTTTATCTCAAAAAAAAAAAAAAAAAAAGATTTTGGTGGGCCTTATTACCACTGCTCCCAAGTTTTGAAAACAGGACTAGCTGACATCCCTCATTACCAACTTGATGCTATTTTAGAAAGCTGTAAAAGACCTACAGCTGAGGTGCTTAACCACTTTCAGCATACTATAAAAATTAAAACTAAAAAAAACTATAAAACTAAAAACTATAAAAATAAAATTGCCACACCTTCCTTTAAGAACAGGTGGAATTGTCAAGAAACACACAAAACAAACACACAAAATACAGCATAGATATATGACAGGAGAGGGTGGGCAACTTATTAATGGTACACAACAGTGTCTTTCGTATTTTTCAGATAACCAGGAAAGGCCTAGCAGTGATCTATTTTGAACAAAGGCTGTTCAAGAAACACAATACAGGAATCGGAGAGTTGAACGGTTTAAAGAATGGATGAAAGTAGGAAACAACTGTGTATTACTGCAAAAAAATTACAAATGTTTTTAGGCATTAGCATATATCCTCTGTAAAATAAAAGCACTGATTTAGTTACACATGGGAGCAAAGCTGGCAAAATTAGGTATTTTAAATGTCAGGGCTGAAAGATAAAGAAGGGTACAAAATTCTTAAGAATATTTCAGATTGTCAACATTTTACCCTGGAGACCAGAATGTCAGGACTCCAGCACCACTGCCACAGGGGGCCCTTTTACGACCTAAACAAGCTGCAGGTAATAAGAACTTCCAGCCTGTGATAACTTGAGCCAGCAGAGATGCAATCTACCTGCTGGTACATGGGCCTTACAAAGAAATGGAGTGATAAGCAGACTAAACAGGAGAGCTTTTACCTCTTCTCTTATTAAGGTGAGCACGGCTGTCTTGTCTGATTCGCTGAGGCAGATCCCATCCAGGGGGCTCTCACCTCCACAGGACACCGACACAGGGGCCTTCTCTGCAGAGGACTCCAGCAGCCCCTGTGGGGAAAGGGATTACACTGAATCTGTCAGCTTTCAGCTTCTTAACCCCAGACATCCTTCAACAACTTCCTCATTACTAAATTGATCACATCCTTTAAAACCATGTTTAAAGAAAAGTCAGCGGGGGGAAGCTTTTTAAAAAACAAATCTAATTATGGAAGTAACTAAAGAAAAACTGTTATAATGACTATCAGAGTGGTCTTAGCTTCTGTTGAGCAGATAACCTAGAGAATTTTATTCTGATCTAAAAGGGAGAAAGTGTACTTATAATAGCGGTCAGTCACCAAAGAACCACATGGATAAAAGAGAAACACACCCATGATTAAGTTTCTGGGGATAAGCTCCATGTAAATGGGAATTTCTTTTTTAAAAAAGCAAAAACAAAAACAAGTGACAGCTGCTCCTGTTACATATTGATGCTTTGTATGTATCTTTAGCCACTGCAGATGGAAATGTTTCTAAAATACTAACTTTCAGGCCTAAGAAGGCAGAAATAGCAAATATATTTGAACTCTGAACTCTCACCCCCACCCTTTCACCCGGATGATTCAGGATCATCCTGAACTTCCGCTGCTCCGCAGCGACCTCCTGCTGTAACCCAGCCTGCTGGGTGTGTGCCATTGTTGCCCATATGCAAAATGGCCATACATAAGTCAAGGACCATGCCTGTGTGTTGGTTCTTCCTTGCTACTAAGTTTTCCACTCCCTTCTGGCAGCACTTCGCCCTCTGAGGTGCTGGCTCAGAAGCTCTGAGGAGCTTCTTTCATAAGCTCAGGTTCCAGAGCAAAACACTGGCAAACTTTTCTTTTCATGAGAACATGGACTTTGTACTATTTTCCTTCCTAAAAGACGTTTTTGCTGGCTATTCCTCCTACCTACGGAAGTAAACTTTTTTTTTTTTTTTTGAGACGGGGTCTCACTCTGTGGCCCAGGCTAGAGTGCAGTGGCGCAATCTCGGCTCGCTGCAAGCTCCGCCTCCCGGGTTCACGCCATTCTCCTGCCTCAGCCTCCCGAGTAGCTGGGACTACAGGTGCCCGCCACCACGCCCGGCTAATTTTTCTGTATTTTTAGTAGAGACGGGGTTTCACCGTGTTAGCCAGGATGGTCTCAATCTCCTGACCTTGCAATCTGCCTGCCTCGGCCTCCCAAAGTGCTGGGATTACAGGCGTGAGCCACCGCGCCTGGCCAGAAGTAAACTTTTTATATAAATGAGTCATCTAATACTTTGGGAACATCCAAAATGCCAAAGTGACCTGGAATAATCTTAATCTTAAATGTGGGATAACTAATCAATTAGTTACTGATTATAATCAATCAGTTACATCTTGTGTGAATCAACACTAAACAGAAAGTCCAAGGTGAACGTAGATGAGTGGCTTTTAAATTTTTCAGAGTCATTATAGTTTTACCCTCTCTCTAGAAAATGCTCAGAAACAGAATTTTAGCATGCAGCTTCACAGACCTCAGCCATGGGCCCAAAATAGAAACCTGTCTCAGGCCACAGAAAAGCAAAATACAAAAGCCACAAGCTGGCAGTGCCCATGTTCCAGCAGCATTTGGGGGAGGGCAGCCCACCATGCCAACAGAAGTCCAAGGTACCCACAAAACCTCTCTTTTCTCTCTTGGGAAAAATCTACCACTAGAACCAGAAGGCACTTGCAGTGGGCAGCCTCTAAAATGCCCCCCAGTAACCCCTACCTCCAGTACTAATCCCCTCCCTCTGTAATCTCTTCCCTTTGAGTGTAGGCTGGACCTAGTGACTCATTAGAATATGGCAAACGTCATGGATGTCACTTCTGAGGTTAGGTTCTGAACAAACTCTGACTTCCATGTTTTGAGAAGCTACAGGGAAAGGCCCACGTGGCAAGGAGCCGATGTCTCTGCCAATAGCCAGTGGGGACCCGAGACTTGCCAACAACCACATGAGTGAGCTTGGAAGCAGATCCTCCCCAAGTCAAGCCTGGATATGACTGCAGCCCTGATCAACACCTGGATTGCACAGCCTGTAACAGATTCTGAGTCAGAGGCACCCAGCAAAGCTGCCCAAGATTCCTGACGCACAGAAACAATGAGATAATAAACACTTGCTTTAAGTGTTGGAGTAATGTGTTACACAGCAGCAGATAGCTGATACACCCCTGGACATTTGAATCATCTCACTAACTTCCTGTGCCTTGTTTCTTATCAAGAAACTTTTACTTGCCTAAAGGGAGGTAATACAGGAGGTCAAGTTGAGACTTGATTCACCTCACTGTTAAACTTCTGATTCTAAATTAACAACATTTCATGGGTCAGTCTCTTCTGAGTTCTTAGTTTAAGCCAGAGTCCCCAGGTTAAGTCAACTTTAGGAAACAGACTCTCAGTGCTTTCCATGGCTACCAAGTTCGTGAGAATATGGGAAATACGCCCCCTAAAAATCTTCATAGCCAGGAAAACATCAACATCCATTACAGAGTTCAGCATCTCATTCATTTGTTGAGAGGGTAAATGAATTCAGTCTGCCTGCTTAACAACTCAATGCTAACACATGTGGGGTCTGGAAGAGGCAGCATCCTGAGCAGGCGGTAGGAGATCAAACCTTAGATGGTGTTTAATGTCTCCAGGTGAGTGGGCTCTTCAGCCTGCCGACTCTCCCCAGCCACTCTCCTCTCTGCCTGGCCACATTTACAAACCTCACTACTCAAAATGCAACAACTCTTACAGGTGTCAGGGCAGGAATGTATGCCCTTGCCTACTTTAGCCATCTTTTCCAGTCTCCTAGGATTTAACTTTTTACATTCCTTAGTCCTTTAAGTTGCTTATCAAAAAGTGCAGAACATTTCACAGGGGTGTCCAAGGGAGAGAATGCAGTCATGGGTTCTTAGTTTCTGTTTCTGGTTGGGGCAGTAAAGCCCCTTCCTCATCCCTCTTTTCCGCTTATCACTAGAGACAGAAACTAAAAACTATGGCTTCAGGCTGCTAAAAGCCTAAAACAAAACCAATCAGAACAACAACAACAAAATTAAGCAAGTTGGACAAGCTTGTTATAGAATCTACCATCACAGAGAATTGGCCAGAAGATCTGTTTTAGGCCTGGGCCATCTAATATGTCTTTAATGAAGACGCTAAATCAATCAATCATATCCTTCCAAAAGGGCTTTATTTCATGTTTGCCAGTGCTTCTCCCAGTCCCTCAAAACATTCACAATTGAGGACCAACAAAGACCAGTCTATAGACAACAGAACTCAATGGACTCCCGGTTGCAAATTTACAGTGAGCACAGATGCCACTGATTCCCGTGGCTGTGGAGAATTCGCATCACTAATCTGTGGCAGTGTGCTGACTGTGCTCATTTGTCCTCAATCACAAGAGAGCAGTATCAGCCCCTGCCGTACTCTAACAGAGACGTGCCCAAAAAAGCCAAATGAACTCACCTTTTAAAACATTTAAAACTTAAAAAGAAAAGTTAACTTCTTACGTGAAAAATGCTGTGGAACAACAGCTGAAAAGCAAGGAGAGACTGACTCCTACCACTGATTGTACTCTGGCCTTAGTCCAGCCACCACCTACTGCTGGGCACAAGACCACATAAGAATGGACTTCAGAGCAACACAGATAAACTTAAAAAGTGAATGATGGATTAAATAGATGATTTTTTCATTCAATGTTTTGCATGGTGAAATTTCTTTATACAATGTTTATTCAATGTTCTAAGGAAGCAGAAATTAATTTATGTTGGGAAGTTCAAAAGGAGTTGCTTTTAAAAGGTCACAGCATATGATATGTTCCTCACCAGCTGGCTTCAGAGACAGTGTTTGCCATTTTTCTTTTTCACTCTCTTCCTTTCCACTCTCTTTTCCACGTGTTTCCTATCAACACCACACCAGTGTATTCTAACACAACAGTGTATTCTAGCACACTAGTGTATTCTAGCACTTTACAGCTTAAATCTTTCACGTTGTCATTTCATCTTATCCTTACAACCACTTTGATAAGGCAGATGGGTGCTACTCATTTTATGGATGAATCAGTTGGGAATTAGGAAGTTTAAAGTTTAAGAACTGAGTAAATGGGCTGGGCGCAGTGGCTCATGCCTGTAATCCCAGCACTTCAGGAGGCCAAGGCAGGTGGATCACCTGAGGTCAGGAGTTTGAGACCAGCTTGGCCAACATGGTGAAACCCCATCTCTACTAATAATACAAAAATTAGCTGGGCGTGGTGGCGCATGCCTGTAATCCCAGCTACTGAGGAGGCTGAGGGAGGAGAACTGCTTGAACCCAGTAGGTGGAGGTTGTAGTGAGCCGAGATTGCGTCACTGTACTCCAACCTGGGTGACAAGAGTGAAACTCTGTCTCAAAAAAAAAAAAAAGAACTGAGTAAACCAGCCAGGTGCAGGGGCTCATGCCTGTAATCCCAGCACTTTGGGAGGCGGAGGTGGGCAGATTGCTTGAGCCCAGGAGTTTGAGACCAGCCTAGGTAACATGGCAAGACCCCATTTCTGCAAAAAATACAAAAACTAGCTGGGTGCGGTGGCACGTGCCTCTAGTTCCAGCTACTTGGGAGGCTGTGGTAGAAGGATCACTTGAGCCCAGGAGGTGAAGGTTGCAGTTAGCCAAGATTGCACCACTGTACTCCAGCCTGGGGAACAGAGTGAGACTGTCTCAAATAATAATAATAATAACAACAATAATAATGATAATAATAAACCTTAGTTAACCCAAGACATCCAAAATATTATCATCTCAACATGTAGTTAATATAAAAAGTTGAGACATTTATGCTTCTTCTTTTTCTGAGTAGCTACAGTTCAAGTGCTCCACAGCTACCTGCGGCTAGGGTTACAATGCAGAGACTATGTGTTCCTCAAGTGAAGAAACTATCTCATTTACATTTTATCCTCATCACCTAACACTGACCAGAATTTAACAAATTCACATGGGCTTCAAAACAAATACTGAAAGAAACCTGAGTCCACCCGGCCCTCCACATTCAGGAACTTACAAGCACAGTGGACCCGTCTTCTTCCATCTTCTGGCACGTCTCCTTCTCTATGCCTAAGACAGAAAGTCATTTTTATAGTTATCCCAAGAAGTCGGTTCCTTTCCTCCCTAGTGAAAGGCTCTTGGAAACCCCAGTGCAGGCGAGAATGACTTATGAACACATGAAAAGCATTTTAAGATTTTATTTAAAAGGAGCGCTGGCATTTTGTTGAGTGCTGTTATAAGTCCATGACATTCAGAAGAGGAGCACATGGTTAGTCAGCCACAAACAGGTCGTCAGCCTTCAGGCTGAAAGAACAGCAAGGCTGCCCCCTTGTGTCCATTAAAAGTTTGGAAAAATGTGTCGTACTAACTGTGGCATTATTTCAGAAAGGGGACACTGTGTAACACTGAATGCTTTTTTTTAATCATCAAGTCGGAGTGAATTTAAATTCCAGCCCAGAAGGGTGGCCTTGATCTAATTAATGCAGCAGATAAGATAATAAGCTTTAAAATTCAAGGCAGCGAAACTAAACTCATTCTCCCCTCCACCCCTTCAAATGGGCTTCCTTGTCTCAGGTCTATCCTCTACTCTACTAGGGTAGAGGATGACATTTAAAATAACCAGAAGATGGCTGGGCACAGTGGCTCATGCCTGTAATCCCAGCACTTTGGGAGGCCAAGGTGGGTGGATCATCTGAGGTCAGGAGACCAGCCTAGCCAACATGGCGAAGCCTCATCTACTAAAAATACAAAAATTAGCTGGGCGTGGTGGCGCATGCCTATAATCTCAGCTACTTGGGAGGCTGAAGCAGGAGAATCGCTTGAACCCGGGAGCTGGAGGTTGCAGTGAGTTGAGATAGCGCCACCACACTCCAGCCTGGGCAACAAGAGCGAAACTCAGTCTCAAAAATAAGAAAAATAAAAAATAAAATAACCAGAAGATGCACTCATTAAAGTAAACATAAAAATACAGAAAAGCATACAAAAGTTTAAAGTTACAATCCTCCACATGGCAATCACTAACTACTATTGTTGTCAATAGCTAATTATTTAAAACACAAATGTGACCATCACTCCCTTATTCAAAAACCTTCAACCTCCCCCTCCCTACCTATAGGATCAAGCCCAGATTCCACGGTATGACCTTGTTTCCCACTTGGCCAGATACTTACAGAAAGCAACCAGGCCTTTTACCAACGTGGCAGCTTTCTTCCCATGGCTGTGTGAAAATCTCATTTCCTGGAGAACATCTAGTAAGTATCCATCAGGACCCAGCTTCAAGGGGACACTCACCAGGACACAGTCAGGATTCACCTAACAGGGCCTGTAGCCATTCCCACACCCAGGACCGCAGCCTCCACTTGCTTGTGATGCGGCTGATCAGTTACAATGTAACCACTTGTTTAAATATGTTCCCCTTGCTGTTTGCTAACTTTGAAGACAGCACTGTATGTACAGGGCCCCAGCTCTCTACATAAATTTTTATTGAAGGAATTTCCTCTAGTGAGGAAGAATATAATTCAATAAATGTTTACCATGTACTGTGTCAAAGGTGACTCAAAGATGAGTGGTAGTCTCTAACCTCAGTAAGTTTATAATATTACCTTCCTGTAATTAACACACTGCGCTAGGTACTGTGGAACAGGAAGGGGGAAAGGAAATGTGGGAGCAAAAGCATGCTGGAGAGACCTGAAGGGATGTGCAGATCTGTGTAAGAGGCAGCAAAGGAAGACACTTCAGATGGAAAAAAACCAAGGCAGGTGTTAAGAATACTCAGGATTAACCCCAAGAAACTGGGGGAATGGTGAACAATATCTTTGGGAAAGATGTCAGGGCAGAAGACAGTATTGGAAGAAATCAGGAACAATGCCTGGCATATTATTTTATAGATGAGAGACTGAGGCCTGGGATGAGAAGGAGGCCAGGGGGAATAAATTGCTCCAAGTCCTGACTTTCCATCTGCTTCCCTGGCTTAATGGCAGATCATGACTTTTAAAATTCTATACATAAAAGCCCATGAATAAAATTATGTTAAGAAGATCTGAGTTTTTAATAATGTTTAATGTAGTCAGGAACATGGTTCTAAACTTTTCATAAGTAAAGTTTAAGGCCAAGGATGTAACTGGGGTCCCAAGAAAGAGGGGCTTAGCTCTAGAATGATCTGATGAGTCCATCAATAAGAGGCTTCCACCCTGGTTAGCCCAGGTTCCTCATTGGCATGTTAAGAAAGATTTTACAGTGCACTGGTCAATCTCAACTTACCACATCTGTACCAGGAAAATTTACAGTAGCCTAGTATCATGAAAATAATCTCTTCATACTTTGGCATTGTGGCGAAAAGACCATGGAACCAGACTGCTTAGAGTCAAATGTAGTTCTACCATTTACTAATGATGAGGTTCAGAACACACTTCACCAAAATATGGTGCCTTCGCATTTGAGGACACAGCAGAAGCAGGGAGGTCTCTCGGCCCCTCTCCTGCCCCCTTTCCTGAAGCAGGCCATAAAGCAACCCCTCAGACCTTCCCCTGAAAATAGTTCATAAGACCTCATTACAAGAGGGGTCCTCCCTGTACACAGAGAAAAACAATGTCCTTATCCTGAAAGACACAGACACCAAGAGGAATTGGAACAAACAGGACTTGCTAAGTTCCCCTGGTTTATTACCACAGATCACACCCTTCTGTCCTCCAATTATACTTCTGCACAACTATCTATAAAAGTACAGTTTTCCCTGTTCCTTTGGGTCTTCATTTCTGGAGGCTCTAATGTCATGTAAAACTTATATTAAATATATTTGTACACTTTTCTCTTGTTGATCTTTTGTTAGAGATGTCTCAGCCATGAACCTTGTGGTGAGGAAAAAGATACCACTTTTCTGTCCTACCCTAGCCAAGTGACTTTAATCAAGTCACTTAACTTCTTTGACTTACTTTGTTTCTCTGAAGAAGTGAGAAAAGGGTAACACCTTGCTATGAATGAGTATATGCAAAGCACTTAAAACAATGCCTGTACATGGTAAGGCACCATACATGTCAGTTGTTATTTCTCTAAGTTAAACAATGAGTATAACAATCACAAAAAAGTCAAACATATGACATATTTATAGGCCATTTGATATAGTTTAAATATTTGCCCCCTAAATCTCATGTTGAAACCTGATCAACAGTTGGAAGTGAGGCCTAATGGGAGGTGGCTGGGTCATAGGAGCGGATCCCTCATGAATAGCTTGGTGCCCTCCTTGTGGTAATGAGCGACTTCTTGCTGTTAGTTTCTGTGAAATCTTTGTTAAAAATAGCCTGGCATCCTCCCCGCCCCCTCTTCCTCCCACCTCTCGCCATGTGACACACTTGCTCCCCCTTGCCTTCCACCATGATTGGAAGCTTCCTGAGTCCCTCACCAGAAGCAGGCACTGGTGCCATGCTTATTCTACAGTCTGCAGAACCATGAACCAAATAAACCTCTTTTTCCTATAAATTAGCCATTCTCAGGTATTCCTTTACAGCAACGCAAATGAACTAACACACCACTATACTTTAAGATATGGCCATATTCACATAAAATTATAAAGAAATTCAAGCAGTCTCACATACATCAGCATCTCCTATACAACTTGTCACAAGTATCTCTACGTTCCTAGTACTTCAATAAGCACTTTGTGTCCCTTTTCCAGGTAAAGAAGCAAAGCATAGGTCAGCATCCTAAATCTATCCTTCAAGTGACCCAATTCTTTAATCTCTGTAAGGCTCCTCCTGCTTTATTAGGCTTTCAGGCATTTCCATGCTTATGTACATTAGAAAGATGAAGATATGCTTCCATACCTGCTTCTGAGGATGAAAACGCATGATTTATGGTAGACACAGGAACATTGGAACATTCAAAGTACTCCAGGTCTTCCTCTGGCTCACCTTTCACCTCGGCACCAGCTGATTTCTGACCACATGACGTGGATGCCAGTTTCTCCTCATCAGTAGCATGGCCATCCCTATTAGAAATGTCTGAAATCTGGGAGATCACTGCCCCTTCATCCTGAGAAACACAACAGAGAAGATGCTACCCTTTAGGAGGGCAAGCAATGGGGAAAAGTGACATCCCATGAATGGAACAAAGTAGACACAACTCCATACAGATATGTGAGAGGTTAACCACAGACCTGGGTACAAAGCAAGGAGGAAGTTGGAGTCTTTCAATTGTGAGATGCTGTTTTATAGAACCTAGTTTCTGTAACTTGAGTCTGAGGTTTTAAAAAATGATCTTCTCTAGGTTAAGTTTATAAGCAAGCAGTTTCAGTGGTTTAAGACAATGGTTTTCAATTTTTTTGCTCATATACCTAATTTTTTTTTGAAAATCTATGTCCCCCATTGCATTTTCAAGTGACATCTAAAAACTTTTTGGCATAAGTTTAAATAATTGCAAAGAATGTAATATCTGGAATATTCTAAATATTGAATTTACTTAATGCTATCTAGTTACCTTAGTGATTTGATACCATATGTAAATTTAAATGAACAAGTTCCTGAATAAGTCAGAAATTTATGTTATTCCTTTTCCTCTCTAAATCTGTATTTCCATCCCACTTCCATCAAGAAACTATCCAAATGAAAAACATCTGCATGGTTGAAAGTCTTTTTAAAAGTCTCTATCCAATGTCTCTGTGAAACTTTTTTCTTTAAGTCTTAAAATTTTTTCTGCTGGAGACTTATCACATTTATTAATGCACAACTTATTTTCAAAATATTGCAAGTTTTGATAAGTATTATCAGACACAAAAGTAAGTTGTTATATCAATTACAAAATGTTTTATTGCACTAATTCTTAAAAACTTTTACAGTGCACTAAATATATGGGTTTTGGGTTTTTGTTTTTGTTTTTTAAAGAAAACCAAAGATAAATTTCTCATAGTTCTTGCTGCCTACTTTAGCAAAATCTGAGGGAGAATGTTACACATTTGTTAACAGATGAAAAATAACTCAGATTGTAAATTTCCCCCATCACACCCCTTTTTTACATCTTACACCATATACCAAGTTTCTGATCCAAATTGTAGAGGAAAAGTTATGTTAAATTGAACTCTATTAACCAATGAATGTATTTCTGTAATAAGTATACTGAGAAAGTTTTAAAAAGAACAAAAGGATCTCATTGCAATCAGATGGGCCTGGGCTTCGCTTTGTTTTGCAATTAGTTTATACGGTCATGGATGGATATTATTTATTGCTAGAATGTAACAAAGGTCAACATCAATTTTATTCCTGGTTTCTATTTTTATCAATATAATCATTAAGAAACCTTATTTATATAAACAATAGATGAAACAGAAAGTAGTTCTGTAACATAAGTGCCTTTCAATTCTTTGAACCCCTTTCCAAGTTATGTGCCCAAAAAAATCTACCATCAAACATTATTTTTAGACCTATCAGCTGACAACTCAGGTTTTCCTCTATTGTTGAAAGCAATGAATTAGAAAACCATCTGACTTAAGAAAAATACCATCCAGTTATTAGAGTCAATTATCTTATTAGAACCTACACCAGTATTTCAGATCTTCCCTTCGGTGCCCTGGAGACTTTCACACCCTGTGGTGATGCATCTTTGTAGCATTTAAAGTGGGAATTTTACCAAAAAAAAAAAAGAGTCATTGTGAAAGGGTTCCCTTGTCTTCAGGGGCCTTCTCTTCAGGGACAGTAAGGATCTGGAAATTGGCTTCTTAAAGCTGAGTACTCAGGTACCCATTGGAAAGTCCTTTTGAACCACCCGCCAGGGGGATGCAAACTCCCACTGGAGGACCCCTGGTCTCAGAGACATTCTGGAGATGGGCACAGACTCACCCGAGAACATGCATCCAGGGCGAGAGACTGAGTTTCATGCTTCTTCACCTTACAGCCACTCCTGGAAAGAGAAGAAACACAAACAAGCCAGTTTGCAATCACACTGACAATTGTCAAGGTATGAAATGGAGCAGACAGCAGTGTGTGCGGATAGAAGCCAAAGCATACAGCACCACACAAATCATACATCGCCGCAGGAGAGAGGCAGGGACACCTTTTATGCCTCTGAGTTTTCTCCAGAGAGACGGGGTAAGCAAAGACCTACAAGCGGGGCTCATTCTCTGAAAAGACCCCCTCAGCTTGCTTCTATGAGTTGTCAAACAGTAGCACTCTGATGTCTATGGTTTTTAATTACACGCCACCAAAAGCTTTGCAGACAGTAGAGCCTTAGCAGCTGGAGACATTCAGTTCCTCTGAGCCTCACTCGCTTGGCTTTGACATTCATTAGAAAAATCATCACGCTGGACCAAATTCTTTAAAAATTCTTTATTGCACTAAAAGCCATAGACGTCTCATAAAACAGTTCCAGTTAGACTTGTGTGCTCACAGAGAAGAACTGTCATCAATAAAAAGTATAAAAGTAAAAATATGTGAGTAAACTGTTACCATTCCTATTAAGTAGTAAGATGGAAGATGAATGTCACACGCTGCACAAAGCCTGAAACTGGGGAAGCTTGAACCATCTGTTATTTGTAGATTAGCACACAACTTGTGATCACAGGACTAATTCAGATTCTGTTCTAATAAACTTAGAATTTCCAGGAAAAACACCACTGTGACCAAAAAAAGAGAAAAAATTATTTGCAACTTTTTTTCTTTTGTGAGAAAAAATACAAAGACAAGCACATAAGTTACCGGAATGTGCATAATCACTAGTTCATGATCTTCTTTCCCTAATCTTCTTACTGAGTGCTACCCTCTGCCACCAAACTCAAGTTGAGCTGACTCAGTAAAATTTATTAACTGTTCCAAGCCAGTAGCTTTATGCTACCAAAAAAGCCAATGATTTCCAATATTAAATAGCAGAACAGTCCCTCAAACCACTGCTGTGATGATCTTGGGGCCAAGCCAGCTTTTGGTATTGTCAAAGCGCCACGTGACACCTGCCAAGCCAGGGAGTGCAAGCTCTAGCACCTAAGGTGTAAAGGCCAAGCCCCACTCCCTTAGGTATGGACAACTGCAAGGCTAAGCTGACTCATGAAGTGACTGATGAAATGCAAAAAAATCATCAGAAGATCAAACTCAGAATTAGAAGCAAACATGCTATGGAGAGATGGCTGGGGGAGGGGAGAGAGGAAACTGCCAACGGTCCCAGGGACTAAAGAAACAGCAGGAGTACTTACAACAGAAAACAGAGAAATTTCACTTGTTCAGTAGTCCTGATGCACCAACAAAATTAGAGACAGGAAAGAGACAGACAGATGGAGAAAAAAATCATGTAAAGACTGGAATATTCAACTCTAGTCTGGCAGATGTAAAAGCTGCACAATTCTTTCTATGAGGTGAGATACAAATTAAAAATGTCGTATTCATGAATGTTATCACCAGTGAGTGAATGATGAACAGACCTCAACTACAAAGGAGACTGGTAGAAACACTCAGAAATGCCACAAATTCAAATTTACAGATGAAAAATAAACTTCCAAGAGGTCTAGCACTCCTTTCTTCTAAAAAGAACAAGACGACAAGATTTTTGATTGCATAAGGCCTTAAAAAAAGCCCTATTAAGTGTATTAGATCAAGAAGTTCATTCAACAAAAACAGAATAGGGGAAAAAGGCTACTGGGTGAGGGTGGCAGGACTCGAGAGACGGTGCTTCTTGCTGCCGAATATAAAGTGTAGAATAAATTACCCTTTCTTTGGCCCAGATTTCATCTTATTTAATGCATTGGTTGCATGCAACTCAAAGACTCACAAATGACTCCTTATCAACTTCAGTATGCAGAAGCATCCCACATTTAGGGGAGGAAGTACCTAGGCAGTGACGTGCCCAGTACATACCCTAAGTGCTGTCTAGAGAGGAGTAACCAACCTTAAAAGCCACAAAAGAGGGCACCCAATCAATAATATTTTCCAACAACCATTTAACTGCTTATATATAATCAAAGAACAGATCGAGAGCTACTAATGACATTTCACTCCCCTTAGCCATTCCGGGGCTGCTGAGGAACTGGTTCCTATATCTCTCTACTTTCTTGGTACTGAAGTTGATCCTTCTGCTCTTTAAACCTCTGGGCGTCTTCCTTTCTGCTGTAAGTCACCATGATATCTGGAGTTTTTCTTTAAGTCATAGCAATGCTGAGAAGCATTTCCCCAACTGATCTACAGTGACAAGTACAAACACAGTGCTTCTCATACTCCCATATTTCATCCTGCATCTCATTGGTCCTTCTTTATATCTACATTTTACTCAAACTTTTTAGTAAAATGTGGCCCTTTTTAGGGCCACAAAAGGATATACAGTCAGGTGCCATGTAATGACATTTCAGTCATGCATACGATGGTGGTCCCGTAGGGTTATAATGGAACTGAAAAACTATTGTCTAGTGATGTCCTGACGATCCTGAGTAGGCCTAGGTAATGGGTAGGCCTAGGTAATGTGTGTGTCTGTGTCTTAGTTTTTAACAAAAATTTTAAAAAGTAAACAAATAAATAATTTTACACAAAGAAAACTTATGGAATAGGTATATAAAGAAAATATTTTTGTATAGCTGTACCATGTGTTTGTGTTTTAAGCTAAGTTTTATTACAAGAGTCAAAACTTCTTAAAAAATTTAAAAGTTGATAAAGTAAAAGTTACAGTAAGCTAAACTTAATCTATTATTGAAGGAAAAAAACTTAAATAAATTTAGCATAGCTGAAGTGTACCGTGTTTATAGAAGCTACAGTAGTGTACAGTAATGTCCAAGGCCTTCTCATTCACTCACCACTCACTGACTCACTCAGAGCAACTTCCAGTTCTGCAAGCTCCATTCATGGTAAGGGCCCTATACAGGTGTATTATTTTTTATCTTTTATACTATATTTTTACTGTACCTTTTCTATGCTTAGATATGTTTAGATACACAAATACTTACCATTGTGTTACACTGCCTATAGTAGTTTTTTTTTTTTTTTTTTTTTAAAGACAGGGTCTTGCTCTGCCAGCCAGGCTGGAGTACAATGGCATAATCATGGCTCACAGCAACCTCAACCTCCTGGGCTCAAGCAATCCTCCTGCCTCAACCTCCTGAGTAGCTGGGTCTACAGGCATGCACCACCACTCCCAGCTAATTAAAAAAAATTTTTTTAAGAGACAGGGAATCGGTGTGTGTGGGGGGGTGTCTCACTATGTTGCCCAGGCTGGTCTTGAACTCCTGGCCTCAAGGGATCCTCCCACCTTGGCCTCCCAAAGTGTTGGGATTACAGGTGTAAGCCACCACACCTAGCACCTATTCAGTACAATAATGTGCTGTACAGGGTTGTAGCCTAGGAGTAACAGGCTGTACCATATAGCCTAGGTGTGTAGTAGGTTTCACCACCTAGGTTTGAGTAAGTTCACTTGACGATGTTCACACAACAAAATCACCTAAGGATGCATTTCCCTGTGGCTTACCCTGTGGCTAAGTGATGTATGATTGTATTATCATCTACTCAAGTTTTGTGATAAAGTAATCCTGTAGCAAAGTTAAACTGAAACTTGATATGGAATAGGACCTTAGGTAATTACACTGAAAACACCAAGGACCTTGCAAAAGTCAGATAATTTCCCAGGAGAGATGGGGGATTGACTAAACCAACTAATTTACTCAGTTTTAACTGATCATTTAAAATATTCTTGATTCTTATTGAAATTTTACCTCCTGGCTGATGAGCCAGAAATTACACATGGAGACAAGAATTCTCATCAATTTTAGTGGTAGGTTTGTTTCCCACAAAAATCACAGCTTTCTGTTTATGTAAAAAGTCTTCTTTCTACAAGACCCTTTTGGATCATTTCCCACGTTATTGACGCTACAGAGGTAAGTTACAGGACTGGAATTTCTGTTTTATCCATAGAGTATGAAGACGGTGGCCAGCAGTGACATTTGAATTGTCTATAACACGACTCCTAACAGTCCAGCCAGGATTTCTGAAAACCATCAAATCTCTACCTGTCTATCTCATGCCATTCTTTTTTTTTTTTTGAGATGGAGTCTTGCTGTCACCCAGGCTGGAGAGCAGCGGCGTGATCTCGGCTCACTGCAACCTCTGCCTCCTGGGTTCAAGCAATTCTCATGTCTCAGCCTCCCGGGTGGCTGGGACTACAGGTGTGCACCACCACGCCCAGCTAATTTTTGCATTTTTAGTAGAGACAGGTTTCACCATGTTGGTCAGACTGGTCTCAAACTCTGGACCTCAAGTGATCCACCTGCCTCGGCCTCCCAAAGTGCTGGGATTACAGGTGTGAGCCACCGTGACTGGTCTATTTTTTTTAAACATAAAAAAGTCTCTAGGGTCAAGGGAAAAGAGCTTAGCTGATTAAGCTAAGGATTCAGAAAAAAGACAACAATCTGAAAAGGAAACCTCTGGTATTTCTGATTCCACACAACAGTTAAGCCAAACAGTGAAGACTGCAGGATAACATTATAAGCTTTGTATGAACCTCGGTGCACCTCAAAGGTAAATTCAGTTCACCAAAGCCAAAAGTAGCTGGCTGCCAAACTCAACAGACAAGACACAGAGCACGACACCCAGCGCCCACTGTCACTCACGTTATTAAACGCGACTTTGCCTTCTTGGGTGATTCTAAGATTTCATTAACGTGATTACCAGTGGGAGAACAAAAGTCACTGCTTGTTAAGGTCGTAGTTGGTTTAAAGGGATCCATGGATTCGTCAAAGTTATCTGGGTCAAAGTGGTAGGAGCCCTCAGAAGAGAGGGGTGGGGAGTTCTGCAGAACAGAGTGGCTCCCAAAGGGGTTGAAGCTGGGGCTTTCCCACTGACTAGGATCTGGCTTGGAAGATGTTTGGGAGAGAGGCCCGTCTCGTGCCACTGGGTCTGTAGGCTGTTCTAAACCTGCTGACTTACTGATGCCATCTTTTTGTATCTTGGGAGTCAGTGTGCTACCCAGTTTCCTGCCAAGCTTCCTTGGAAGGGCTTTCCTGGCCTCTATGTTTCCTGTATCTTCTGTGAAATCAAACTCAAGCTTGAGAGGTGAGCTCCTCGACTCCTCCCCCAGCTCAACCCCTGAGTCGTTGGTGTCACTACTGAGAGTGCCGGGAGTTTCTTTAAGGTCAGGGGGAGACTTCTGGAACCTGGCATCTCCTAGCAAAGGACTTGTGTTCTCATCCAACTCTTCAGGACTGAAGTGATAGGATGCCTTGGGGAGAGGTGTGCCCTCCACAGCAGCGTTGGTGTCTGAGAACTCTCCTCCAATTGCTTTCTTCCTCAGGGGGACAGGCTTGGGCTTTCTCAGCTTGCTTCTTCTGCTGGGCACAAGCTCTGGACAGGAGTTGCCAGCTTTTAGATCAGCTTCTGCGGAGGCCTCGAGGGTGACCCCCATGCTGCCTTCTGTCATCGCCTCGTCCTGGAGGGCGTCTGGCGGGCTGGAAGGCAGAGCCTTGCCTGAGACTGCAGTTACACAGCCATGAGCTGCTTTTGTTCCGAGGACTGCCGAGATATCCGTGGAATCCTTCGTTTCTATTGAAAATGGCCTCACGATGGAAATTTTGCTAAAATCATGTTCAGGTTCTTCTCTGAAATTCTTGACTGAGTGAGAGTCAATGGCCTGCTGTGGCACTTCATTTTCTGAAGGTTTAGAACAAGTCTTAGATGAACATTTTTCAACCACTTCTGCTACAAGCTGTTCATCAGCTTCTTGTGATTCTAAAATGAAACACAAAAACCATCTATTAAAGAATTATCTGTCACTGGTAAGTATCCTCTCTTACCTGAATTCATATAAACAAATAGCAAGTTCTTCCCTCTTTGCTTTTATTAAGCATCTCTAAAGTTCAGGAAGGATGGCAGCACAGCCTGAAAGAGAAGAGCTGGCACAACACCCTAAAATGAATTTTCCTATCCCAAGTTGTGTATGTGCATTATCCAAGTGATACGAATAGTAAGTACACCAAAAGAGCTATTTAGAAAAAGGATAAATAGAGCAAGAGTCTGCTGCAATGTATTATTATGTGATGTTAACATTCTGTAGGGTAAAACTGGTCTGGAGGAGTATTTAGAAACCAACAGCTATGGTGCAGGGAGGCAGATTGGTGCTGAGACAGTTCCTAAGCACAGCCTGACAGCTTCAGGGTCAGAACTTTATGCAGTGAACAGATCTGAATCTTTGAATGTTAAAAACATAAGTATCTTGGGAGGCCAAGACGGGCACATCATGAGGTCAAGAGATTGAGACCATCCTGGCCAACATGGTGAAACCCCATCTCTACTAAAAATACAAAAATTAGCTAGACATGGTGGCACACGCCTGTAGTCCCAGTCACTCAGGAGGCTGAGGCAGGAGAATCACTTGAACCCGGGAGATGGAGGCTGCAGTGAGCCGAGATTGCGCCACTGCATTCCAGCCTAGACTCTGTCTCAAAGAAAAAAAAAAGAAGAAAAAAAAAAAGCCATGTATCCACAGAACAGAATTTAAAAAGACTGTTTCAAAAATAAATTTAAAAAATCTACTGTGACCAGCTCAGAATCATCTCTCTGTAGACCTAAAAACTAAAAGAACCAAATAAGAAAGCTAATTTGAAAAACCAGATATGGAAATGGCTTTAAAACAAATAGCCCTTATTTTACTAAGACACAAATTGTAAAACAATAAAGTTATTTTTTCTTTAGAACCTCTGTCTCTAAGTCGGACCAGGAATTCTCTAAATCACTTGTGAAAAATAAAAATCCTTTTTAATTGTGGTCTTACTAGGATAAGTGCTGCAAATATTAGGAAGGTGTGAATGAGGTAATTTCGTTAAAGCAAAAAGTGATTTCCTAACGTAGATATCTGAAACAAGAGTAGCACAGAAAAACTCAGTGAATTGGTTATAATATCTCATGATTTTAAAGGAAATTAAAAGATGACCCTCTAATCCTACTTCCTAATCCTAATCCAGGATCAGAGTCAAGTACCACTGGAATATCATAGCTATAGTTTTTATTTTTGTTTTTCTTGACACAGTGTCTCTGTTACCCAGGCTGGAGTGCAGTGGCCTGATCATGGCTCACTGCAGCCTTGACTTCCCCAGGCTCAAGTGATCCTCCCACCTCAGCCTCCCAAGTAACCGGGACCACAGTCATGAGCCACTAAGCTTGGCTAATTTTTATTTTAATTTATTTTTTATGTAGAGACAGGACAGCCAAGTTGCCCAGGCTGGTCTCACTGGGCTCAAGCAATCTGCCTGCCTTGGTCTCCCAAAGCACTGGGGTCACAGGTATAAGCCACTGCGTCCAGCCTGTTTTTTTTTTTTTTTTTTTTTTTTTTTTAGGGGTCTCTCACTCTGTTGCCCAGGCTGGAGTGCAGTGGTGTGATCACAGCTCACTGCAGCCTCAAACTCTGGGGCTCAAGCAATTCTCCCATCTCAGCTGCCCAAGTAGCTGGGATTTGGAATAGCTTTTTTAAAGCATTCACACACCTTTCTCATGAATCTTCTATGATTATTATTGGGTACTGGTTTACAAATTATACTTCACAAACATACTTCAGATATTCTACAAATGTCCAATTAAAATTTTTCTTTTAAATATATGTTTAACTATTATTAATACTAAAATGTGTTAAAACGTCTCAGTGCTTCATAATCAGAATTTGGTTTAACATATTTCAAAAGGATTTTTTAAAAAAGAGATAGTAAGTATGGCAAAATCTTGGTAACTGTTGTCCAGGAATAGGTATATGGGAGTTTTCATTGTACTATTTTCTCTGTCATACAGTTGTGAAACTTTTCATAAATAAAAAGTTTAAAAACTCAACTGCAATACACACAAAATTTTAACAAGAACATTTTAAACTGTACTGACAATTTCACTTATGTGTACAGAGTCTATTATCTCTGTCCATGTATGTGAACTGTTATAAATGTGTTATTGTTTCTTTGTGCTGATGATGCGGAGGCAGACAACTAAAAACAAGCCATCAGCACCCTAAGGCTGCAAATATCCATGTGTTTCCATGTACAACTGGCTCAGTTAAAAGACAGGCCAGTTGTACAACAATGAGTCTTGATTATATCAAGGTTTAGATAGTTATCACTCCTTTTAAGTTTTGGTGCTTATTGTCAGCTTTTTAGATTCAACACAGGTGGTATAATAAAAATACGTATTTTGTCTTTGTCCTCAGTTCCTGGCACAGAGCTCCTACAACCCCTGGAACCTCCTGACTGGTCAGAGTGTCTTTTGTGTGTTAATGAATGACTGGGTGCTGGGGGTCCCTTGACAGCTGCGGGAATGGGCTGGTCACCAGAAAGACCAAGCCAAGATTAGAGGGTTGCAACTTTCAGCACCGTCCCCACTCCTTCCAGGGAGGGGAGAAAGGGTGGAAAATGAGCTCAATCACCAAGGCCAATAATTTAATCAATCACACCTACATGATGAAACCTCTATAAATACCCCTAAATGACAGGGACAGGGAGCTTCCAGGTTGGTGAACATGTTGACTTACTGGGAGGGTGGTGTGCCCAGAGGGAGTGGAAGCTCTGCACCCCTGCAGGTATGGGGATACCTTGCCCTATGTATCCCTTGCATTTGACAGTTCCTGAGTTGTATCCTTCACAATAAGCCAGTAAATATAAGTATTTTCCTGAGTTCTGTGAGTTGTTCTAGCAAATTACTGAAACTGAGAAGAGGAGTTATGAGAATCCCCAAATTTATAGCCAGTTGCTCAGAAGCACTGAGACTTGTGACTGGTATCTGAAGTGGCGGCAGTCTCGTGGGACTGAGACCTTAACTTGTGGGGTCTGCACTAAGGACAGATAGTTTAAGAAATGAACTGAATTTTTGGAAACCCAGTTGGTGCTGGAGAATCTGAGAACATCCAGAACAGGAAATGTGCCTTTTAACAGTGACTATTTAACAGACACAGCACTAAATTATCTGAGATTTTTTTAAAATGATACTTCTAAATATCTTAGTTTTGTATTTTCTACCAAAAAGATTTAAACTCATGAGGAACCACTTTATGTACTATTTCTAAAATTTACATCTATAAAATTAATAAATTGGATGAATTGTTAGATATTGTTAATAACTCAAATCTGAAACACAAATTCCCCTCTGCTCCTCTTACAGACTTTTGGAATAGTTTAATTAAGGCACGCTCTCAGGTACTAAGCTGAATTATTTAAAAACTTATCTGCAACTACTGACCTGCATAAATCAAGGTTCTTTCAATAACATGTAATCCAAACACTACTGAAATAAATTTTATTCTTTTTTTTTTTTTTTTTTAAACATGGTCTCACTACGTTGCCTAGGCTGATCTTGAACTCCTGGGCTCAAGTCATCCTCCCGCCTCAGCCTCCTGAGTAGCTGGGATTACAGGTGCATGCCACCACATCCGGCTTAGTTTTTAATTAGACTCTGATTTAGTTATTTTGCATGTTTCAATCTCACAAATCCCACTGTTTTTAAAACTAATGTTTTTAATCTTTACAACTATAATATATATCACCTTAAAATCTATTATACATTGCCGGGCACGGTGACTCACACCTGTAATCCCAGCACTTTGGGAGGCCGAGGCGGGCAGATCACCTGTGGTCAGGGGTTCGAAACCAGCCTGGCCAACATGGTGAAACCCCATCTCTACTAAAAATACAAAATTAGCTGGGCATGGTGGCGCATGCCTGTAATCTCAGTTTCTTGGGAGGCTGAAACAGGAGAATCGCTTGAACCTGGGAGGCAGAGGTTGCAGTGAGCCGAGATCGCACCACTGCACTCCAGTCTGGGCAACAAGAGTGAAACTCTGTCTCAAAAACAAACAAACAAACAAAAAATCTATTATATGTTAGAGTCCACATAATTTTTGTTTTTTGAGGAAAAGGTTCCACTGCCTTAAGATTTTGAAAACTATGGTTAAAGTGGGAAGTGCATCTCTAAAAATGGTGATATGGAAATAAGTGGAGATGAACAGGCGTTCTAGGAACTTAATACACGTGACCTTTTAAGGAGAACTTCAGCATCTCTCAGTTGTACCACAGATGATCCCACTCTAAGTAACAGATCTTGAAAACCCTATACAAGAGGTTGTATTTTAACATCTTTATCCTGGTGCGCCCAGCAGGAGTGGATGGTGTGGCATGGTGGGAGAGCCACCCTTTCCATATGCTGACAAGCAAGAAATGGTCCGGAGCCACTGTTTCTCCATCTAGAAAACTATTTTACACTACATTTTACTATAAATCAAACTGATATACTGGAAGAACTTGTTACCTAAGTAAATCATGATGGATTTGCTAAAAATAAAAATTCTACTTCTAAAATATTGGTATTACATGTGTATTTTCTTGTGTACAATTTATAAACTGTATTTACCCATAAACTAATTAGCCTATATTAAATGTTAGGACAAGAACTACCTCCTTTCATTTGCTGTGGGTTTGTTTTCCAATGGATTTTTTATTTGGTTCTTTTAGTACTTCTGTCTATAGAGAGGTGATTCTAGGCCAGACATGAGAGGTTTTCCATTTATTTTTGAAACAGTCTGATTATTTAAACCCTGTTCTGTGGAATAGGGAATACAGTTATGTGTTGCTTAACAACGGATTCTGAGAAATCTGTCATTAGGTGATTTCATCATTGTGCGGGTCACTGTGTGATCATTATAGAGTGTACCTGACACAAACCTAGATGGTATATTTACTACATACCTATGGTATAGCCTATTGCTCCTAGGCTACAAACCTGAACAGCATGTTACCGTACTGAATACTGTAGGCAATGGTAACACAATGCTAAGTATTTGTGTATCTAAACACAGAAAAGGTACAGTAAAAATATGGTATTATAATCTTACATGATCACATCATATATGCAGTCAGTCGTTGATCAAAACATCATTATATGGTGAATGACTGTATTTTTAACTTCCAAACATTCAAATCTGATCACTGCATAAAATTCTGACCCTGAAACTATCAGACTGTGCCTGGGAACTCAGTACCCATTTGCATCCCTAACATTTAAGCTGTTGATGTCCAATGGCTCCTCTGGACCTACAGAATATTAATATCACATCAGATATACTGCAGTAGACCCTTGTTCTACTTAGTCTTTTCCTAAATAAGTTCTATTTGATTATCCAAGTGACACAAATAACAGATTCTCTCTCTCAAGAATCTGAATTAAGACAGTAAGTAGATCTGTAGGAGGCTGAGGTCAGGATAAAATAAAGACAGAAGACCATCCTATCCCAGTGGACAAGTGATAGAGAATGGAGGTACCTGAGGACTTTTCAATGCCCACAAAGGCCTACCTACACTGCCCCAGCTTAATTTCTATGAAACGCCCCTTTCTCAATGATGTATACATATTTGAGCTAGTGTGAGTGGATTTCTGCCGAGACCAAATGTATTCAAACTAAAGTGCACAGAGAACTCAAGTCCCAAGATTCTGAGATCAACTGATGTCACCTAACGAGAGACAAACACATAAACCCTTCTGATATGAAAGGATGGGCATTACAACCATGTCCTATGCAATGTCTTCAAGGAGCCCAGAGGTGAAGAGAAAACCTGCATATAAGTACAGGATGAGAGACCTACCTGAGCAACCAGTCAACATTTTCTAACATGTGATTGGAGTTAACATGTGATTGCAACTCAATACAACCCATGGTGGCATAACTGAGCACAAAGCATATGCAATCTCAGATCCTATTAACAGATAAACAGAAACATCAATGACAACAGGATTGAGTAAAATGCACTGAGGGTTTGGATGGACTAGGCAATGGGCTACTAAGAGCTCACCGGGACTATCTTATTGAACCAAGACATCAGTCTTTACCACTAATGACAGATTTTACCAAATCTGTCGAAACTCTAAGGCCTGGGTGCTAAACCATATGTTAAATTCATCTCTTCATGGCCATAACAGTTTCTTGTAGTCTCCTTGATCACATAACATCTGAGATTGTGAATTCAGTTAGATTCTGAATTCAGTTCTGAGCTCCTCATCTTAAAAAAATTGTGAACAAAAATGGACGTCCTTAGAGGAATGTGGATCAAGGTGGTGTATCTGTAAACAATTAGTCTAAGATATTTAGTCTAGAAAACTAAGAAACATGATAGAGTCTACAAAAATTTTAAGGGCGTTTGAGGTAAAGGGAAAAAATTTGGATCATATGCACAACTATTAAGAGGAAAGTGGATTTCAACTCAATATAAGAGAAAACAAACAATCATGCAATGAGTGCAAAGAGAAGCCAGCTCCCTATCCATCAGGAATGGTTCACCCCTCCATTTCACTCACATGTTCACTCAGTCATTCAACAAATACCTAAGTATTTTTATGTACTGGGCTCTGTGCTTGGCACTGGGGACGTAACAGCAAGCAAAAAAGAGGAGGGCTCTGTTCTCATGCAGTTTAGAGACTAGCAGGAAAGAGAGATATTGATTAAATAATACTGAAAGAATGAAGGGGAAAAATGAGGATGGGAAATAGAAAGGCACCATGCTCACAGAGCCTTGCAGGCCTTGTCAAGAATCTGGTTCTATTCTAAGAGCAACAGGAAGCCATGAGTTTTTAAGCAGCAGAGAATATACTCAGGTTTATATTTTGAACAGACCCCAGTTGCAATGTGGAAAAGGATTAAAGAGTGTAAAAATGGAACATGTGAAACTGCTAGTATTTTATTCTAGGGGCTTTGACAAGGGTGATGCTAATGAATAGGAAGTATTGGGGGAATCCACCCCCAATATTTCAACGTAGGTTCTTTCTATTTTTCCTAAGTGTCGGCCAGTCTGAGATATAAAAAGAGTATAAAGAGAGGAATTTTACAGCTGGGCCGCCGCCGGGGGTGACATCACATATCGGTAGGTCCATGATGTCCCCTGAGCTGCAAAACCAGCATGTTTTTATTAAGGATTTCAAAAGGGGAGGGGGTGTACGAACAGGGAGTAGGTCACAAAGATCACATGCTTCTGAGGCCAATAAAGATCACAAGGCAAGGGGCAAAGCAAAGATCACAAGGCAAACGGCAAAATTAGAATTACTGATGAGAGTCTATGTTCAGCTATGCACATATTGTCTTGATAAACATCTTAACAGAAAACAGGGTTCGAGAGCAGAGAACCGGTCTGACCAAAATTTACCAGGCTGGAATTTCCCAATCCTAGTAAGCCTGAGGGTACTGCAGGAGACCACAGCGTATTTCAGTCCTTATCTCAACCGCATAAGACAGAGACTCCCAGAGCGGCCATTTATAGACCTCCCCCCAGGAATGCATTCTTTCCCCAGGGTATTAATTATTAATATTCCTTGCTGGGAAAAGAATTCAGCAATCTCTCTCCTACTTGCATGTCCGTTTATAGGCTCTCTGCAAGAAGAAAAATATGGCTCTATTCTGCCCGACCCCACAGGCAGTCAGACCTTATGGTTGTCTTCCCTTGTTCCCGGAAAATCGCTGTTATTCTGTTCTTTTTCAAGGTGCACTGATTTCATATTGTTTAAACACACATGCTTCACAATCAATTTGTACAATAGTGGTCCTGACGTGATATACATCCTCAGCTTACGAAGATAACAGGATTAAGAGATTAAAGTAAGACAGGCATAAGAAATTATAAGAGTATTATTTGGGAACTGATAAATGTCCATGAAATCTTCACAATTTATGTTCAGAGATTGCAGTAAAGACAGGCATAAGAAATTATAAAAGTATTAATTTTGGGAACTGATAAATATCCATGAAATCTTCACGATTTATGTTCTTCCAGTCCCTCCGTTCAGGGTCCCTGACTTCCCACAACAGGAGGAGAAGTTATGCTCTAGAGAGGAAATGAGGTGAGACTGATAAGGCTGGGTGATAAGCTGGATACAGGACTGAAGTAGGAGGAGGTAGCAAAGATGATTTGTAAGTTTTAGCCTTTGAAACTAGAAGACTAGTGCCATTCAGTGAGATTCAGGAAATACTAGTGAATGCTTGGGGACTAGTTGGAGTGGGGCCATGGGTTTAGCCTTGGACATGTTGAGATCTGTTTCAGGTTTTTTTTTTTTTAATCATTCCATATTTCATTTCAAAAAAATTTTAAACATAGCTTAAATACATTGTTATACTTTATTTATTTTAGAGACAGGGTCTCACTCTGTCACCCAGGCTTGAATACTGTAGCGTGATCCCGGCTCACTCCAATCTCGACCTCCTGGGCTCAACTTTTCCTCCCTCCTCAGCCTCCCAAGTAGCTGGGACTACAGGCACACCACCACACCCAGCTAGTTTTTAATTTGTATGTACAGATGGCGGGGTCGCACTACGTTGCCTAGGCTAGTCTCAAACTCCTGGGCCCACATCATCCTCCTACTTCAGTCTCCCAGAGGGATAGTATTACAGGTGTGAGCCACCATGCCTGGCCTGTTTTGGGATTTTGAAGCAGAGATGTTGAATAAGTAGAAGTATGTTCAGAGAAGAAATCTGGGCTGGGAATAATATTTGACATCACCAGAGCCATGGATATAGATGTGATCATCGTAATTCACACTGAATACTACATAATAATAAGTGATATCCATTCTACACTTTCATCTTTGAGCTTTAACATATTTTAAATCCTAATTTTAAATTTTAAATATTTATTTATTTTTTGGAGACAGGGTCTTGCTCTGTCACCCAGGCTAGAGTACAACGGAGCACTCGTAGGTCACTGCAGCCTCAACCTCCTATGCTCAGACAATCCTCCTGCCTCACCCTCCTGAGAAACTGAGACAACAGGCATACAGCCAGTGTGCCCAGCTAATTAAAAAAAAGAATTTGTAGAAATGGGGTCTTATTATGTTGTCCACGCTGGTCTCAAACTCCTGGCCTCAACTGATCTTTCTGCCTTAGCTTCCCAAAATGCTAAGACTACAGGTGTCAGCCACTGCACCCAGCCAGAAGTTTATTTAAAAAAAAGTTTACCTAAAAAATATGAATCTAATGTAAGATAAAACCTGAATTTTAAATATATTTTTAAATTAAAAGAGTAATATTATTGATAATTACATCACAGGTATAATGACATGATCATAGGTGGTATCATGACATGATATCTGGAATTTGCTTTTAAAAATACCTAAGTAACAAAATGAAAAAAAAGAAAAAAAGAAAAAGAGGATGGTGGAAGCAAGTATGGCAAAATCTTGATAGTCCTTTATCTGGGCAATGGAAATAGAAGTTCTACTTTTGTATGTAGTGTTGGAAGCGGATCCTAGTTTTTTAAAGTTTTTTTACAGTTACATAATTTCTCTCCCACTCTTTTTGTCATGGACTCCTAAACATTTACTACCATTCTCCTTCATAGGATCCCAGAGCCAGAATATCCAGGGCTATGTGTTCTTTCCCTACAGCTTCCAGAAAACCTAAGGGTTAAAGGGAAGGGAAGTAAAGCGCTACCAACACTCAGCTGTCAGGAGCTGAGAAGCCCTTTTCCCCTCCTTCTGTAGGTCCCACACTCATCCACCTCTTGGGGTTCTTTTTTTTCCTGTTACCCAGACTCCTTCACCATCAGTCCCACAGCCCCCAAAGAAAGGAGTCTATGAGAATCACCTTTTGCCAAACTCTCTCCTAGCTTTCTATTTCTACCCTAATCTCCATAACACAAGGACAGGGCCTTTCCCTCATTCTTCCACATATACCCACTCCTTTAAGAGTCTTCCTCCTCTCTCCATCATCTCCACCAGCTGCTTTTACCAAACTGAGTCCCTGAGATTCTCAAAAGGGGGTGTGCACCAATCAGTGATGGGGCAAAGCCGTCCAAGAGCTAGGGAAGGGGGAGGAAAGAAAAAGGAGCACATCTCAGCACAAGACAAAAGCTCTAAGTCTGACCCTGCCCCAACAACTGTCCCTGGACATCAAACGCTCTGCAGTTTAAGAAGGGTCAACAGCCGTGGCACATCTCCTCACTCTACACCTAGGAAGGGTAGTACTGTATGAGATGGCTTCACCCCCACATGCTCCTCTCACTGGTACTTGTGTTCCTACATCAGTCAAGCAGCTGGGAATCAAGAGATTTATGCAAAGTTAGCATCAGTGATAGGGAGCCTTATCTGCTACATTGTAAAACGCATGGCCCTGTCATGGTGGAATGCAGAAGGAAAACAAACACCACCCCGCTCAGTCCCCAGGCTGGGCAGAGGGCTGAAGGAACTCCACTGAAAATACACCCCCGGCCCAGTCATTTCTTGGCCAGCTCGGGGCAGGTGCCAGGTAAATAAACTTGCCCAGCCCTATACCAAGTCACTGCAGACCCCATATCTCAGTCTGGCATCTTCAGTCACCAAGAGAAGGTCCAAACAAGCAGAGGCGGTGGGTGGGAGAAGAATGCTCATTTACTTAAACCAGTTTGGGGAGCCCTGAGAATAAAAAAAAAGAGAAAAACAAACTAACCACATAACTTGAAAAGGTATGTTTGGGTAAGATTCTATTTGCATTTACACTATCAGCAAGTGTCTCAGTACCAGCTAACCCCATATACCTAGTGCTGCCCTAAAACACTAGGCCAGGACCAGCAGCTCACGCCTGTAATCCCAACACTTTGGGAGGCCAAAGTAGGGGGTGTTCCTTGAGCCCAGGAGTTCAAGATCAACCTGGGAAACATGGTGAAACCCCATCTCTACAAAAAATAAAAGTAAATTAGCCAAGTGTGGTGGCACATGCTTGTAGTTCCAGCTATTCAGGAGGCTGAGATGGGAGGACCACTTGAGTCCAGAAGTTGGAGGCTGCGGTAATCTATGATCACACCACTGCACTCCAGCCTGGACAACAGAGCAAGTCCCTGGGAAATGAAAAGAAAAAGGAAAGGAAAGAACCTAAACTTCAAGTATCACACCACAAGTCACTTTTATAAGAAGTTACATACCCAGATCCTCAGTAGGCTCCAGGTCCCAATCTCCCATAATGAAGAGTTTGGGCCACAGCTGTCAGGCCTTGCTTTTCATCTGAAAGCACTGTTATGTAACTAACCTACCTTCATGTGCCTTTCCATTTTTACAGAAATCCTGTGTTCCCTAAAAACCTTCTTCCAGGGCACTGAAAGGCTCTCTCTCTAGAAGGAGTTTGATGAGTTTGATTCTGACAAGCACAGCATTGCCTGGCGGCTTGGTGAATACAGACAGAGATTAGATCAGTAGATGAATTAAAAGCAAACACAGAGGAAATCCACAAATAGACCAAAATTTCCACTTCTGGCCCATTTGTTGCTGTTAATGAAACTCTTCCTTTCAATAGTCAGCCTTCCCTAAATCTAAAAGGTTGTGTGAATCGCCCACGGGTGATCTTAAACAGTAGATGCTTTTTATGCTTATTCAGGATAAAGACTATTTGCAGTAAAAAGAGTTCTCTCCCTCTCTGTATTTTTAAAAGAAAAGGTATGGAATGCAAAATTTTAAGGATTGAGGGAAACAGCTTAATATTCTAGTTTGTACCCTGTTATGTTGAAAATATACTGGGTTAAAATTCAAATCTATGAAAAAACTTGAAAGTCTTAGAAGAGGGGAAATGTTATCACAAAATATTTTTGAAACTTCAGAGAAATGTATTCAGCTAACATACTGAGAATCAACTGGTTAGCTGCTTTTACATGTAGAATCTCATTTAAGAAGAGATAAAACAGCAACCACTTGGAAAACAATGTGCATTAACACTTCAGATTTGGCATTATTCTCAGCTATGCTTGACTTTTCCCTCCCAGATTTTAACTGTATGGCAAAACATTGTCTAAGAGCTCCTTTCAGATTCGTCCACCACTTCCTCTCCTTTAGATAGACAGCCCTTTTTACGGGTTTCTAGACAGCTGACATATAATTGAGAAAGCTGCCAGAATTTGGACAAGTCTCCTGTATTCTCACATACACACGCTGGCTCTCTTTCTGACCTCAAAACACATAAACAATATCTCATATCCAAGTGGCTTCAGGATGGGGGCTGACGACCAGAAAGACCAAATGCATGATTAGAAGATGGGAATTTTCAGCCCTCTCCACCTCCATCTCTGGGGAAGGGAAGGGGGCTGAAGACCAAGTTATAAAAACTCTCGGAAGTATGAGCTTCAGAGAGCTTGTGGGCTGGCAAACGCTTAGATGTGCATGGAGAATGGCATTCCCAGAGAGGGCATGGAAGCTCTGCACACTCCTTACACCCAGCTCTTCCATGTGGCTATTTCTGAGTTGTATCCTTTATAACAAACCAGTAAACTTTAGCATTTTCCTGAATTCTCGGAGTTATTCTAATGAATTATCAAACCTGGGCGAGGGTATGAAAACTCCAAAATTTGTAGCCAAGTCAGACACAAGTGCAGATGACTGGGATCTGGGACTTGCAATTAGCATCTGAAGCGAGAGCAGTTTTGTGAGATTGAGCCCTTAAGCCTGTGGAGTCTGAGGCTAACTCGAGAAAGTAAGTATCAGAATAGAACTGAGTTTTTGAAAACCCAGCTGGGGCTGGAGAATCAGAGAACTGGTATAGAAGAGAACCGCATATTCCACAAGTACAGGTTAGCCACTGATACATGAACACAGTCTACTGAGCAGTAAGAAACAGGCCTAGAATCCTTCTTAGCAAGCACAAAAATATCTTCTTACCCAAAACCAAGTCCCCTTCTACCCACTTCTCCTCTGCTTCCATTTCATCACAGGACCCCATCCTCAACCTAGCCAGCCCCATCCCTCTTTCTCCTCCCAAGACAGAGGGATGGAATTTATTTTCTCTCTCTCTCCCTCTCTCTCTTTCTCTCTCTCTCACACACACACACATACACACACACACAGGCAGACCATGACTCAATCATGCTAGAGAGCCCCCCCTCAATTAATTCTAGAGCTATCTTCGTTCATCCAATTTCTCTTCATTCACAGGATGAACCTGAGAAAACCCAAGTGGACCATAAACCAGGGAAGGGCTCCAGGGTTCCTGCTGATGGCATGACGGAGTCAAGGTCATTGCTCTGTACTGTCACACCACTGAGAGCAGGCAGGCATGGAGCCAGGATGGAAGCAGATGGCATGTCTCTACAGACCCCCGGGGCCATGCTTCTGAGCACCCAGAAGTCAGACAGGGAACCCACACGACCACACTGGGGCCAGGTATCTCAAACAGATAGAATTATCCCCTCGCTCCTCTACTCTGTCCTCATTAGTGGAGGTGACCTCACAGCTTCACACAACTGCCCAGGTTGCAATATGTCTTATACTAAGCAAGCCTCTGACAACTAGAGAATAGAAGCCCTGGTTACCAAGGCAGTGGCCTAGATTGCTGAATCCAAGCCCCAAGTGTGCATCTCTGCCACTAAGGGCCACATAAGACACACAAAGGATGCCACAAATTTGGAAGGCTCAGCACTAATGGTGAAATTTTACAAACATATAAAAGCAATTGACTGTAAGCCATAGTATTAAGAAATTCTAATAAAGATCCAAACCAGATGTTCAATGTCGGCACTCTGTAATTCATTTAAACTGGCAGTTTTGCCAGGACCTGAAGCCCTAAAATTGAACCACAGAGTTATCTTCTCAGATCACCAACCAACCAACCAACCAACCAAGCAACCAACCAACCAAGCACAGGTCCTTACCACCAGCAGCACACCCTGTGCTGGGCACAGGCACAACGGAGTCCCAAAATAAGTGCAAGGAGCCTATTCAGCATCCAGTTAAGGAGGCAAAAGCCACACTCAAAGCCCCTTGGGACCAGCTGAGTACTGAATCAGGGGAAAGCCCTACCACCGCCTCATAGGACTGCCACCTCAAGGCCCACAACACATTTGCACAGAAAACCCTGCAGCTGGACTTCTGCTTTTAAAGGAGTCATTTCCTGTGTCACCAGCTTCCCTTTCTCAATGAGTTACTTCCTTTTTACATTTGTTTTCGTATTCAGCAAAAGAAGAAAGCTCTAGAAAAAATGATGCTTTATTTTTGAAAGCCAACTGATTTGTGTTTTTAAAGGACCTTTATTATTGACTTAGAAGTAAGCTGGGAAGAGGTGGGAATGCAGATAATTCATCTAAGGTATGTGCTATGAGAGAGGTTAGGAAGCCAAAGAATAGACCACGCTCAGTGATTCCTCAGGGAGGAAAGGAAACAGCTGCTCTCAATGCTAGCCAGGAACAAATGGGTCAGAGCCCAAAGATGACTTTCTAATGGGGCACTGATGCCCTTTGAGCCTGATACTATAGGATCTATGTTCTGCTATCTCTCAAGAAATAGGGAAATAGGTCCAAAAATCACTTTAATTGCCCTTTCAACTCAATCTTAGTTCATATTCCTTTGGTAACAAGGGCAATAATCTCTCCCCTCAAGTGCAACTCACAAAAGAGGAGCAAATCACAAATGTTAACTTCATAAACTGTAGACAGTTGGGAGGCTAAGTAGGGGGGATCACTTGGGCCCAGGAGTTTGAGACCAGCCTGGACAACACAGGGAGACCCTGATTCTACAAAAAAATTAAAAATTAGCTGAGTACAGTGGTGTTTGCCTGCAGTCCTAGCTACTCAGGAGGCTGAGGCAGGAGGATCGCTTAAGCCTAGGAGGTTGAGGTTGCAGTGAGCTGTGATAGTGCCACTGCACTCCAGGCTGGGAAAAAGAGTGAGAACCCATCTGAAAAATAAAAAATTGCAACAGGCCGGGCACAGTGGCTCACGCCTGTAATCCCAGCACTTTGGGAGGCCGAGGTTGGTGGATCACCTGAGGTCAGGAGTTTGAGACCAGGCTGGCCAACATGGCAAAACCCCATCTCTACTAAAAATACAAAAAATTAGCCAGGCATGGTGGCAGGTGCCTGTAATCCCAGCTACTTGGGAGGCTGAGGCAGGATAATTGCTTGAACCCGGGAGGCGGAGGGTTGCAGTGAGCCAAGATGGCGCCACTGAACTCAGCCTGGGTGACAAGAGCGAAATTCCATCCCAAAAAGAAAAAAAAAAATTGCAACAGTGCTAACAGTGGGCTACTCTTGACATTGAGTGTGAAAAATGCAAAGAAATTTAATGAAAATTTGTTCTAGAACAACTGTTTTCCTATAATTAAAAATTTAGAACAAATAAAATACTTCATACTTATATAGCCTTCAAAGCACTTCCATAAACATTACCTAACTTGATCCTCAAATCAACCCTGTGTAAAAGGCACAGTAGGGCTTATTAATGCCATTAAAAAATAAGAAAAAATACTATAAGTAACTGTAAGCTAACAAATTAGACAATTTCGATAAAATAGATCAATTCCAAGAAAGACACAAACTACTGAAACCAACTCAAGAGGAAACAGAAAATCTGAATGAATCTAAAACAGGCAGAGATTAAACTGGTAAATTTAAAACTTCCTCCAAAGAAAAGACCTGGACCAGACTGATGAATTCTACCAAACATTTAAAGAATTAATACCAATTGCTTGTAAACTTTTCCAAAAAATACCGAGGGAAGAAGCACTTTCCAACTCACTCCATCATGCCAATATTACTCTGGTGCCAAAACCAAACAAAGGAATCACAAGGGGGAAAAAAAAACTACAGACCAGCATCTTTTATTGAATATAGATGCAAAAATCCTCAACAGAATACTAGTAAACCAAATCCAGCAACACATAAAAAGGATTATACACCACAAACAAACAGGATCTATCCCAGGAATGCAAGGTTGCTTTAACATCTGAAAATCAATTAATATAATACACAACAATCAACAGAACAGAGGACAAAACACACATGATCATCTCAATACACACAGAAAAAGCATTTGACAAAATCCAACACTCTTTTATGATAAAAACACTAAGCAAACTAGGACTAGAAGAGAACTTCCTCAATAAAGGGCATTTATGAAAAACTCACAGCTGACGTCATACTTAATGATAAAAGACTGAATGTTTTCACCCTAAGGTCAAGAACGAGACAAAAATGTCAGCTCTTGCGACTTCTACTCAACACTGTTCTAGAAGTTTTAACCAAGGTAACTGGCAAGAAAAGAAATAAAAGGTATCCCTATTGGAAAGGAAGTAAAACTATCTCTATTTGCAGATGACATAATCTTTCATATAGAAAGTCCTACGGAATCCACCAAAAAACTATAAATGAAACCAACAAGGCTATAGGATGCAAGATCAATGTGTAAAAATCAATTGTATTTCTACACACTTGCAATGAAAATTCCAAAAAAAATTAAGAAAACAATTCCATTTATAACAGTATCAAAAAATAAAATATTTAGGAAATAATTTAACAAAAGAAATATAAGATGTTGATGTAGTTCGGATATTTGTCCCCTGCAAATCTCATGTTAAAATTTGATTCCCAGTGTTGTAGGTGAGGCCTAGTGGGAGGTGTCTGGGTCACGGGGGTGGATCCCTCATGAACGGCTTGTTGCTGTCCTGAAGGTAATGAGTGAGTTCTCATTCTATTAGCTCTCCTCAGATCTGATTATTAAAGAGCCCAGCGCCTCCTTTTCTCTTTCTCTCTTTCTCCTTCTCGTCTCTCACCATGTGACACACCTGCTCCACCTTTGCCTTCTGCCATAATTGGAAGCTCCCTGATGCCCTCACCAGAAACAGATGCCTGTGCCATGCTTCTACTACAGCCTATAGAATTGTGAGCCAAATAAACCTTTTTTCTTTAGAATTACCCAGCCTCAGGTATTCCTTTACAGCAGTGGTCCCCAACCTTTTTGGCACCAGGGACCGGTTTCATGGAAGACAATTTTTCCATGGACCGGGGAGATGGGAGGTAGGGGTATGGTTTTGGGATAAAACTGTTCCAGCTCAGATCATCAGGCATTAGATTCTCACAAGGAGTGCAAAACCTAGATCCCCGGTATGTGCCTTTCACAACAGGGTTCGCACTCCTATGAGAATCTAATGCCATCGCTGATCTGAGAGGAGGTGGAGCTCAGGCAGTAATGCTCGTTCACCCTGCTGCTCACCTCCTGCTGTGTGGCCCATTCCTAATAGGCCCAGGGGTTGGGGACCCCTGCTTTACAGCAATACAAAACGGACTGAGACAACTTATACTATAAAAACTGCAAGGCCAGGAGCAGTGGCTCACACCTGTAATCTTAGCACTTTGGGAGCAGCAGACAGGAGGATGACTTAAGCTCAGGAGTTGGAAACCAGCCTGGGCACCATAGGGAAACCCTCTCTCTACAAATAATTTAAAAATTACCCGGTCGTGGTGGCATGCGCCTGTGATTCCAGCTACTAGAGAGGCTGGGCAGGACTGTCTAAGCCTGGGAGGTTGAGGCTGCAGTGAGCCATGCTTGCATCACTGCAATCCAGCTTGGGTGACACAGCAAGACCATGTCTCAAAAAACAAACAAACAACAACAACAAAAAACATTGCTTGAAGCAATTAAAGAAAACCTAAATAAATGGAAGACACCCCATGTTCATGAATTGGAAGATTTAATATTGTTAAGACAGCAATACTTCCCAAATTTATTTACAGATTGAATACAATCCATATCAAAATCCCAGCTGCCTTCTTTGCAAAAATTAACAGACTGATTCTAAAATTCATATAGAAATGCAATGGACTCAGAATAGCTAAAACAATCTTGAAAAAATGAACAAATTTGGAGGCCTCATACTTCTTGATTTCAAAACTTACTACAAAGCTATAGTAATCAAGACAGTGTGGTGGTACCAGCATAACGAGAGACATATAGATCAGAGAAACAAAATTAAGAGTTTACAAATCAATACTTGTACCTATGGCCAACTGATTTTTGACAAGGGTGCAAAGTTAATTGTATAGGGAAAAGAATAGTCTTTTTGACAAATGGTGCTGGGACAACTGGATATCCACATGCAAAAGAATGAAGCTAGACTACTCCCTTACACCATATGCAGAAACTGACTCAAAATGGATCACAAATCTAAATGTAAGAGCTCAAACTATAAAACTGTTAAGACAAAGAAGTAAATCTTTGTGATTGTGGGTTAGGCAAAATCTTCTTATACATGACATCAAGGCATAAGAGACAAAACAAGTAAACTGAACGTTATCAAAATTAAGAACTTTTGCACTTCAAATGACACCATCAAGAAATGAAAAGACAATGGAAGAAAATATTTAGTCACATATCTAATAAGGAATTTGCATCTAGAATATATAACTTAGTGATAAAAAAGATAAATAACCTAATTAAAAAGTGGGGAAAGAATCTGAATAGACATTTCTCTAAAGAATATATACAAATACCCAATAGCTACATGAAAAGTTGCTCAATATCATCAGCCATTAGGGAAATGCAAATGAAAACCAAATGCAAATCAAAACTACTCCACACCTACTGGCATGGCTATAACCAAACAGACAGACAATAAGAAGTGTTGGAGAGGATATGGAGAAATTGAAACGCTCAAATACTACTGGCAGAAATGTAAAATAGTGCAGCCAGTTTGAAAAAGTTTGGCAGTACCTCAAAATGTTTGACATGAAGTTACCATATGGCCTAGCAATTCTACTCCTAGTTATATACCCGAGAAATGAAAACATAAATCCATGATGTGAATGTTCATAGCAGCATTATTCATCATAGCCAAAAGTGTAAATAACCCAAATGTCCGTCAACCAATAAACGGGTAAATAAAATATAGTATATCAATAAAATGGGGTATTGTTCAACAATAAAAAAGGAATAAAGTCCCGATACTTGCTACAACATAGCTGAACCTTGAAAACATGGTTAGTGAACTGATTCAGTCATACAAGACTACATATTCTACTACTCCACTTACATGAAACGTTTAGATAATCAAATCTATTGAGACACAAACTAGATCATCAGTTACCTAGGACTGGTGGTGGGAAGGAAGAGGAATGGAGTGTGACACCTAATGGGTATAGGGTTTCCTTTGGGGGTGATAAAATGTTCTAAAAATTAAATTGAGATAATAGTTGTACAACTCTGTCGATAAATTAAAAACTATCATAAAGCTTTTAAATGGTGAATTGTATGGCAGGTAAACTATATCTCAATAAAACTATTTTTAAAAAAGAACATGGAGGCTCAGACCCGAGGGAAATGGAGCAGGAGGAATGTCCTGTGATTTCTAGTAAAATGTTCAACTATACCACACAGATTTGCTCTGTTGTCCAGGCTGGAGTACAGTGGGGCGATTACGGCTCACTGGAGCCTCAACCTCCCAAGCTCAAGTGATCCTCCCACCTTAGCCTTCTGAGCAGCTGGGACTAAAGGCACAAGCCATCATGCCCTGCTAATTTTTTGTTTGTTTGTTTTTGGTAGAGTCGGGGTCTCATTTTGTTGCCCAGGCTGGTCTCAAGCAATCCTCCTGCTTTGGCCTCCCAAAGTGCTGGGATTACAGGAGTGAGCCAGCACACACATCCAAAGTACATGCTTTAAATAGTGTCTTATGTGTGTCACTTGGAGAGACACATGCTTGAGAGAGGTGGTAGGTCTCACCATCCCATCAATTTGGGGTTTTAAATTTCTCTTGAGGAAGCCCACATGTGCTACATAAATTCTATTTACAGAAAGAGGTGAAAAAAATGACATCATCCCTCTTTTCCACAACAGATGTAGCCAAGTATGGTATATGAAACATCCTAGAGTTATAATTGTCAAGCCCAAAAGGCTTTTTTTACTTTGTGGGCAGGGGGATTTTTAAAATTCTAACTTTTAACATTTGCCTTCTTCCTTTTAACATTTGACCTCCAGATTTGCGGGGGAATTTCTTCCCTCACAAATTCCCTATCTTTTGCTGCTAAAACTTCTTGGGATGCCAAGGCGGCCAAGAGGTCTGGGAAACAGGACAGGGCTAGCTCCCTCCAGACTCGGAGCCCCACAGGGGCCTTACTCTTTGTATCCCTGGGAGCAGAAACTGAGCGTCCAAGACAGAGCTGATGCTCAATCAGTGCCCACTGCAGGGCAAGTGTCTGATACATAAAGGACTCCTCCTCACCTCATCTGTCGCATACTGAGAAGGCCTAGCTAATTGTTCAGTGATGCCGCAGCTCAGCTCTAGGCTAACGGCTGGGGGATGGCTTGGCATAGCTCTTCCCTTGGCCCTTTGCCCTGAAGGTCCCACTCCTCCTTTCCGTGCCTTGGTCTTGCCCTCCCAGCTCTCCTCCCCCACACTGAATCAAGGGCTTCAGGAGGGAAACAAGCGTGATTCTGGCACCAACCCTTTCTGCTCAAGTGGTCTGCCCTGAGGAGACTGTTAATCAGATGTATATTAGCATTAATGCTAAAAGTCCAAAATTTGAGTGTTTTTTTCCCCCAGTTTCATGTCTTTGGGTTCCCAGTCTCTCTGATTCCTCCAAAGTTGAAGTGTATTTTATATATGTTCGTTCTCACTTAGTCATCAGCCTTAAAATGGAGAAGTACACAATTTATTGTCCAGGGTTGGAACAACCGTACAATAGGCCCTTTTCCAGGAATGCGGGATACAATCTAAGGGTATGGGCTGCATAGCTCACATTTCCCCAACAACTGCTGGGGCCCAGGATCCCCGGAAGCATGGGAGAGGGGTGGGTCAGCGGGATTCTGAGTGGGTGAGTCAAGGCAGACCATCCTCTTAGGTACATCATAGTTTTAAGCTGTCTCACCAACCAAAGCAGAAAAATACACATACACACACACACACACACACACACACACACACACGCAGAACCCAGACAACAAACTACCTGTTTAAACCCCTTCCTAACCTCCAAAAAACCCCCAAACAAAAACATTACCCAGAAGTCACGGTAGGGCAAATTTCATTGCTTTTTTAAGAGACAGGGCACCAGCTACACTGCTGTTCTCCTGAGATAAGCCTCTAACTCCTGAGAGAGGCTCCCCCTAAAACCTAAGACTCTACAGGTAAAGAATAATCTGGAAAACCACTTGGTAAACTGAAAAAAGTTTGTACTAAGGATGAAGAAAGCACTTCAAATTTCCAAAACAGCACTTTATGCTATTTTATTTAAAAAGACACCCAAGCCAGGTGTAGTGGTACACGCCTGTAGTCCCAGCTACTCGGAAGGCTGAGTCAGGAGGATCCCTTAAGACTGGGAGTTGAGGCTGCAGTGAGCTATGATTGTACCACCACACTCCAGCCTGGGCAACACAGCAAGACCCTGTCTCTAAAAAAAAAAAAGGAAGAAAAATAAAAAGAGACCCAAACCGTATCTCTAAAGGCCAAGATTATAAGGTAAGAGGATGGGACTTGCTTATCAGGAAGTGTCCACCCACCAGGAAGCCAAAGCCTCCTCCAGAGAAGCCAATCCAGCAATGAATGTGTCTTCTCTTCTCACTCATGAGATGCCCATGGGTTCTGGAACCATCTGGATTTGTTTGAGGTTATATTTTAGACAGAGTAGAAATCCCCTTCCACAGACAGAAATCATAGAAGGCCCTCCCCACAAAACTTCTCCCCCATCCCCAACCTATTCTGGCAGGAAGAGCAAGGGGGGAAAGAGCACGTGCTAACAGATGGGGCTCCTGTGCAGAGATCTGGGATTGTGTAACTTCAATCTGTTGCTGCCAAACAACCATAATGTGCATCTCTTCAGAAATAATTACTGGAAAATTCAAAATACCAACTGCCTCTCTCACAAAGTAGCAACCACCCACATGGAGCTGAGAAGCTGATGCTGGATAAAGAAGAAGAGGGAGGAATGTTCAGCAAGAGAGGGGCCTCCAGACAGAGCAATCTCAGCCAGCATGCTGGGTGCATGAGACACATCCATGGCAGGACCACAAGCCAATAGGCGGCTATATAATTTCTTCAGCCAGTTCTGCTCCTGTTTAAGAAAGAGGGCAGCAAGAAGGAGTGGGGTTAGGAAGGGCATAGTGAAGAGACGCCAAAGGAAGAAAGCAATGGGAAAAGCTTTGCCATCTAAGAATGTATACCCTTGTATATCCTTTCATGCAAGTTTTTTAAAAAGTGGAAAAGGGCTTTGTGGTAGCCAGCCTCCAAGACGGCCCCTATATGTCTCACCTCCTGGTACACATGCCCTTGGACTGACCTGTGTAACCAAAAGGATACTGTGGAAATAAGTGTGACTTTTGAGGCTAAGTCACAGAAGACTCTGCAGTTTCTATCTTGCTTGCTCTTGGATCACTCACTCTGGGGCAGCCAGCTGCCATGCTGTGAGGATACTCAAGCAACCCAGCAGTGGTCCACATGGTGAGGACTGCAGCCTCCCACCAACAGCCAGCACTCACAGCCCAGGCAAATGAGTAAGCCGCCTTAGGAGAGGATTCTTGAGCCTCAGTCAAGTCTTTAAACAACTGCAGTCCCAGCCGACATCTTGACAGCATTCTCAAAAGTGACCTGAGCCACACCACCCAGCTCCCAAATTTCCCAACTACAAAGACTATGTGAGATGTTCGTTGTTTTCAGTTTTGGAGTAATTTGTTATGCAGCCAGAGATCACCAACAAAGGCCTCTTAAAAACTCCTCTATCTACCATAAAACAGGCGCAGAGCCCCTGGCAGCCGCACACACCTCCACACACCTGCCTCTTCTCAACCATGCATGACTCAGGTGGAGACAGAATGCAAAGGCTAGTACTGAATTTGTCTACTCCTTCTTTATTTTTCACTGATGAGCTGAAGCTAGGCATTGAGGAAGCAAAATGTTTTCAATCCCACTGCACTTATCCAGTGATGATTTTTGCTTGACTATTAATTTATATCTAAATCATGCTGCAAGCTTCCAAACTTCTGATGTTTCAACTTCCTAAAATACATTTCATACTTCAGAATAATATGTGCCAAGTTCACACATGTGGAAGATGTATTTTTTGATTTTTTAAACTACTATCACATGACAGGATACTTAAGACGATGCTTTCCCCCATCACACACCCTGCTCTGGCAACATTTTAAGACCCTTTATTTCCTCTGATATGTCTTCTCTTCAGATAGTGAACAACAGAGAGGGATTCACAAATTTCCTGGAGAGAAAAGCTGTATAATATGTTCCAAAGAGCTCTGGATCTGCAATCTTAAAAGCTGAATTCAAAACCCAGGTCCACTACTAGCAGTAAAGGCTCTGGCCTCAATTTCCCAATCTGTGAAATGGAAATCACTTGTGTCCTATCTCGCAGAATCATGGTCATAAAAATCAAACAAGATGCTGCAAACAAAGATTACTTGTTCCCAACACATCTAATAAATAAATACGGCTGAAACAGATAGCTGGTGATCTGCTAGGTGGGAATATTGTAATGGGAAAGCTGGAGATCAATCATTTATTGTCATATTTCCAGCTATGATATAAGAAAGAGGGTCCTCGACTGGCTAGGAGAGTATCTGCATCTGCCAAACTGTCAAGATACATTTTTCATTTGTGAATTAATAAAATACTCCATGCCATTATTATTATTCCCTTGTGAGTCTGGCCATCATCAATCTAAACCCTGGGGATCTAATCATGTTTGTTTGAACTCATAAAATTAGGTCATGTACATGCAAAGGTGAGGGTGAGATCTTGAACTCACAAGTAGCAAAGCCTTTCTAAGCCCAGATTTAATAGTCACCAGGCAATTTAGCAACCTTGGTTATGAAATCTCCACTGAGAGGGTTGTTTTGGGTGGATAAACCATTATCTCCCATCGCTACTCTGGATTTAGGAGAGTGTGACAAAATGGTTTATACCCTCCAAGATTTCCTCTGGGCAGTATAACTGGTAACCTGAAAAAGACACTGCAACTGCTCTTTCATTTAAATGTTTAAATGGCTTTAGGCCACATCCATTTTGTAGGTGGGACATTACATGGCAGCAATATAATTTTAGAAGGACTGCCGGCTCCCAAAACACATACACAGGTAGAAAGTGTCTCTGCCACCCGCAAGTACCAAAGTAAGTTCTACTGCTTTATTCGATGCTTGGGTAAGCCCAAAATGGGGGAGTGCAAGGTCTTGATTTTGTCACTCATCTTAAAAGAAAAATTGTGATTTGATAGTTACTAAAATCTTTCCTTTCTGCAGGTAGACTTTGCTTCCCTGCCCTGGAATTTTTTATTCAGACACTGTTGCTCCTCTGTGGTTCTGCACTCTCACAAGTTTCTGCTGGAAAAACTACACTTTTTTCCCCAGGAAGACACTCCCTTGGGTAAGGCACCATATAGAAGCAGGTGCTTCCTAGGGGCACATTTACATTGTGATAGAGCAACAACAACAAAAAAACACATGACTCTGATCTCATTTATTAGCTGGTTGGAATCTCCAACTTCAGAGCTAAAAATACATGAAAAAACAAAGTAGCTATATCATGCTAAGATTTTCAAGCTTTAAATACCTTAACATGGAATTATACAGTACAAAAAAATCAAACTGTGGAAGAGGCAATCACAGCAAAACATTAAAAATTTAAAATTAAATTAAAAGCATTAGGCTGCGATGCTGTTGAAGGAGCCACATGGGTTGGACTGCTGGACTAGGTAATATGAAAGGTCCTAATTAGTCCCATTATTTCTAGGAAACTCTAATAAAGCATTCCCTTGTTGGAGCAGGGAAAGGATGTTAAACTAAATCCTTAGGAGGATATACTTGTAGACTTGAATGGAACACTTCAATATGTACCTAATGAAAATTTTTCACATAGTATCTGATTAAACATATAACTCAAAGCTTTAGAATAAAAAATCAAAGCCTCTGATTTTAACAAGGTTTCCATGCTGTGTTTTCTATAGCACGCACACACACACACACACAAACAAACACACACACACGTGCAGTCTAAAACATTCTAAAAATACACCATATCAACCTTTTAAGAGATCTGCACAGTCAACTTACAAATTCTCATACACCCGAAGTTACATTAAAGACATTTAATGGGTTGGGTGAGGCTGGCTCATGCCTGTAACCCCAACACTTTGGGAGGCCAAGGTGGGAGGATCACTTGAGCCCAGGAGTTCGAGACCAGCCTGGGCAACACAGTGAAACCCCATCACTATTTTTTTAAAAAAAATTTAAGAAAATAAAATGTTAAAAAAAATTTAATGGGCAAAAGTTAAAAGTCTATGTGTTTGTACTTCTATTAAATGATTCCAATATTCTCCCCATTCTTCCCTAATTTCCTTTTTAAATAATTTTTATTCCTCCTTAGATCTTTGAGTCAATTGAAAATCAAGTTCATTGCAGACCAATTACATCACTTCCCCTTTGCAAATATGACAAATAGCCAGGCCACATCAGGCTCTCCCCTGGGCCTTCCCTGAACATGCAGGCCTAGACTAATGGCACCTCACGCCCACAGTTCATTTGTTCAGCAGGTATAACCTTGCACCTTTTCATTCTTAAAGCCATTTTCCCAAATTACTTAAACTCTGTATTTTTACTGAAATTGTAATAAGTATAGATGTAGGTTGACATTTTTTTTCTGTACAAGATAGTAAATATGTTAGACTTTTGCCAGACATTTGGTCTCTGTTCCAAGTACTCAACCCAGCTATTGTAGAGCAAAAGCAGCCATAGACAATACATGAATGAATGAGTATGGCTGTATTCCAATAACTTTATTTATGGGGATGACAGTGGTGGTTCAAACCTGAAATCCCAGCATTTTGGGAGGCTGAGGTGGGAGGATCACTTACTTGAGCCCTGGAGCTCAAGATCAGCCTGGGCAACATAGCAAGACCCCATATCTACCAAAATATATATTTCATATATATATAACTTGATGGGCCCTGAAATTTTGTTTTGTTTTTTTTTAAGAACTACTTTATTGAGATATAATTCACAAACCATACAGTCCACCCTTTAAAATATATGATGCAATGGTTTTTAGTAAATTCACATAATCGTGTGACCATTGATGGGCCCTGAAATTTGGATTTCACATTATTTTCACACATCACCATTAAACCATCAAAAAATGTAAAACTCATTCTTCTGTTCAGGGCCATGCAAAAAAACAGGACAGGCAGGGCTTGGTCTATGAGTCACAGTTTGCTGATTCTGATCGAGACTACCAAAATTGTGTCAACAAACAACTTGGCATTCCCTCACAGGCCTGAGGCAGTAAATATCTGTGCACAGATCCCATTTATCTCTTTTCTTCTATTCTGGGGAAAAGTCCAGAGAACTACAGTTTGTGTTTGAAATACCTAGGCATTTAATTAACACATCAAACTGGAGAGGTTTAACGAGTTGTTCCAAGGGTGATGTGAGAGCTTCTACACTAATTAAGATTCTCTTTCTCAGAGAGAGGTAACAATCTGTAGATAAAGGTGTGTGTGTTTGGGGAAGGGGGGCTATGTTGGTGAAGGAGAAACTCAAGGGGCAGAGGGCACCCACTGCAGTTTTTGTGACTGAAACAGCTACACAAAGCCACAACCCCTAAGTCCTCCATAAACACACATGCAAACACAAAAGCCAGGCATGGTAGCTCACGCCTGTAATCCCAGGACTTTGGGAGGGTGAGGCAGGAGAATCCCTTTAGGCCAGGAGTTCGAGATCAGCCTAGGCAACATAGCAAGACCCTATCTCTACAAAAAATAAAAAAACTGGCCAGGCGTGGTGGCTCACGCCTGTAATCCCAGCACTTTGGGAGGCCAAGGCGGGCGGATCACGAGGTCAGGAGATCGAGACCATCCTGGCTAACACGGTGAAACCCCGTCTCTACTAAAAATACAAAAAATTAGCTGGGCGTAGTGGTGGGCGCCTGTGGTCCTAGCTACTTGGGAGGCTGAGGCAGAAGAATGGCGTGAACCCAGGAGGCGGAGCTTGCAGTGAGCCGAGATCGCACCACTGCATTTCAGCCAGGGCAACAGAGCGAGACTCTATCTCAAAAAACAAAACAAAACAAAAAATTAGCCAGGCATGGTAGTGTGTGCCTATAGTCCCAGCTACTCAGGAGGCTGAGGCAGGAGGATCATCTGAGCCCAGGAGTTGGAGGCTGCAGTAAGCTATGATCATACTACTGCACTCCAGTCTAGACATAGATCCTGTCTCAAAGCAAAACAAAACAGAGGATGAACTTGAGATTGTACCTCCTCAAAAGTCCATTCCTAGAGGATGTTTCTTCACCAATATATTTCCCAGCAAAGAGAAAGACCACCACAACAGCAGCAGCATTAAACAACTTTAGTGGGAGAAAACAGACAGATAGCAAATACAGACCAGCCCAAGCTTTACAGCTACCAGTCTGGTTATTTCCAGGAAATATCTTTAGCTAGAGTTTTATTTTACCAGTAAGCCTAAAACCTGCTTCTATATGTGGCTTCAAAAAAAATCTACAACCTTATCCGCCACTTAACTCCTGGCATACAACTCTTAGGAAGAGTCATTATAGAGTTTAGATACTGCAAGTTCCTAAAGCAGTTCCAGTATAAGAAAAGTCATTTCAAAATAGTCTTAGATGTTTCCCTGAGTTCAAAGAACTATACAGAAGTCAGCACAGGAGCCATGGGTATGGTAAATGTAGCCCACACGTTTGAGGGCCATTATGTACCAGGAAGCCAGAATGTTTACATATTTCAACTCCAACTCCTGACTAACTCCTCGTAAATCATTCTTCCAGAATGATTTAGTCTTATATAATTTATAACTGCGGTCCAACCATGTCTTGGAACCACAAAAGTATGAAAGACTATCTTTACCAGGAACAAAACAATCAATAATTTTGGGAGAAAGGGAACTTATCCAGTCCCAGAAATTAAACTTCAATATGAAATGACTCTGAAGGGCTTTCTGCCCACTGAAATCCTCTCCAGGCAGACCTGTGCTCTGGCTGTCTTTGCACATTTGCTGTGTATGTGTGACAAGGCCATTGGCGGTACTCTGGACTAGCTCCGGATGTTGCACCCAAGGACCCTGGAAGTCAGGGTACGACCAGGTTGATGAGCAATCATCCTATTGTTTAAAGACCCTAAACTGAAAGCCTTCATAATATGCAGGGTTGTTTCCTGGACTGGACACTCCTCTACCCCTACAATTACAGTCTGCATTCATGAACTACCCCATAGAGCCTTCATGATCCATAAACATTTAAAAGTTTTCCTTTTAGAGAGAATGAAAAAAATGTGAGAGTCACTGGTACAGGAAGGACCAAACAATTGGGTCTCTGTGGTTTTGGGGGCCTAGGTCATCCAGGCCTCTATTCAATTGGCAAAGAATCTGGCGGGATGAATCAGTCTAGCAGCTGACAAAACGATGAGGAAGGGCCGCCCAAGCTGATGGCAATTCAAAAAGGCTTTCAAACAGCTCCTTAACATGTGTCTTATGAGCTTTATTTAAATTTGATGGAAAGGCCACCAAATAGTTCTTTCAAGCTTCAAAATCTCCCTTCTGATCTGCCAATCTTTACGGAAGAAAAGGGAAGCTATGAGGAATAAGTGTTATCTTCATCACTGAGAGTGCTACACAGCTATGCGTCGCACACAAATTCTCCAGTATATAAGCTTGCCTATTCCCATGTTGTCCCTGCCTAGAACAATGGCAAAATGCAGCCTAGGGCAAGTTGAGGGTATTGCTGAATTCTCAGCTGGGTAAGCACAGCATGGAGCTATCAATTTAAAGCAAAACCAAATCAGCTTTTTGCTGATGTCATTTTACCAATAATTCCAGCTCCATCATGCAGTCTATTACCAGAGTAACTTGACTTCCCTAGGCAACCTACGAAGAAGTTGCTAAGCAATAAAAATACTTATTAGGGAGAGGAGAAAGTCACAATCAGCACAAAGTTTAGGTAGCTAGATAACTGAAAGCTGGCGCTGCCACTTCAGGGTGACAGTGCCAGATACTGGAACAGAGAAACCACATAAAAAGGACTTCCATCCTAGAGTCCCTTCTCCACACAGCAGCCCAGGGAGCCTTTTACAAAAGAAGCTGAATCACAATCCCTCTGTTCAAAGCTCTCTGTTGTGGGCTGAATTATGTCTCTCAAAATGATATGTTAAAGTCCCAACTCCTAGTACCTATGAATGTGACCTTATCTAGAAATAGTATCTCTGAAGATGTTACCAAGTTAAGATGAGGTCAAACTGGATTAGGGTGGGCCCTAACTTCAACGACTGGTGTCCTCACAGGAAGGGCACGGTAAGACAGATACATAGGGAGAAGATGGCCATGTGTTGAGACAGAGACTGGAGTTCTGCTGCCACAAGCCAAAGAACACAAAGGATTGCAGACACCCAGCAGAGGCTAGAAGAGGCAAGGACAGACTTCCTGGAGCCTTCAGAAGAGCAAGGCCCTGCCAACACCTTGACTTGAGACTTCTGGTTCTGATTTCAATTATCCAGGACTGTGAGAGAATAATTTCTGTTATTGTAAGCCGCTAAGTTACTCTGTTATGGCAGCCCTTGGAAATGCATATGCCCTCCAGTGGCTTTCCACCTTACTGAAAACCAAATCCTCACTGCAGCAGCATCTGGACCTCCTCTGACCACGCTGACTTCAGCTCCTCCTGCTCTCTGAGTAGTCAGTCCACACTGACCTCCTGGCTGGTCCTCAAACTGTACCATGAACCCTCCACCTTACGGCCTCCCTGCAGCAGGCTGGTGCTGTCAGACCTTTGCAGATGCCACTCCTTCTGCTGGAAGGGTTCCCACCTCAGGAACCTCCAAGGCCTGCTCCCTCAATCTGCCTTCAGGTCTCTGTTCAAGTCACCTAATCATGAATGCCCCCACTAACTCCCCTTCAGCCTTCCCTATCCCCACTCCATATTCCCTATTCTCTTCCCCTGCTTTATTTTTCTCCACAGTGCTTCACACAAGCTGACATAGATATTTTGCTTAACCCTTCACAGGTTCTCCCTCCACAATGTTAGCTCGAGAGAGCAGGACTTCACTGCTGAATCACAGTGCACTCTATTTAGTAAATAAGCATATGAATTCTGTTGGGATAGGTGAAATTTTATTCTGAACTGGCTGTGTGACAAAAAAGGTTTCTACTAATTAAGTGAGACAACGGAAGCTCCTGCAGATGAAGGGCTGGGCTCTGAGGGGCTGGGAGGGAATCCATGTGCCAGGTTTTCCTAAGTAGACTGAAGGGCTCTCACCACATCCCTGCATGGAAGTGGGCGAGGTGAGTGATTCCGAAAAAGCCTCTTAAGAACCTCCCTATCAAAAATTAAGTCAAGTCTTACCTGTAATTTTTGTCTCCAGCCACACCCCAGTAGAAAGCAACTTAGCCTGAGGAATTTGTGAAGTCAAATATAAACATGATCTTCCTACTTCATTACTATACATATTTTTTTAGGGGCTGAGGAGAAAGGCCTAGTAGGAATGTTTGATAATGATAATCTTATACTGCAAATGCACAAACTCTACTCAGAGGAGAAAGCCTCGATCACCACACCCCTAAAAATACATAAGCCAGGAGGTTTCAAACAGCTCTTTCTTAGTCAAACTCTCTTAAATGGTCCTAAATTTACACTTTTTTCCTTCCTTCATTGATATTTTTCAAAACTTTTGAAACAAAACAGGCAGGAAAAATGCAAGTTTTTCTTTACCTTGGCTTTTGGCCCCAGGTCCTGCCAATCCGAGTGATGGATCACAGGACTCCTTGAAAGGTGATCGGATCGGGGTTTCAGCTTCAGGAGTCTCAAAATTACCTTCAGAATCCGAGCTGCCAAGGAGGAAAAATGAGGAATTACCACTTTCAACGGTATTTCCGACACCCTTTGAAATCTACATATTCACAGAGGCTAAAAGTCCAGCACTTTTGTCTAACTTCACAACCAACCGGTCCTCAGCAGGGTCTGACCTGCGGGAGGCAACTGCGGTCTCTGAGCAGTGCCCTCCTTGGGTTTCTCAGGCTGGCATCCTGTCTCTCTGAAAGCTCCTCCATTCCCTGGAGCTTTTCTCCAGCACCATTTATTTTCGAGGTCATCCTTCCCTCAGACACCTGAAAAATGCGCTTTTCCAACAGACTCCTTTTGTCACAAGAGCCCTTTCCCAGAGGCTTTAACAATTAATACTGGTCCCACCCCCGAGTTAGGCCGATGCTAGGCATTCCTCTTTGCTCGGTAGGCCTCTACCTGCTGGAACTCCCTGGGCCCGAGGCTAAGAATGGTGTCACCTGCCTTCCGCAATCACGCGGATGACAGCCCGGCAGAGACCACCATTTCCCAGCAGCTGCCAGGGGCCTGTCATCACGCGACCTTCTTCACCGCGGCTGCGTTTTGGGTACACGGTAGGGCCCCGGGAAGGGCCGGGGAGCGACTTCTTCCCCACGGGGGGGCCCTAAGTTGCACTGGGTTAGATCAGTGACGTTGCTCCAGTGTGGAGGGGCGGGGGCTGGGGGTCGAAGCTTAGAGAAAGTGACCGAGGCCAGCGGGGATGCGGAGAGACTGCAGATTCTGGGTTGGGTGCGGAACTCTCCTAGCGAAACGGGGGCCAGAAACCCCACGGGAGGACAGAAGATCCTGAACTTTCGGACGCACACGGGGACCCGGCTCCGGGCAGGGACGCGGCACGGCCGTGAGGACGGTTTCGCGGGTGGCGACCACACACACGCACACAGAGGGAGTCGCAGATGGATGGAGGCAAGCGCGTCTGCATCTCAGCGGGGACGCCGTGTACTTGCCTGAAACTCAAGGATTTGGTCTCGGCTTGCGAATCCTCCTCCTCGGGGTCGCCCTCGGGCCCGCCAGCCTCGTCCTCGCCGGCGGCCCCGCCGCGTACCGCAGACCACGTCCATTTCGCCCACTGCACGGGGGACAGGATCTGCCACGGGCTGAACGCCATGAGCGCGGCTCCTCCGGCTCCAGCTCCTAGGGGCAGGGGAATGGGTGGGGAGAGCCTTTTTCCCTTTCAAAATGGAGGGAACCGGTGACAGGCGCCAGCAAGCGTTTCCAGCAGAGGCGCGGATGTGGTTAAACGAGTGCCGTCGGGGGCCCTGGTGGAGCGCTTCCTCCCGCCGGCAGCCGGCGCTGCGTCCTCCTCGGCCTCCTCCCCTCACGGTGCGGCCGCAGCGGGCCCCGCGCCGGGCTCCACTAGCCGGGAAGACGCCCGTCCTGTGGCCTCCTCAGGCCCCCGGCCCGCGGCGCCCGGCTGCTAGACCTCTGCTGCTCCCGCTCCCGGCTCGCGGACTCCCGCCTCCCGGCCGGCGGGGCGCGCATCAGCTGCCGCCGGAGCCGCGCCCCAGAAGCCGCCCCCTCGGACCGTACTACTCGCGCGCGCGCGCGGGGGCGGCGGCGGCGCCGGGGCTTTGAAGACGGCCGCGCGCCCGCCGGATCCCCCTACCGCGGCGTCACGCTGGTCGCGGCCCGACTGAGGGCCGGGGCTTGCCGGCTGCGCGGGGAGATTCGGTCATACCCCACAGGTCCGCCGGCGTCCGGGGCAGAGGAGGACCGTTTTCTGAGCCGGGGCACGCTGTCCTCTTCCTCTTTCCTTATTCCTTTTTAAAATTTTTTTAAACATTTTCATCTTGCCACTGTGACTTCACGGCGATGGTGATATTGGACTGCACACAAGCCCCTTGTTACCAAAAAAAAAAAAATACAAACCTTCGCGGCCGCTGTGGACTGTTGTTTTCCCCTCCCTAACCCTGGCAGCGTGGGGGATTTCAGCCTGTTCATCTCCATCCCTGGCATTCCCGGGATTTGAAAATCCCTTGGCAAAGCCACAAGAGTGACCGAGGACTGGAATTTAAGATGCCCTCCCCCTCCCCAAACCGCACTCGGGGAGGCTTCCCAAGTGCCCAGGTCTTGTCTTAGGTAAAGGGTACTAAATTCCCTGTGAGATTACAGCCTGATGGGTTTCCCATTCTCCATATTTATTTATTTAAAATACAGACAGGCGTCTCGATATGTTGCCCAGGCTGGTCTTGAACTCTTGGCCACAAGCGATCCTCCCGCCTCTGCCTCCCAAAATGCTAGGATTCCAGGCCTGACACCGCGCCTGACCCCATTCTCCTTTTTGAGATTTTCTTTTCGTAACTTCTAAGTCTTTGATTTCTGACTTATTTCGCTGCTTCAGTAACAAGCCAAGAGGCCTGGCGACATCTTTAGGTTTGAAGGCAATGGGAAATAGCTGATGTTCTCCATTTCCCATGGAGGGATTTCATGTAGGGATTGTTCCTCTCAAAACCACCAAAGCACCTTCTTCCAAGTGAATCGATTGCCTCAAACACCAGGCTTAATGATCTCCTTGCCTGGATAAGGTGTTCCAGGTGGTACTGTAATTTCCGAGTTGTGGTGCATCCATGAGGTGCCTGCAGGTTCCCACAGAGACAGCAGCTCCAAAATGTGCACGTTGAAACTTGCAAGAGACTAACCGTTGCCTCTGAAAGCAGTTGGCATGTATATTCATCGTGACTGTTTTACACATTTGATAACAAAAACAGGAGCAAAATACAAGATAAGGCTTGGCAGGGTAGTTTTACCAAAACCGAAGGGCAGGAGTTAACCTGAAGTCTAGAGAAAAGAAAGGGGTGGGGTGTCAGGATGCTTTCGAATTCATCCTGGCTTCTTCCCAGAAATAAATTGTCATGAGTGTTCTAGCGACTATAAAGAAGTGAACTAGGCAGGAGGTCCATGTGAAATATATCACACCACTTATCCAACTGTTGTAGTTTTAGGTTTATGCTTACCCAGTAAAACTTCAGGTTCTACAGTCCCCCAGGCTCCTGGATTTGACACAGGGTTCTGTTTCTGGGAAATAATATTACCCCAGCAAATCAGTAACTAGCATACACTAGGACCTGTTCTTCCTCCTGAATAGTTCTCTTATCTTTTCATTCCTTTGCATCCCTGTGGTGACTGACATAGTTCCCGCACTCCCCATCTTTCATGATCTACTGTAAATAACTCCCACCTGGTTTTACCTCTGAAGGTTTTCTTGCCTGAGGTCACCCCTGCCTGGCTGATCAGTGACTCGTGCTCTAATCTTTCGGTTCCCATTCCCCTCTATGCCCATCCTTTTGTATTCCTAGCCACAGTGAGTAGAGAACTCGTTGTCAATCTTTAATATGCCCAAGAATCATCCGCCAGCCTTCTTAAAAAAATCCAAATTGCCAGCAGAGTCTGGAAATCTGTGTGTTCACTAAGTGTCCTGGGGAACTGTTATCACAGGGTAAATTTGGGAAACAGTGCCTAGCTTGAACCAACTGCTTACTGCTTCGGGAACAGTCTCCCTTTGCCTGCAGAGGGAGCTTTGCGAATTCCTGGAACACACCTCCTCCCCCACCCCAGCCCACCCCAAGTTCCCAGGCTTCAGCTGCTCGAACGTCCTTCAGCACTTAGCTCAAGTGTCTACAGGGGGAAGCAGGCTCATTGTCCTTCCTTTCTATCATTTCTATACCCCGAACATCCATAAAGAACACTTCCTGTGGCCTTAGATCTGAAAGTGAAAGACAGCATTCTTAATAGTTACACAGGGACTATAGGCATAAACCAGGACTGTCTCCAGAAGACCAGGATGTAAGGCCATTCTACACTTAGCACACCATATATAACATATTTATTTACATATCTGTCCCACAAGCTTCTAAAGGGACTTTACCCCCCTTTGGGACTTCCTCCAGAAATTAGGACAGAACCACACACTCAGTAGGTGTTCAATATATATGTAAGAAAAAACAAACATTCTAGTTTACAAATAGTCCTTGTGAGTTTGGCTAAGGTGACATAAATTCCTAAAGCCTGACTCCCCCTGGGGAAATCTAGTTTCTGGGCCAGAAAATAACAGAACCCAGGACCAAGTGATGGCCCCAGTAAGATTAAGCCTCACCTATGCAGCAATTTACTTTTTTTTTTTTTTGAGATGGAGTCTCACTCTGTCACCCAGGCTGGAGCACGGTGGTGCAGTCTCAGCTGACTGCAACCTCCGCCTCCTGGGTTCAAGCGATTCTCCCTGCCTCAGCCTCCCAAGTAGCTGGGATTACAGGTTCCTGCCACCATGCCCAGCTAATTTTTTTATTTTTTAGTAGAGACGGGGTTTCATCATGTTGGCCAGGCTGGTCTTGAACTCCTGACCTCAGGTGATCCACCCACTTCCAAAGTTCTGGGATTATAGGTGTGAGCCACCGCACCCGGCCTGCAGCAACTTCTTGAGACTGGACTAGCAAATAAATGCCTAAGGTTTCTGAAAATCACTCCTCTGCAAGTTCTTGAACTTAGTGTAAGCAGTAATGAATATGAGTCCATTAGCTGGACCACTCCTCTCAGTCTGCTGCTCCTAGTCCTGGCTTCGTTCTTACCTGGTACAGGTTGCAAAGTCACAACTAGGAACACTCTAGCCCTGTCAGTGAAGACGTGCCATTGCCAACAGGAGGCTGTGGCCACCCTATCTGCTTTTCTGCCCTACCTCAGTCTAACCAGGCAAGGGCATGATGATGTCTAATCAAGACAACATTGCCAATAACAGCATCTGACCGCATTCAAATATGTTAACATGACAGTCTTAACCTTGCAAGATCAGATATTTACCTAATTATCCTTTACCTGTAGACTACAAACATCTATAGAATTACAATCTTCCCTCCACTACCCAAACACCGAAATCAGGACTGTGTACAATGCATTTATACAGAAAATTATAAAGAGAAGCTCCTTTCTAATTTTTTAAAAGAGAGGTGTCAGGGTATGTTCATAGCTAATACTCTTTCAGGCTGGGTGCGGTGGCTCATGCCTGCAATCCCACACTTTGGGAGGCCAAGGCAGGCAGATCACTTAAGGTCAGGAGTATGAGACCAGCCTGGCCAACATGGTGAAACTCCATCTCTACTAAGAATATAAAAATAGCCAGGTGTGGTGGCAGGCGCCTGTAATTCCAGCTACTCGGGAGGCTGAGGCAGGAGAATCACTTGAACCGGGGAGGCAGAGATTGCGGTGAGCCGAGATCATGCCACTGTACTTCAGCCTGGGCAACAGAGTGAGACTCCATCTCAAAAAAAAAAAAAAGAAAATACTCTTTCAGAGTTCCAGGAAGATTAACAAAGATCCAAACTGCATTTATTAAAGACTTGGCTGAGCCCCCCACCTGGGGTCTGCTGAAAGACCCTTGCCCAGACTTTGCTCTGGTGAACAACTCTTGTCATATCCACCCATTGATCTGTTTTCTTCTGTATCACAGAAGAAAAGTTTGCTTTCCCCAGGAAGTATACCATTCAACCTAGGTCACAGGTCAAACCTATAGCAGAACTGCCACACAGAAGAGTTACACTGTGTCAGCTTTCAGAGAAGCTGGGGGGACATATATATATATATATATATATATATAGATAGATAGATAGATAGATAGATAGATAGATAGATAGATATTTACACTACACTAGTGTCATTGAAGAGCCAGTTCTGTGAGATTCTCTCATTCCCATCAAATATTCATGACTATATGTTTATTGACTTTATAAGAAAGTTCACTTTAGTTCTCTACTCTGTGATGTAAACATATTAAAGAAGCAGTTGTTGAGTGCAAAAGATATAAACAGAATTAGGTCAGCCTGTTTATTCTAAGTGAAGAAAAATAACCCCAACATTATCCCTAATTCTTCCCACCAACCACCACAAATCCAAAGTTGAAAACAAGCAAACCAAAAACAAACACAAAGCTCCACTTAAAGCAGTGAACTATCTTTAAATTTAGAAATATCTTCTATTCCAATAGATATGTTTGGTCTTTCCTGCTAAACAACACTATTGTATTTACAGAGCCTGTTAAACAGGAATATCATCTTGGAGGATTACTCTTACTGATTTAGCACATTTTGTTTCCTTCTGTTGAACTCAGATTCCTTTCGAGCAGACTAGGCATTAAAAAAGAGGGCATTTGACCCAGCCGTCCCATTACTGGGTATATACCTAAAGGACTATAAATCATGCTGCTATAAAGACACATGCACACATATGTTTATTGCGGCACTATTCACAATAGCAAAGACTTGGAACCAACCCAAATGTCCAACAATGATAGACTGGATTAAGAAAATGTGGCACATATACACCATGGAATACTATGCAGCCATAAAAAATGATGAGTTCATATCCTTTGTAGGGACATGGATGAAATTGGAAATCATCATTCTCAGTAAACTATCGCAAGAACAAAAAACCAAACACCGCATATTCTCACTCATAGGTGGGAATTGAACAGTGAGATCACATGGACACAGGAAGGGGAACATCACACTCTGGGGACTGTTGTGGGGTGGGGGGATGGGTGAGGGATAGCACTGGGAGATATACCTAATGCTAGATGACGAGTTAGTGGGTGCAGCGCACCAGCATGGCACATGTATACATATGTAACTAACCTGCACAATGTGCACATGTACCCTAAAACTTAAAGTATAATAATAAAAGAAAAAAAAAGAAATCTGCAAAAAAAAATAATAAAAAATAAAAAAAATAAAGATTTACAAGAATGTAAAAAATAAATAAATAAATAAAATTAAAATAAAAAATAAAAAAGAGGGCTGTCCAAGTCCAACTCCAAGTCTGAGAGTTTTATACCTAGAGCTCAGACAAGAAAACCATCTGAAACTTCCTCTATGTTGTTTATAAATTTAAGATTCTAGTAAAGGACATTACTTCAAATTTGAGATATCTGCTTTACTACACTTACCTGTTTGTGGGGAGGGTGGAATTTAAGACTTGAATTAAAGAGGCTGAAGGAATTCAGGACATTTAAGTAGAATAATATTCCTGGCCAGGCGCAGTGGCTCACATCAGTAATCCCAACACTTTGGGAGGCCGAGGCAGGTGGATCACCTGAGGTCAGGAGTTCGAGACCAGCCTGGCCAACACGGCGAAACCCCGTCTCTACTAAAGATACAAAAATTAGCTGGGCATGTGGCACGCACCTGTCATCCTAGCTACTCAGACGGCTGACACAAGAGAATCGCTTGAACCCAGGAGGCAGAAGTTGCAGTGAGCCAGGATTGCATCACTGCACTCCAGCCTGGGGGACAGAACAAGTCTCCGCCTCAAAAAAAAAAAAAAAGAAGAATATTTCTTCTCCTACAGCCATTTTATTCCTTCTTCTTTTCCCCACCTCCAAAATAAAATAAATGTCCTAAACAATGCATCCTTATGGATTAGTAGAACATTAATCATATAGCCCAAATGTTTTGAGATCACCCTAATATAAAATATTCTACTCACTATCCTCATAAATATATTGTGAATCTTCAGGAGACCATACGTCTTCTTGTCACTAAGAAGTTACAAGGTAACAGATTGGGATGGTGGTTGGAAGGGGCAGTGAAAGGCAAAAGCAGATTCACTGCTAGGAGGATGTGGGGAGAAAAGGTCCACCCAGAAGAAAAGAATAAAATCACAAAAAGCTTTCAAAAATAACTGTGACACCAACTCCAACTTAATTCCTTAGTCTAGGGATTTGGGGGAATTTCATTACAGTAACTCATGTGTTTGTGACCAATAATCTTCCTGTATTTCTAAGAAATAAAAAGATGGGAAAATAAGCAGCCAACTCTGTGACATGATACACAGCATCCTGTAAACTCCAGCTTTTATCTCTTTGGAGTAAAATTTTGATTACTGTATTTTGGTCCTGAAACTCCAAGTTGGTAAAACACTGTTGCTAAGATGGCAATACCACCCAGTTAACTTACAGGGCTAATTTGATTTCAATCAAAATTCCGAGGGGATTTTTCTTAGAATTCGTCAATAATGTTTAAAAGTTTATCTGGAAAAATAAACTGGTGAACATATTTTAGATTTTGTAAAAAAAAAACAAAAAAAAACAACACCAACAAGAAGAGTGAAGAATAGACTAGTCCTACAAGACATTGAGACACATTTATGCAAAAATAGCCAGATCTTTGTTCTGTAACACAGAACAGAAAGCCCAGGAAAAGATCTTACAAGATACAGGAATTTATTATATACCAAAAAAGATGGCTTGAACCCGGGAGGCGGAGGTTGCAGTGAGCCAAGATCGTGCCACTGCACTCCAGCCTGGGCAACAGAGCGAGACTCTATCTCAAAAAAAAAGAACAAACAACAAAAATATAAAGAACATGTTACAATATGTAAGGAGAAGGAAGATTTATGATTGGAGCATAGTTGGCTGGCAATGGGAAAAAAGATCAAGTTAAACCCTTACCTCAGAGCATATACCAGGATAAATTCCAGATGGATTAGATGACTAAATAATAAAAATCGAACCATTGGGAGAAAACAGTCTACAAGCAACAGAATCTATCAGAGCTCTGTAGGAAGGATGAGGATCCAACTTACAAGTAATTAATGAAATCAGACACAAAATAAAGATAGATTTGGTTACATTTAAAAAAATGAAGCTTCTGACTGTGTGCCTTCAAGTTAAAAGGCAAACAACAGGCCATGGAAAAACAAAGGCTGTTAGTATTGTTATTACCTAAGGAACTCGTGAAAACAAGTAAGATCATTTAAGCCCCAAAAGAAAAGTGAACAATTATAACTGCTTACTATGTGTTAGACACTACACTTTACATGAATCGTCTCATTTAATCTCCCCCACTTACTCCTACAATCTCAGGAGGAAAGTATTGTTACGGCCTTTTTGTTGTTGTTAACAAGTTAACTTGGCTGCATTTCACCCTCTACAGCAGAGGCTTAGCAAGGAAGGGTTTCAGAAGGTCCTGGCCTCCCTGAAATTGTATGCAAAAAGTATGTGTGTGTGCATATTTGCATCAGTCTCTCCCTCTCCTCTTCCCCACATACAGTCAAGCCCCACTCCAGGAATAATGTTTTAGGTTGACTAAAGATTGATTTTCGAATCTGAAAGGGAACTAATATAAAATTCTTCAGTATAAGGAAGTACTGGCCAAAAAAGCCCTTATACGGAAAATCCAGACCTGCCAGAAGTTAGTGTAGAAAACAGCCAGCTTTGAAGACACCCGGAGGGTGGAAAAGGGCGGAGAGCAGGCCTAGCAGTGCTCACCACTCCAGGCAGGGTGTGCCCTTCCCCAAATGCCCAGTGGGAGCCCATGTTACTGGGCAGCCTGTGGGTTTCATCTAAGTGACTGTGTGGTGACCAAAGTGTGAAATGCTCATTTCAAGAAGGCATTTGCCAGTTGAGCCAAAGTACCATAAAAAAAGAGCATTTCAGCCAGGCATAGTGGCATCTTCCTATAATCCCAGCACTTTTGGAGGCTGAGGCAGGAGGATAACTTGAGCCCAGGACTTTGAGACCAGCCTGAGCAACATAGCAAAACCCCATCTCTATAAAAAAATTAAAAAGTAGCCAGGCGTGGTGGTGTTCGCCTGTAGTCCCAGCTAATCTTGAGCCCAGGAGGATCGCTTGAGCCCAGAAGGTCAAGGCTGAAGTAAGCCGTGATTGTGGCATTGCATTCCAGATTGGGTGACAGAGCGAGACCTTGTCTAAAAAGAAAAGAAAAAAAAAAAAAAAACCCAAGGACCCCTACTGATACAAATGAGAATCCTCAAAGGCACAAAAAATTGGGCCAGAGCATAAAAGGCATACTTTATGTGGGAGGTGCAAAAGGATTAATTTTAACATCTCTTTCTTTGGGATGCTCTTTCGCTATACTTCCTTTTAGGGTGGTTTCTTCCAAGAAACTATGTTGATGAGGGAAATGACACCCAGGAGCCTCTCCCCATCTGGGAAAAAGTAGCAAGGCTCAGCAAAGAAAGGAGGCATCAAACAGGTTGCCAAGGCCTGATTTTGTGAAGCAGGAAGCCTAAAAACTGGGGAAGCACTCTTTAAGAAAAATGCTAAAGGACCCCATGAACACAGTGCTAGGGCCACACTAGTATGAAGGGGCCCATGCAAGGGAGGGGACTGAAGCTTAGGCTTCCTCAGCTTCATAGTAAATTCAGCTCTGCCCAGAGAACAAAAGAGATTCCTGCCTGTGGCTCAGGAGTGGTTCAGCTGGCCTCAACTCAGTAAGTGAAATGTCCATTTATGGAGCGAGGGGGTCACACTGACCTCTGTCTTCTTAGAGGAAACAAAAATATTTAACTGTTGGAAACTGGATAAAACTGTCAAAAGATATCTCCTACACAGATTGTGAAACATAATTCATGGCTCTGTTCCTTCTGTACCCATTGTAAACACACACATACACACACACACACACACACACAATTTTAATTATTAAGATAAAAAAGCAAAAGGCCAGGTGTGGTGGCTCATGATTGTAATCCCAACACTTTGGGAGACGAAGGCAGGAGGATCGCTTGAGCCCAGGAGTTTGAGACCAGCCTGGACCACACAGTGAGAGCCCATCTCTACACACATGCACACACACAAAGATAAAAAAGAAAAACTATAATGCTTCTTTAACATTGTGTGTCTATGCACCTCTACTCTTTGAATTTCCACAAGATCACCATGGTAGAGCCTAATTCCCTCACCCCACATCCTGTATCCATCTGTATCCATCATTTCCTTATTTCTTCTAGCAAAAGAACCCTCTGAATTTTTGCTGAGCACATGGTCACACAGCAAGAGGCCACGTTTCCTTCTCTACAACTAGGTGTGGCCTGTGACTCAGTTCTCACCCATGGGATGTGAGCACAAGGGGTAAGTGCAAATTTGGGGCAGTGTCTTTTTTTTCTCTTTTAGAGACAGAGTTTTGCTCTATTGTCCAGGCTGAAATGCAGTAGTGTAATCATATCTCACTATAGCCTCGAGCTCCTGGGCTCTAGCAATCCTCCCACCTCAGCCTCTTGAGTAGCTGGAAATCCAGGTGCACACCACCATGTCCAGCTAATGTTTTTTGTTTTGTTTTGTTTTGTTTGTAGAAACAGGGTCTTGCTGTGTTGCCCAGGCTGGTCTCAAATTCCTGGACTCAAGCAATTCTCACCCCTTGGCCTACAGAAGCAGTGGGATTATAGACATGAGCTATTGTGCCTGGCCCCTGGGCCAATGTCTTTAAAAAGAAAACTGCATGTCCAGCCTCTCCCGGCCGAAAAGTTGTGAACTGCGTGTCACAACTTCTGCTGTGTGAGGACCACACTCTGGACAGGATAGAGCCACAGAACAGACAGAACCCGCACCAGGCTGACTGGGGAGCAGAGCAGCCTGCGGCCCTAGACTAATTGCTGCCTGAGGACTGTTCCATGAGAGAGAAAAGTCTATCTTCTCTTTTTTTTTTTTTTTTGAGATGGAGTCTCACTCTGTTGCCCAGGCTGAAGTGCAGTGGCGTGATCTCGGCTCACTGCAACCTCTGCCTCCCGGGTTCAAGCAATTCTCCTGTCTCAGCCTCCAGAGTGGCTGGGATTACAGGCTCGTGCCACCACACCCAGCTGATTTTTGTATTTTTAGTAGACATGGGGTTTCACCATGTTGGCCAGGCTGGTATCGAACTCCTGACCTCAGGTGGTCCGCCTGCCTCAGCCTCCCAAAGTGCTGGAATTACAGGCGTGAGCCACCGTGCCCAGCCTAAAAGTCTATCTTCTTTATCAGACTGTGTCACTGGGCCCCTTTGTAACAGCAGCCTCATCTCCACCCTCACATTACAACCTCCTCTGGGGGATTTCAGCATCTAAGCTTCCTTAGATGAAGGTATGGGAAGAACCTGCCTTAAATTTCGTTCTACATTCTTCTGAACAGGATTACATGAAAGTTCCTTCAAAGATGGAAGCATTTTTAAAAATGATAAATCTACACAGGTTGAGCATCCCTAATCCAACAATCTAAAATCCAAAACGTTTTGCTTGTCAACATGACACCACAGTGGAAAATTCCACACCTAATTTCATGTGGCCAGTCACAGTCAAAACACAGTCAAAACTTTGTTTCATGCACAAAATTATTACAACTGCTGTTTAAAATTACCTTCAGGCTATGTGTAGAAGGTGTATATGAAACATAATGAATCTCATGTTTAGACTTGGGTCCCATCCCCAAGCTATCTCATTATGTATATGCAAATATTCCAAAATCTAAAATCTGAAACACTTCTGGTCCTAAGCATTTTGGATAAGGAACACTCTACCTGTATCTCAATGATGTCTTTTCTCAGGGCAGAAAATTCCCGAACCAAAAGACTCAAGCCTGCCCCGTGGATGATGTCCTAATTATCCTAAAAACAGGACTGAGACTACCCTTCCTTCTGCCGTAATGACTTGAGCTGTGATACTGACTTTCTAGAAATTAGGCAGTTGCATTTTTAAAGATGACTGATGTGGACAAAAACGTTGAAGAAGGAGGGAGTCAATATTTAGATTTCACAAAGGCCAAGTAGAATGGATTTACATATTGATGAAGGTTATTATTTTCTTTGGGGAGATTTCCTTGAAATAATATGATTGTATAACTCCAATATTTGCCCAATTCTAAGGATAAATAATAACAATAATAAATAATAACTGACCCAAATCCTATAAGTGAATTAATCATTGTTCTTTGGCTTCAACACTAACTGGTGCTAGTGACGATTTCTAGCACACACACAAAATATTTTTAGAAATTGTTTTCTTATGGGCTCAATTAGTCAAGTTATTTTGTTGTATTATTTTATAGAACTATGACAAGCAAGAGCGAGTTTATCCTTACCGGTCTTCCCTGTACCTCATCATGTATGATATAGGAATATCTTATGTGTTTTCTGTTTCCTTTGGCCAAGGCATAGACACTGAGCAGAATATATTTGTTTTACATTATTTTCTGAACAAATGATAAATCACTGCTACAGACTGACTGTTTATATCCCCCCAAAATTCATAGGTTAAAACCTAAACTCCAATGTGAGAATATTAAGAAGTGGGGCCTTTGGGAGGTGATTAGGTCATGAGGGTTCTTCCTGGGGTCAGCGCCCTTATAAAAGAGACCCCAGACAGCTCCCTCTCCCTTCTTCTGCCAAATGAGGACACAGGGAGAAGACATCCAGGAGGTCAGCCTTCACCAGATGTGGAATCTGCTGGTCCCTTAATCATGGGGACCTCCATCCTCCAGAACTTCCAGAAATAAATGACTGGTTTATAAACCACCCAGGCAATTATATCCTTATAGTAGCCTTAACAGACTAAGATAATCACTGACTCCTAACCTAAGCATCCATCTCAGATCTCATAGAACCACAGAAATTTTTAGCTGGAAAGGACCTTTGCCAAAGATCACTGGGTCGAATATCATTCTTTTTGGAAGAAGGTTTACTCAGGCACCAAAGTGCACAACTAGGATTCATAACCCTTGCAAGGAAGGTATGAAGGTATGAATTCTGGAGTTTCCCCCCAGCCCCAAAAGATATGCCCACTTGGTATGTATAATAGAGATATGACTTCTCCCCAAAATTCACCTCATTTTAAAAGGCACTGTAAATTGTTTTATAAAGCAAATACATACAAATAGTCTTGTACTTTGTTTTAAAAGTTTTTGGTTTTCATTTTTTTTTTTTTTTTTTTGAGACGGAGTCTCACCGTGTCACCCAGGCTGGAGTGCAGTGGTGCGATCTTCGCTCACTGCAACCTCTGCCTCTGGGGTTCAAGCGATTCTCCTGCTTCAGCCTCCCGAGTAGCTGGGATTACATGCATGTGCCACCATGCCCAGCTAATTTTTGTATTTTTAGTAGAGAGGGGGTTTCACCATGTTGGACAGGCTGGTCTCGAACTCCTGACCTCGTGATCCGCCCGCCTCGGCCTCCCAAAGTGCTGGGATTACAGGCGTGAGCCACCGTGGCTGGCCTTTAAAAATATTTTTATAGCCTAGGCAACATAGTGAGACCCCATCCCTTCAAAAACAAAAACAAAAAAAAATTAGCCTGGTGTGGCAATGCACACCTGTAGTCCTAGCTACTTGGGAGGCCAAGATGGGAGGATCATTTGAGCCCAGGAATTCAAGGTTGCAGTGAGCTGTGATGCTACCACTGCACTTCAGCCTGGGCTATAGAGTGAGACTCTGTCTCAAAACAATAATAAAAAATGTATTTTTAAATACCTTTAGTGTTTAAGGCAAAATAATACATATGTTCATTCATTCATTCATTCATTCATTCATTCCACAAATTTGACAAATGACCAAGCTTTGCCAGCCTCTGCTGAACACTGTGTTGAACAAAAGAGACCCAGTTCCTGCCCTCATAGAACTTGCATATTAGTGAGCTTAGTAAGCCAACAAATAAATATGTAATATATAAATTGTCATGTATGAAATATAAGAACTGCAGGGGGCTCTGAGAATGGCTGGTGGACGGCATCGGTGGAGATGTCAAGGGAGGTTGCTCTGAAGGAGTGACAGACTGAAGCCTCAGGGATAGGCAGAAGCTGCCTGGGTGAAGTGTAGGGTAACAGCGTTCCTTCATCAAGACACTAAGGACAGAAGCAGCCTCCAGTTTTGAGTAAGCGTGGTTGAAGAGCAGCTGCTGGAGGGAGGAGAGGGGCTTAGGCTGGTGAAGTGGGAGAGGCACAAGGCATGACAGCCTAGAAGACCATGTTAAGCATCCTTGTCTCTGAAAAAGTGAATTTTTGACTACATAGGCAGTTCAAAGAAGAAAGAAAAACCTGCCCATAGTATTGTCTTTCATAAATAGCCACTGTTAAAATGTTGGTGAGCTAGATATACCCTTTTTTCCCTCTTTTTCAAAGTACTTTTTACATCTGGAATTGAAATATTTATGTTTTTCTATTAATATTTATAATCTGTCTTTCCCTACTAGACATAAGCTCCATGAACACAGAGTACCTTACCTATCTTGTTTCTTCTGCTCAATATTTGATGACTGAATAAAGATTGCAAATCTCTCTCTTACATATACACAAGCATGTACTTATTTGGACAAATGGAACAACAGATAGATAGCTAGATAGATAGCTAGATAGATAGATAGCTAGATAGATAGCTAGCTAGATAGATAGATACTTTTACACAAATAGTGAATAAGTACTTTTGGCAAAAGACAATATGTATGTTTAAATATTTATTGATTTTATTAATATTTACCAGTGTAAATATTAATGTTTATATTATATTAGTATTTATTTAATATAAATATTAATATTTAAATATAAAAATTTATATTATATTAATATTTTAATTTATTTGATATGCATATTAATATTTATGTCAATATTTAAAATAATGAATTTTTTTTTGAGACGGAGTTTTACTCTTTCATTCAGGCTAGAGTGCAGTGGCATGATCTCGGCTCGCCACAACTCCACTTTCCAATTTCAAGCAATTCTCCTGCCTCAGCTTCCTGAGTAGCTAGAATTACGGGTGCCCGCCACCACGCCAGGCTAATTTTTGTATAATTAATAGAGATGGGGTTTCACCATGTTGGTCAGGCTGGTCTCAAACTCCTGACCTTGTGATCCACCTGCCTCGGCCTCCCAAAGTGCTAGGATTACAGGCGTGAGCCACCGCGCCGGGCCTAGTGTTTATTAAGTATACGTTTTGTCTTTTGCTAGAGGTGAGTACTTATTCAGGTTAAGTATTAATACAACAATAAACCTTAATTATTAAACCTTAATATTATAAACCTTAATACAAACCTTAATCAATAGAGGTGAGTACTTTATGCATGTTTAAATATTTGTTTTATTAGTGTTTATTTATATTAATACATAAAATTTATTGATATTTAATGTTAACAAGTATCAATTTATTGTTTATATTAATGAATAGTAATATTTAAATCAACACGTTAATATATATGAATATTTATTTACATTTATTAACATTTAACAAATTAATATTTATTGATTTAATTATACATATTATCTTTTGCTAGAGGTGAGTATTTATTCATTATGCCGCTTGTTTTCTTCATAAGGTGCTGCTCCCCATGGATGAAGAGGAAACCAGGATGTGCAGCCAAGACCCGTCCTGACCCCTCATTGGGATCTGCCTCTCTGCAGAACCCACATGTGCCTCCTTCTCTTCACTGCATAACATGCCTTTGTGTGTCTGTACAGAATTTGCCTGACTTGCTCCCCATGGAGGGATATTTAACGGGTTTGCTGTTCCTCATTATAAATGAAACCGTGATGAGCAATCCCATGCATATGCATCTTTTCACACACTTAAATTTCTTTTCACACACTTATCTTTTCTTAGAGTAAAATTCTAGAAGTGAGATTGTAGTGTCAAAACAAACACATTTTATATTTTGATACACATAGCCAAACTGCCCTCTGGAAAGGCTGTACTCATTCACATTTGTAAACACAGTATATGAGACAGCCTTTCCCCTAAACCTTAATCAATACTGAGTTCGGTCAATCTTTTAAAACTGTCAAATGGGTGAAATGATAAGCCACCACCAAGGACTGCTGGTCTTATTTGAACACGTTTATTTCTGAAGTTTGAATGTGTTTTAATGGATTTATTGAAGCATTGCCTGCTTGCCTGCCTTCCTTCCTTCCTCTCTCTCTCTCTCTCTCTCTCTCTCTTTTTCTTTCTTTCATATATGGAGTGTTTAAGTCTTTTGCCTTAACAGCAGTACTGAATGTGTGGTCCCTGGGCCAGCAACATCAGCATCACCTGGGAACACCTTAGAAGTGCAAATTATACAGCCAGGCATGGTGGCGTGTGATTGTAGTCCTCACTACTTGGGAGGGAGGCTGAGTTGGGAGGATCACTTGAGCCCAGGAGTTGGAGGCTGCAGTGAGCTATGATTGCACCACTGTACTACAGCCCATGCAACAGAGCAAGGCCCTGTCTCAAACATAAATAAAGCAAATAAATAAAGTAAAATAGAAATGCAAATTCTTGAGCTCCACCTCTACTGCATGAGAAACTTGGGGTGGGCCTGACCATCTGTGTTATAAGAAGGCCTCCAGGTGACACCCATGCGCACTTATGTGCCTTAACTCATTGTTTTCTTTCTCAGTCATGTTGTACACCCTCACTCTCTTACACAGAAACCTGTCTCCAACATCCAAACTGGAGACAAAAAGCTTTTTGATCAGCAGCAATTTCAATTATTTCCTCCTCCAAATGGTACTTATGGACTGAACATCGTTTGCTATTCCCTTTTGTCCACAATATCCTGAAACCCCTTAACAAACCTCAGGAGCGTATGGTGTCTCGAGCGCCAAACTCACAGCCAAATCACAGCTGGAAGAGGGATTTTCTGTCCTTGTCTGCCTTACATCACCCCCCATCTTCAATTCACAATCCATATTTTCCCTGAAACTCTAGGGGCATGTGGTTTGGAGATCCTGGCTCCATCCCCAACTCCAACTCCAGGGTTGGGCAAGTGACTCAGGCCTGACTAAAGAGCATCTCCAACACTTCTCTCCCCGTCTCTTTCCCAATACAGCACTTGGTTTAGCAAAGGGCACAAGACCCAAGCCCATCTAATTCATGTCTCCTGACAACCTTGCCAAACTTTTTCAATGAGCCAGCAAGGTGGGCATTTCCATCAGTCCCTGGCCTCTTGGTTCAATAATCCCTTTTATTTAAGATGCTGTGTAAGCCTCTCGCTGACAACTGGTAGAGGCATTCCCTGGGCTGGTGGGTGCCAGGAATGGATATGTGAGATCGTGAGGCAACATTCCTCAGCCTGGTTCCGCGGCTCCTGGCCCATCTGTTTGGCAAAAAGCTGCTGAGAGATTCCCAGAATTCACTCTCCCTCCACAACACCATCAAGGGCCGCATTTAAAGAGTTCCCCCGACTCTCAGGGATACCGAAGAGACTCCTGGCGCTGGAGTCCTTTTTTTCTCCCTTAAGAAAGAAGCTGGCTTTTTTTTCCCCCCAAATAAGATATTCAGAATCATTTTATCTCCAGCCCGCCACACTTTAATTAAAGTCAGTCATTCAAAGACATCTATCGTGCGGCTCTCAGCAAGAGCAGGGCACTCCAAGGGCACTGCTCCTCTCTGAGCGTGACATACAAAGGAGGCGCGGCGCAGACCGCAGCCTGCGAGGAACTGATTCTTTCACAGATCTCAAGCCTCTGGTGATGAAAGTGGAAGAGAGCTCAACTAGGACCAAAAAAGGCGAGAACATGATTCAGCTCCCAAGAGGGTTTCCGAATGTGCGAAGGGGGAGAGCGCGGCGGAGGGGGCAGGGGAGGGAAAACCCGAGGGTGCCGCCGGGACGGAAATCCACGCTCCCCTCGAGATTGTTCAGAAGGCAGGAAATCTACAGCCCCTAGGGAGAGGTCTGCATACTGCTAAACAATGCGGCATCAAAACCCCTCTCTGCTTCGTAAAGGGCGTGAGACTTGACACTGTCAGCTATAGTGACACCACAAGGCCTGAAGAGGGCTCTTAGCTCAGCAGGGAAGCCGCGGGCTCCTGACATCTGTGGCCAAACCTGCGCTGCTCTGTGAGGAAGGATGGGGGAGAGCCAGAGCCGGCAGCGCAGGGAGCACGCATGTTCACATACACACGCCACACCACACAGGGTCTCATGTATACACACACACCACACGCATGCACAGTCACACATGCACCTCCCCCAGCAGTCTCACACCCACATCATACACCCCCACCCATACCCACTCTCTCTCACACACACACACCATACACACAGTCACACACACCACACAATCACACACACACCACACACCCTCACCCATACCCAGTCTCACACACACACCACATAGTCACACACACCACACCCCTAACCCATACAGCCTCACATACATACACACACCACACACAGTCATATACACACCACACCCCCAACCCATACACAGTCTCGCATACACATACACACACCACACACCTTCACCCATACCCAGTCTCACACACACACCACACACACAATCACACACACCACACACCCTCACCCATACCCAGTCTCTCTCTCACACACACACACCCCACGTAGTCACACACACCACATTCCTGACCCATACAGCCTCACATACATATACATACACCACACACAGTCATACACACACCACACTCCCACCCCCAACCCATACACAGTCTCACATATACATACACACACCACACACACACACCACATACCCTCACCCATACCCAGTCTCACACACACACACCACACACAGTCACATACACACCACACCCCCCCACCTCATACAGTCTCATATACATACACACACCACACATATAATCACACACCACACACCCCCACCCATGCAGTATCACATACACCACACACCTAGTTACACACATACCACACACACCCCCCACCATACACAGTCTTACATACACATATACACACTACACATGTAGTCACACACACCACACCCCCAACCCATACACAGTCTCATACACATACACACACCACACAATCACACACACCACACACACCCTCCCATACACAGTCTCATACACACACACACCACACACCTAGTCACACATATACCACACACACCCCCACCCATACAGTCTCTCACACACACACACACCACACAGTCACACAAACCTCCCCACAACAGTCTCACACACACACCATACACCTCCACCCCCACAGCCTCATATCCACGCACCACGCAGTCTCACACACACCACACATATCACACACTCCCATCCCCACAGTCTCATGTACACATATACACCCCACACACATAGTCACACACACCACACACAGTCACACACACACCTCCCCCGACAGTCTTACATACACAGTCTCACACACACCACACACCCCCACCCACACATTGAGTCTCTGGTACACATATAACCACACACACCACACCTACCCCCAACTCTCACATAAGCCCACAGTCACACACATACCTCCCACACACAGTTTCACATATATATATGGTGACACACACACATTGCACATATACCCCTCAAAGTCTCTCTCTGTCTGACACACACACACACACACTCCTCAAGCACTTCAGTCCTAAGACACAGCTTCTTGCTCAGCCCCTGGACCATTCATACAGGGGTATGGAATCGATCAAACAAGACACACAATTATCAAGGATGGAGGAGGAAAAAATTGAACTTTTGACACTCCCGTTCCTTCTGCTGTGCAGCTTCACCAGCCGGAAGCCGCAGTAGCCACCAGAGGGCACTAGAACGTTCCATCACACCGTCCATCAACACATTTGTGTGTGAAGAGAATTTCTTCAACATTTGTACTTCTATAAATACAAAAAGTCACAATGAGTCCCCTCTGCATCCAATGCAGGGTGTTTATACTGCAGTTTAACCAGCAGATACAAATGAACAAGCACTGAACGACTGCAGAAGGGAGACTCCCAACTTCTCAGAAGCTACAGAAAGTTCTCTGTGAATCACAGGATTTGAAGACACACCCCTGAGAGGCAGGATCCCGACCAGCAGAAGGAATGGGGTGTCAAAAAGTCAATTTTGTCCTCCTTTATTTTCTTTCCCTTCCTCCCTCCCTTCCCTTCCCCTACCTTCCTTCCTTCCTTCCTTCCTTCCTTCCTTCCTTCCTTCCTTCCTTCCTTCAAGACAGCGTCTCACTCTGTCACCCAGGCTGGAGTGCAGTGGCACAATCTCATCTCACTGCAGCCTCGAGTTCCTGGGCTCAAGAGATCCTCCCGCCTCCGCCTCCCAAGTAGCTGGGACCACAGGCGCCGACAACACATCTGGCTAATTTTTAAAAAAATTATTTGTACAGATAGAGTCTTGCTATGTTGCCCAGACTGGTCCCAAACTCCTGGGCTCAAATGATCCTCCCACCTCAGACTCCCAAAGTGTTGGGATTACAGACGTGAGCCACTGTGCCCGGCCCCTAATCTATTTTCTTTTATCCTACGGGTACTATAAATTAGTATCTGAATGGCCCTCTCATTTTATTCCACCCAGCAAAGGAGTTGATTGAAGAAACTCTTGCTCCCCACCAGGCCAACCCCAAGCCAAAAACTTAGTGGATGGTGGCTGGCATCCCCTGGTGGGAGGATAGAGCCCTCCACCTGGCAAGAAGCAGGAAGGAGATGGAAAACAGGTAAAAGAAGCCCACTCTAGACTCTACTCTCTCTGTCTCTCTTCTTCCCCATTATTGCCAGCTATTCCTGAAATTTGCACACATCTCTTGGTTCTAGTCTTGTCCTCAAGAGAACCTGCCAATCTCTGCTTTGGGTATCAACTGTAAAGGGCCCAGGTTATAAGGACTTGACCTGTGGTCCCAAGTGCCATTACTATGGCCCACGGGGCACTTATTAGGAATCATGGCTTCACACACATCTGCCCAGAAGTGCCACAGCCTGAATATCATCAAGAGGTTCAAGGGCCTTCTGAGGCCAATGGATACACAGGTGTGAAAAGGCAGAGGAAACGTCAGTCATCTTCCTACCTTCGTATCTTGCCCAAGCCTTCCTAGTTTTGTTTTCTCAAACCCCTATTTAAGAACAATTCTGATGTAGCCATAGAAACATAACATTTTGCCGTTGTTAGGAAAGCAAGACTCATAGACAAAAATACTTCAGCACAGAAACCCAGGAAATTTACACAGAGGTCTTCTGTCGGCTCTGTGTAAATGCAATACAGGATTTCTCTATAGCTATTTAGCTACAGAATGGGCTGGGCGATGTTTTCTCAAACATTTACTTCCCTGAAACTATCTTATCAGTAGGAAATAGCCATAAAAACTCCTTTTCTAGTAGATAAACAGAAGCCTCCACTGGTTAATGAGTTGCCTGGGTGGCAGAAACACTCTGGAATTGACTGGTAATTTGTGTCCTCTGCTTCAGCCAGGTTCATCAGGACTGAAACCTAGCTCTGTGGCCTTAGTTTCTCAACTTTTCCAGGCCTCAGTTTCTTCATCTGTAAAATGCAGATAATAATGTCTATTTCATGGGATCCATGAAAGGATTAAATGGGATAATGCACAGATTTCAGGGTCTCTGACAGTCCTCATTTCACATATTGTGTATATGTGTATTTTCACAGGGAAAGATCCCTAAAAGTTCGATCATATTATCAAGGGATCTCTGAACAGTTTTCAGAACTATTGCTGTACAGCAAAGCATCTTTGTAAGGTTTCTGGGAGCTCCCATCTTTACCAGTGACATTCTATGCCGTCAGGTTTTTATGAGAACATGCAGAGTATAAGACAGATAAACAGGATGGGTTTTCTCAGAAATGGAACTACTCTACCTCCAAAAATAGACAGGACTCTAAAGTTTCTGTGTAACATTCCCAAATTTAAGGAGGCTAAATATAATGTATTTTGCCTAGAAGTGTCATTAATATCATATGTAGCAGACATATAAGATTGATAAAGATAAAACTGTACTATTGTACAATTGTACAAACAATGAAAAAATTACATCCAAAGTATCTGTAACAGTAAGTGTTCTGGGAATGAAGCAATGTCAAAGTAAGGGATCCTTGTGGATAGTCACTCATCAAGGGTACCAAGTCTCCACAAATAAAAGTAAAGGAGCTGGAAGATAAAGGAAGAGCAGAGAACAGTGGTTCATCATTTGCCATTCCTTATATTAAATCTGTTTGTGCTTTATGTCCTATTATTACAAAAAATAAACTCTAAAGACTGTCCCTGAAAAATGTATGCCTGACAAAGCTTACTGATGACCGAGAGCATTTGAAGGTGCCACTATTTCAGCAGAGGAAGCGAAAATGCTTAAAATGCAACCTTAAGATGGACTGAAAATTGGCTAGGCTGGTAAAAAAAAAATCTATGAGAAAAGCTCAGTTATAGATGTCCTATTTTTTTTCAGCTCCACACATCCCCCTCCATTCACAAGGTCATTTCCTCTTGTTTGACTTTTCGGCATATGTCCCGTCCGCAGTATTATAAACAAATATTCAGATTTCATGCATTTAGAAATGCTTTCTTCTGCTCATGTAAATTCCCACATACATAATAATGTTCACAGTGCCTGAACATAAGAAGGCAGTCAATTAATACTTGTTGAATGAAAGAGAGTGAAAAGAAAAAATTAACATTTGTTCAATGAATGGGAATAAAAAGACAAAAACCATCAAGGGAAAGCTGAAAACCAAATATCTTCCTGAATAATAAAGGGGCAGTGTTAGCCTTGTGGATATTCATGTGTGGACAGCAATCTCCTTCTTTAGAATCAGAAAAAAACAACTTGTCACTCAAGCAAAGAGAAGAGATCCAGCACTTATCTGACTTCTGGATGAGACTCAAGGCTTTCTTGGGAGAAAAAGGCAAGAAAAAGGTTATTTTCCATAAGATAATTAGCACACAGGTTGGAGGGGAGGGACAGGTATGTACTCCATACCAAGTTCCAATAATCTGAGGATTTTCTCATAATCAAGTGCCCAATACATGTGTGCTTGGAGGAGGAAGAAACTCTTGTTGGCCTAGACCAAGAGGAGGTTTAATGAGGCAGAAATAAAATTACACATTAAAAAAAAAAAGAAACAAAGCCATCAAGAGTTAAACAGAAAGAAAGAGAGGTTATGATACGGAATTTTTTTTTTTTGAGACGGAGTTTCACTTTGTCAACCAGGCTAGAGTGTAGTGGTGTGATCTCGGCTTACTGCAACCTCCATCCCCCCGGTTCAAGCGATTATCCTGCCTCAGCCTCTTGAGTAGCTGGGATTATAGGCTCCTGCCACCATGCCTGGCTAATTTTTGTATTTTTAGTACAGACAGGGTTTCGCAACGTCGGCCAGGCTGGTCTCAAACTCCTGACCTCAGGTGATCCACCCGCCTTGGCCTCCCAAAGTGCTGGGATTACAGGTGTTAGCCACCGTGCCCAGCCTGATACTAAATTTTTTAAATGGTATTTCAAAGTTGTTGGCCAGGCTGGTATCAAACCCCTGACCTCAGGTGACCTGCCCTCCTCGGCCTCCCAAAGTGCTAGGATTACAGGCATGAGCCACTGCGCACGGCCAAGACCTTAGCATTTTCCTAGCACGTGGTAAGTGCTCAATAAATGCTAGCTGGCCTCACCATATAAAGATAAAGAACTCTTACAAATAAATATGGAAAAATTAATATACCAGTCCATAACAGGCAAGGAGAAATAACAAGAAATTAAGGAATTCAAAATGGCTAATAAACATAACATTCTCTTACTAATGAATTAAACATAACCCTTACTAATGAATTAAAAAATTAAAACAGGATTGCTTTTTTTTTTTTTTTTTTTACCAAATTGATTTAAAATGATAGTGCCCAGCATTGAAAAGGATGCTCTGGGCCAGGCGCAGTGGCTCATGCCTGTAATCCCAGCACTTTGGGAGGCTGAGGAGGGTGAATCACCTGAGGTCAGGAGTTCAAGACCAGCCTGGCCAACTTGGTGAAACCCTGTCTCTACTAAAAATACAAAAATTAGCTGGGCATGGTGGTGGGCGCCTGTAATCCCAGCTACTCAGGAGGCTGAGGCAGGAGAATTGCTTGAACCAGGAAGGTGGAGGTTGCAGTGAGCTGAGATTGCACCATTGCACTCCAGCCTGGGTGACAGAGTGAGATTCAGTCTCAAAAAAGAAAAGAAAAGGATGCTGAGCAGTCACTGTCATGAAGTGTTGGGAGGATTCTAACTTGGTATTAATTGTGGGGAGGAGGGAAATTTGGCAATATATAGTAATATGTAGCAACTTTTAGAATCTTGCTATACATTATTTGACCCTGTAATTGAAGTTCTAGGAATGTATCCTAAGTTATTACTCAGAAATGTACAAAGAATTACAAGGATGTTTATTAACTGTGTTGTTTATATGAGCAAAAATGATAACCAACCTAAATATCAAACATGTAGAAAAAAATGAATTATGGTATATACAGATAATGAACCATTAAGCAAGCATTAAAACAATATTTTTGAATTCAGTAAAGTAATATAGAGAAATGTTTATAATGTTAAGTAAAACATGAGAATACAGAAGACATAGCAGAACCCCATTTTTGAAAAATATACTTGGTGGACAAAAAGAGACTATAAAAAATGTCCCAGCATGTTAACAATTATCTCCAGATGATGAGATTATGGGTAGTTTATTTTCTTTACAATTGTGATATTGTAAATACTGTATTTGGTTTCTGACTCCATTTCCTGGCATGCAACTCCTAAAATCCTTAGATCTCCAAAGTGATGTCTTGTTTATGCTAAAACAAAATGAGGCCGGGCATGGTGGCTCACACCTGTAATCTTAGCACTCTGGGAGGCTGAGGGGGGAGAATTATTTGAGGCCGGGAGTTTGAGACTATATCCTGGGCAATATAGCAAGAGCCCCATTTCCACAATTTTTTTTTTTAAACAAATAGCTAGGGATGTTGGTGTGCACCTGTGGTCCAGCTACTCGAGAGGCTATGGTGTGAGGATTGTTTCAGCCCAGGAGTTCAAGGCTTCAGTGTGCTATGTTTGTGCCACTGTATTCCAGCCTGGGTGACAGAGCTAGACTCTTGTCTAAAACAACAACAACAACAACAACAACAAATGAGATACCACTTCGCACCCATTGGGATGCCTATTTAAAAACAACAACAGAAAATAACAAGTGTTAGAATGTGAAAAAATTAGAGCCCTCATGCATTTGTTGGTGGGAATGACAAATGGTGCAGCCACTATGGAAGACAGTTTTGTGGTTCCTCAAAAAGTGAAGTGGGTTATCACATGATCCAGCAATCCAGCTCCTAGGTTTATACTCCAAAGAGCTGCAAGCAGGGACTCACACGTACTTGTATAACGATGCTTAAAGCAGAATTGCTCACAAGAGCCAAAAGGTGGGGCCGGGCTCATGCCTGTAATCCCAGCACTTTGGGAGGCCGAGGCGGGTGGATCACCTCAGGTCAGGAGTTTGAGATCAGCCTGGCCAACATGGCAAAACTTTGACTCTGCTAAAAATAAAAAATTTAGCCGGGCCTGGTGACGCATGCCTGTAATCTCAGCTACTAGGGAGGCTGAGGCAGAAGAATCGCTTGAATTTGGGAGGTGGAGGTTGCAATGAGCCAAGATCACGCCACTGTACTCCAGCATCAGTGGCAGAGTGAGACTCTGTCCCCCCAAAAAAAACAAAAAAAAAAGCCAAAAGGTGGAGACAACTCAAGTATTCACTCACAGATGAATGAATAAACAAAATGTGGTATATATACACAATGGAATACTGTTCAGCCATAAAGAAATTCTGATACATGCTACGACATGGACACACCTTGAGGACATTATGCTAAGGGAAATAAACCAGTCATGAAAAGACAAATACTGTACATTTCCACTTACATGAGGTACCTACAGTAGTCAAATGTGTAGAGACGGAAAATAGGATGGTGGGTGCCGGGGGCTGGGGGAAGGAGGAGTGAAAAGTTATTGTTTAATGGGTACAGAATTTCTGTTTGGGATGCTGAAAAAGTTCTGGAAATGGGTGGTGGTGATGGTTGTCCAATGTACTTAATGCCACGGAGTTGTATACTTAAAAACTGTGCCTGAATTCCCTCAGAGTTGCACTCTTGATAGAGTATCTATCTTACTTTTTAATGCTTTGCAGAGAGGGATTTTTCTTCCCATTATTAACTCTTTTTTCTATTTCAACTACCCTCATAGTCTAGAAGTTGCAATATCTAAATTCAGTAGATACAAATAATTCCCTTGTCATGCAATTCAAATCATTTCCTTCGGGATTGGCTTCACGGGAGATAGAGCCAGCCAACATCTCCTAAAAATTACATATTTCCACATGTCTTGGGTCCCTTCTCCAAGTTAAATACTATAATTCTTTTACCTTTTCATCACAGGGCTGGTTGCTCTGGGTCTTCTCCACAAACTTGCTCTAAATCTCTCTCTTAATTTTATACTAAGACATTTTCACATGGACATTTAAAAAACTTCTATAGCAAATGGGAACTGACATGCTTTTAATGACAACAAATATTTTGTGTTGAGAAGGTGGTAAACAATATTATAAATTTGAAAGCAATGAATTTACAAATGTTGCTCCCTAAGTTTAGTTATTTTAATTCATGTTTTCTTGTGTCTAAAACCTCCAAGCCAGCACCTCCCTCTTGGTGTCAGGGACATGTGTCCCACAGTGATGTGCTCATTAAAAGGCACTTCACCCTAGCTGTTGCTGACTTTGCAGTTCACTAGAATATCACATAGCCAGCACCTAATTGATCAGAAATTCACATGGCAAAATCAATGAAGACGTCAGAAACTCCTCCTGACTTTGCTACTGACCTTATGCTAAATTCCAAATGCAAACGATTGGTCTGGAAACTTAACTAGTAAGAATTGACAACAGGTGTAGATCTTACATTCCAGGCAGAGAAGCTAAACAACAAACACCAGATGATATTCCCCAATGAATCACAGGTTCTGCTTTGTCTCATACTTCAAATCTCTCCACAAATTCCCCACTACTCGTAGAAAACCTACCTTGGCCACATCGCCAAAAATACACAACTAAGGAATGAGTGATTTCAAACATTTCATCAAACTATCATATTCCCAAATGCATTTCCATCCTCTTGGTAGTACAACTTTCTGGAAAATGGAAGTGAAAAATGAGGAAAAAATTAACTCAAAAAAGTTATTGCCTTGCTTTTCTCAGAGGCCTTGTAGAATTAGCACACAAATCAAACTTCCCTGCAGAAGAGACCCTGCCTTACTCATGAATATACCTTCCAAAGAGCCCAGCATGGCATCTGGTTCATGGGTACATACATGTGCAAATGTGTTCATAATAACTACGTATTGCACACTCACTAAGTGCTGGCCATTGTGTTACTAATATACACCACTTCAAAAATTAGGTCTGAGGCCAGGCGCAGTGGCTCACGCCTGTAATCCCAGCACTTTGGGAGGGTGAGGTGGGTGGATCATTTGAGGTCAGGAGTTCGAGACCAGCCTGGCCAACATGGCAAAATCCCATCTCTACTAAAAATAAAAACTAGCCGGGCATGGTGGTATGCGCCTGTAATCCTAGCTACTCAGGAGGCTGAGGCAGGAGACTCACTTGAACCTGAAGGTTGCAGTGAGCCGAGATGTGCCACTGCACTCCAGCCTGGGCAACAGAGTGAGACTCCATCTCAAAAAAAAAACAATTAGGTCTGATTATTATTGCCATTTTACAGATGCAGAAATTTGCCTAACTGAAGAGTTAAATAACTGTATTTCCAATGTTTCCTAAACTAACCTCCTAAGTGATCTAGCTGGGATTACAACCCAGGTCTGCCTGACTCCACAATTTCTGCTCTTAATCACCTTCCTGTACGGCCTCCTTGAATAAATGAAGTGAAATTTCCACTAGCTTTTACCAAAGCTGGCTCATTGGCTTCTTGGGTTTGGAGAAGGTTAGCAGCTACAATTCTCAATAATAATGAATTGTATCTTAAAATCAGACATTTCTTTTCATGTACATCTATGCTTGTTTATATTTCACAATAGAGCTCTTGTAAGAGAGATTTAATCTAGTTACTTTTAGTACCTGATTAGATTATTCTGAAATACAAATTGTGAACATTGTGAAACATACTTTCTCCCTCAAAAGACAAATGCCAGCATTGATGTATTATTCATATGACTTTCATGTATTTTTTTTTTTTAAAAAAAGAACAATAGATTTTGAAAAGGCTACAGCCTCAGTAGGAGAACTTCCTTGAGGTCAGCGTTATCCATGACAGCCATATGTTCGGCAGGAAGTCTGTAGCCGGGTAACATTAACAATGAACCTCCTACTTTCTTGTATCCTGGAGAGACTTGTCGCTTGTACATCTGAACAAGGCAGAACTTGGATAAAAAGCATCCTTTTTGCTTTTCATGTATATTACAGTTTGGAATCTTGCATTTCTAGAGTCTTTCACCTGGACATGCCAAATGATTTGTGAGGCTGCCTCACTGAGCAGAGTCTACACATACAGATGAGGCCAGTAATCCCAGTACTGACTGCATGTGTTTATGTGCTTCATGTATTCACTTGAGTAGGGAGGGACTGTATTCCTAGGCAAAGACCAAGGATGGGCTTTCATGTTGATTGCTTTTAGGCAAGCATTGTAAAATATTCAAGGTGCATGCAGAGCCTCAATGAAGAGAGAGATCCTTTATGCATGTTTATATTATACGGGTAAAACAAGTAGGCTGCCAAGCCACTGGATAATTTAACACCCTAACAACTGAACCCTACCTCACATCCTGAGTTCATTTCTTCAGCATACAGTCAGTGAAAGACTCCATTATTTACTTTCAAGTTACACAGTAAACTTGGCCACACATTTACAAAAAATAGTCAACTTTCATCCTCAGCTAAAATAGTATATTGCTCAGAGATAAACTATAACTTATTATTCATATATACTGATTTTATGTCAACCTCAGAATAGCCTGTGAAGTAGATATTGTTATCATTCCTGTTTCACACATAAGGAAACAGACACAGAGGAGTTAAGGAACAGATAAAAGATCTCCAGCATTAAGGAGCAGCACCTAGAAATTCAACCCATGGCTCTTTGCCTCCCAAACTCTTAACTTCATCTCAATGTTATATTGCCTCTCCTGTTTGTTTTTTGAAAGTTAAATCGACTTTGGCAATTTTGTCTAATTAGCTATTAAGCATTGCTATTGCAGATTTACTCCTTATTCAAACAAAATTAAAGGAAAAAGGATGGTGTGCTCTGCCAGTTGAGACAAGTTTTGATTGTTTCCTAGGATAGTTCCAACTCTTGGGTGGGAGGCGGCTGCGGCATGAGCTCTGGGGTCCACCACTTTCTAGCTGTGTGACCTTGGAGAGGTTACTTGATCGTTCTGTGCTTCAGTTCCCTCACCAGTAAAATGAAGACAGTAACAAGAACTATAGTAATTCAATGGCTCTTGGGGGTTAAATAACATGTGGGGCATTTAGAAGTGTTTTGCACATGTCATGTGCTCAGTAAATCTCAGCTTTTTTTTTTTTTTTTTTTTTTTTTTGAGATGGAGTCTCCCTCTGTCGCCCAGGCTGGAGTGCAGTGGCCCGATCTTGGCTCACCACAACCTCCGCCTTCTGGGTTCAAGTGATTCTCCTGCCTCAGCCTCCCAAGTAGCTGGAACTACAGGCTCGCACCGCCATGCTAGGCTAATTTTTGTATTTTTAGTAGAGACGGGGTTTCACCATGTTGGTCAAGCTGGTCTACGAACTCCTGACCTCAGGGGATCTGCCCCCCTCGGCCTCCCAAAGTGCTGGGATTACAGGCGTGAGCCAACCACGCCCGGCGTCAGCTATTCTTATTAATAAGCTGCCTGAAGTAAGTTTATATTTGTGAACATCGGTAACATTAGGGACAAAATTAGCCATTTGGATATTCCGAAAGCTATTTTGCCTTGAAAAGATGATTCAAAAGCCCTCCCGCGGTCCAGGCTGCTTTTGTGATGGTTAAGTGTATCTTTCTCAAACTAAATAGCTTCGACATGGGCTGAATTAAAATAAAGAGTATGGATTCCCTGACACTGCTGCAATTCCAAAACACGCATGCATTCCAATAAATAAATAAATAAATATTTAAAGACTATTTGGTTTCCAAATAAATTGTTATCCCCTCTCTGTCAATAAGCATTGGCCATCTTTCAAACCGTAGGACTTGCTCCTAATCACTTTCTCTAAAACTTTCCCTTCACAGCTTTCATTACAGTACTTGGTGTCCCCAATTGTTGCTGTCCCAGAACAAAAGCCTAATTGCTGCTGCTACAATACTGCCCTTTTTTTCTGAGATCATCATGAAACCCTTGGAGCAAACAAGAGAGGGAGTTCTTGCAAGCAGCAAGCACTGCGTCAAAATTCCTGGACCCCGAGGGCCAACGCCAATTGCGTTTTGAGACTTGAGTGCCTCTCTCATAGTTTCACCTCCCTACAAATAACTCTGTCTTGTGAATGTTTCAGAGCTCTTTAGGACACGTGCGTTTTCTGCTTGGACGAGGCCGGGGTCCCCTTGTCTCCCCAGTACAGCGTGTACTGGGGCAGGACCACGGTCACGCCCGGACGCGATCCGGTCGCGGTGGGGTCCTGGCAGGACGCTCCCAGCCGGACGCCCCTGGGGCCCTGCTGGCCAAACTCTCGTGCCCCGCTGCCGAGCGCTCGTGCCCCGCTGCCGCCAGCGGGAACCCCACCTTCCCAGCCTTTCTGGGACGGGCCCCAGCGCGCTCCATCCCGGGCTGGCACGCAAACCCCCAAAGGCGGCCCTTGGAGAGGGCTCTGGGACTCACGCGGTCTCCGTGGGTCTCGGGTGCCTCTCCCCGGCGGGTTCCCGGCCCCTCGGGGTCTGAGAGTGGGAGCCTCCCATGGCGCAGAACTTGGGGCCGGGGCTGCACCCTCCTGTGCTGGGCGGCGGGCGGCTGTGCCCAGACCCTGGGCGGGGAGGCGGTGGGGCGGGAGGAAGGGTGGGGCGAGGGAGGGCGGGGTGGGGCGCCCGGCCGTAGGGTCCCCGCCGCTGGGAAAGCGGGGAAGGAGGTGGCTTCAGATGCCGCCAACTTCTCCGCGGATTGCAGGGCCCCGCGGGTGCTGCCGCCTGGAGATGCGGAGCCCCTGGGGCGTGCGGGGCTGCGGGGAGCCCGGGCAGCGGCGCCTCCTCGCCCGGCAAGGAAACTCCTAGGTGGCACGGGGCAGCAGGTGGAGGGCGCTAGGCCTGCGGGCGCCCCCGGGACTCCGCGATCCGCGGACGTCGCCCTCTCCGCCCGCTGGGTCCGGGGCTGGAAGGGAAGCCGCGGGAAGAGGCCCCGGGAGCTGCTGTTCAGAGAAGCAGCAGGAGGGGGCGGTGTGTGACGGGGTCAGGGGACCCAGGCGGCCCTGCAAAGGGCATGCTCTTTCCCCTAAACCGCTTCTGCCTCCTGAGACTAGGGGAGGCCTGGACTGCGCTGCACAGAAAACTGGGCTCTGGTTATGCCTCCAACTAGCTGAGTAACTTGGAACAAGTTATTTCACCCTCTCTGAGTCTTGTTTTCTTTATCCATAAAACAAGGGAGTATGTTCATCTTTAGCTTTTAATGTCCCTTTAGGCTCTGACAACCAGGCAATGAATTTTCCTCCAAACTCTGTCGCAAGGAAAAAACAAACAAACAAACAAACACCTATCCCTATCATCTCATCTGCGATCCAGCTACACCTAGCAACTCCCTTTAGAGCATCTCTCATGCCCTTCCTCACCCATTCCTGCCTCCCACCCACCTCCTCTCCAGCCACCTGTCCTTATTCTAGCGCTTTTTCCAGCAGACTGGAATCCTTCTCCAAACCTCCCTTCTATGACACCATCCTGCATCTTGATGTTACATCTTCTTTGTTACTGCCTGTCTCCCTTGCTAGAACATAAGCTCCATGAAGACAGGGAATCTGTTTCGATTTCACTGTTCCTCCAACATGCTTGGCACACAGTGGGCGCTCACAATTGGTGATGGATGCAGGCATCCTACACCCATGTTATCGCTGTCCTTCCCAGGGCTCCTATAGCACTTGTTAACTCTGCTAACGAAGCATTTACCAATCTTATTTTATAATTCTCTCTTCCCGGCCGGGCGCGGTGGCTCACACCTGTAATCCCAGCACTTTGGGAGGCCTAGGGGGTGGATTACCTGAGGTCAGGAGTTAGAGACCAGCCTGACTAACATGGTGAAACCCCGTCTCTACTAAAAATACAAAAATTAGCCGGGCATGGTGGCACACGCCTGTAATCCCAGCTACTTAGGAGGCTGAGGCAGGAGAATCGCTTGAACCCAGGAAGTGGAGGTTGCAGTGAGCCGAGATCGCGCCACTGCACTCCAGCCTGGGCAACAAGAGCACAACTTCATCTCTAATAATAATAATAATAATGATCTCTTCACTTGTCTATCTTTCACTAGAATATAAGTTCTTTAAAGGCAGGAACACTCTGTTGTTGTTGTTGTTGTTGTTGTTGTTGTTGTTGTTGTTGTTGTTTTGAAAGACCGTGTCTCTTTCTGTTGCCCAGGCTGGAGTGCCGTGGTGCGATCAAAGCTCACTGGAGCCTTGAACTCCTGGGCTCAAGCAGCCCTCTTGCCTCAGCCTTTTCAGCAGCTGGGACCACAGGTGAATGCCACCACACCCAGCTAATTTTCTTTTTTTTTGGTAGAGATGGGGTCTCACTATGTTGCCCAGGCTGGTCTCAAACTCCTAGCCTCAAGTGATCCTCCTGCTTTGACCTCCCAAAGCACTGGGACTACAGGTGTAAGCCACCACACCCAGCTGGGAATGCTCCTTTTCTCTGTATTCTAGCTTAGTGCCCAGCACAGTGCCTGGTTCTTGTTTTATATACAATAACTATTTGCTGAATGAATGAAAGAGCCAGTGGTGAAGCACACAGAATTGTTTTCAACATTAACTTCATTCTTGAAGCTGTAGGGGAATAAAGATATATGTGACTACATTTTAGTTGTTCCAGAAAGAATCAGAAAACGCATAATGGAGATTTACATTGACAACAGATCTTTTTTTTTTTTTTTTTTTTTGAGATGGAGTCTCGCTCTGTTGCCCAGGCTGGAGTGCAGTGGCACTATCTTGTCTCACCACAACCTCTGCCTCCCGGGTTCAAATGATTCTCCTGCCTCAGCCTCCCGAGTAGCTGTGACTACAGGCGCGCACCATCACGCCTGGCTATTTTTTGTATTTTTAATAGAGACAGGGTTTCACTATGTTGGCCAGGCTGTATTGAACTCCTGTCCTTGTGATCCGCCTGCCTCGGCCTCCCGAAGTGCTGGGATTACAGGCGTGAGCCACTGTGCCCGGCCAGATCTCTCTTTTATGTAGCAGACTTCGACTACCTCTTTATAAATTATCTTTAGTCTACTTAGCCAGAAAGTTCCCAGGGTCCAGAATGTTGACACATGGTAGACATAAACAGTATTTTGAAGTGGGAAAATAAACAATTAGTAAAAGTATACTGAGGCTGGAATTGAGATTCTTTTATGAAGAATTTCAAATAGCTAAAGAAAAGTTGACTCTTGGCAGATAATTTTCTTTTAAGAGACAGGGTCTTGCTCTGTGCAGTGGCATGATCATAGCTTGCTGCAGCCTTGAACTCCTGAGATAATTTTTCTTTTAAGTTCAAGTTCCTCCCACAGTCTGTTTGGAACACTATGGCAATGTGATTGAAGTGTCATTGATAATGCAAACATAACCCTGTCAGAGCTGCGGTTCCCTTCAGAGGAACGCTCAGCCTCTGCTGGTGAGAAAGGTCTTTATTCCCAGTCGGTTATTCTGAGGGAAGACAGGAGCGGGAGAGGCAGGAGAAAAGGGTGAGAATGGGAAAGTTTTCCTTCTCTGGTAGACAGGACGGGCTGCCGGGAAGAATCTTACTACTATTAGTGCAGAAAGGCACAGGGTGGGGCCACTAAAATGGTTGAAAGTAAAGGAAAAAGGCCGGGCGCGGTGGCTCACACCTGTAATCCCAGCACTTTGGGAGGCTGAGGCAGGTGGCACTTGAGTTCAGGAGTTTGAGACCAGCCTGGCCAACATGGCGAAACCTGTCTCTACCAAAAATTTAAAAAATTAGCCAAGTGTGGTGGTGCGTGCCTGTAATTCCAGCTACTTGGGAAGCTGAGACATGAAAATCGCTTGAACCCGGGAGGCAGAGGTTGCAATGAACGGAGATCGTGCCACTGCACTCCAGCCTGGGCGACAGAGCAAGACTCTGCCTCAAAAAAAAAAACCCAAAAAATGAAAGAGAGAGAGAGAAAGAAGAAAGAAAGAAAGAAAGAAAGAAAAAGAAAAAGAGGAAAGAGTGAAGCCTACACCCTCTTGTGTTGCAGAGAAATTGAGACAAGGGGAAAAGGAACTCTGTAAAATAATGTAAAAGATTTAACATATGGGACCCAAAGGGCATCTCTGCAAAGATGCTTGTGTGTTGGCTGGTTTTGCTTTATGTTGTTTACTGGGTTTGCTGCCCTGACTGGCATGGCAGCTGGGGCTTTGGGCCAGGCTGAGTGGACACAGTGAAGGGAAGTGTTGTCTTTGTGAAGTAAACTTATGAGGGCTTTTAGGGAAAAATGTCCAAGACAGACCAGAGATCCCCAGACACATCTTACCCCACAACATATAATGCTTTGTCCCTCTCATGGAAGCAGAACCAAGATCTGTTTCTCCATCTCAGAGCCTGGCTGCAGATCTCCAAGAAAGGCATAGACTGTGGGATGTCTGCAGTTCCTCTGATTAATGTCACTGGGTTTAAACTCTTTCTTGCTTTTTGTATTTCAGTTAAGAACAAAAGGCTGGACATGGTGGCTCACACCTGTAATTTCAGCCCTTCGGTAGGCCAAGAGGGGAGGATCTCTTGAGCCCAGAAGTTTGAGACCAGCCTGGGCAACATAGAGAGTCCCCTGTCTCTACAAAAAATAAAAAATAAATTGGCTGAGCATGGTGGGGCTCACCTGCAGTCACAGATACTCAGGAGCGTGAAGTAGGAGGATCACTGGAGCCCAGGAAATCAAAGCTGCAATGAGCTGTGATCACACCACTGCACTGCAGCCTGGGCGACACAGCGATAGTCTGTCTCCAAAAAACAAAGCAAAACAAAACACAACACTTCAGCATCCCTAATGATGATATGAATAGTTATTATGCAATCACAATTTATGCTCTGATGAAAGTTATTAAAGAAATGGAAACATGTCCTCTCCCTTGGTGTGGTTCTAAAATGGTACACTCAGAGGCCAGCTGTAAGTTATGGGCAACCCTGCTGTTGTCTGTCCCCAGTGACTGAGAAATTTCGTAATGCCAATTCTGGGGCTCAGAATCGTTCACAGAACTGAGTTTTCCTTCAAGCAGAGGGCAGGAGGATCATAGTTGGACACTACTTGGTATTGCATTTGATACAGAACATAGAGAGAATAAAATCTACTATTTTTTGGTGCCCTGTAATTTATGCCTGCCTGTGACACAAGAAGGAGGAGGAGGAGAATGAAAAGAGAGGGAAGGAGGCAGCCCTTATTTGTTAGTCTCTGGGTCAGTGGGCTGCTGAATACAATGACCAGCTGGAGCCAAAGAGGACACATGGCCTGTGATGGAGTCCAAGTGGGGTAGAATTTCATGTCCGTGGTTAAGGTTTCCACTCGCACATAACAATTCGGTCAAGAAGGTTTTTTTTGTTGTTTTTTGGTTTTGGGGTTTTTGGGGTTTTGTTTTTGTTTTTATTTTTGTTTTGAGACAGAGTCTCGCTCTGTCGCCCAGGCTGGAGTGCAGTGGTGCAATCTGTGCTCACTGCAACCTCCGCCTCCTGGGTTCAAGCAATTCTCCTCCCTCAGCCTCCCGAGTAGCTGCGACTACAGGCACACGCCACCACATCTGGCTAATTTTTTTGTATTTTAGTAGAGACGGGGTCTCACTGTGTTTCCCAGGCTGGTTGTGAACTCCTGAGCTCAGGCAATCTGCCTGCCTCAGCCTGTCAGGTGCTGGGATTACAGGCATGAGCCACAGTGCCTGGCCAAGAAGGTATTCTTTAAACATTGGAAAAATAGCAAGGAAAGAAAATTTAAGCTGTTGAAACTCAAGATTGCCTATAAGATTGCGAAATACATCCTTCAGTGTCAAACGCTACCCCCAGAATGCTACTTATGCTCTGCAGAGGGATGGGCACTAACATTTGTTGGATACTAGGAACTACGCTTGGTGGTTAACGAAAGTAACCACATTCGGGCCTCATAGCACCAGGAAAAAAATAACAGTGGGTAATACTTATAGAGCACTTTTTATGTGCTCAGATTCTGTTCTAAGTGCTTTAGATTTATTAACTCATTTACTGTTCACCACAACCCTATGGCTAGGCACTTTTAGTATTCTCGTTTACAGGCATACCTCAGAAATATTGCAGGTTCCATTGCACACCACTGCAATAAAGTGAATATTGCAATATAGCGAATCACACAAAATTTTTGGTTTCTCGGTGCATATAAAAGTTATGTTTACACTATATGATAGTCTGTTAAGTGTGCAATAGCATTATGTCCAAAAAATGTACATTCCTTGATTTAAAAAATACTTTATTGCTAAAAAATGCTGACACAGAGACATGAAGTGAGTACATGCTGTTAGAAAAATGGCACCAATAGACTTATCCCACACAAGGTTGCCAAAAACTTTCAATTTGTAAGAAATGCAATATATGTGAAGTGCAATAAAGTGAAATGCAATAAAACGAGCAGTGCTTGTACAAATGAGCAAGATGAAGCAAAGTAAGGTTAAACATACCCAAGGCCACATAGCTAGAAAATGGCCAAGCTAGATTCAAACCTGGGTAAGATAGCTCCAGTGCTATAGCACACGGCTTAGCCTCTATACTTTACTGCCTTAATCCTTACACTGCACATCCCATTTTAAGATGAAGATACTCAGTTTTAGAGAGCTGAATGGTGCATCCAATATTTAAATCCAGTTGTCTTGATTACAAACCTTATGTTCAACATGGATTTTTTTTTTCCCTTAGCAATCATCCCAAAGGAGAATTACCCTTCAAATTGGCCACCTTGGGAAGTCACATGCTTATCTCAGAGCTACCCATCTCTCCTCATTTGGAAATTATTTAAATGCCAATTTATAGATCAAAGAATAAAATTGGTTCATTCCTTCAGAGCCACATATTGTTCTTGAAATCAGGTAGCTGAAGTGTTCCAATATTGTTCTCCTCTTTCAAAACGATGTGGCTATACTAGGTCCTTTGACTTCCCATATAAAATTTAAAATACTCTTGCAAATTTTTTTCAAAAAAAAAGTTACGATTTTCGTGGGAATTGCATTGAATTTATTGAATAATTCAAAAAGGATTGCCAGCTTAACAATATTGAGACTTTGAATCCATGAACACGGTATAGCTGTTCATTTATGCAGATCTTCCTGTCATGTTTTATTGTTTTCAGCCTACAGGTCATACATGTCTTTTGCTAAGTATTTTATGCTATTGTAAACAAAGTGTCTTATAACTTAACTTTCTAAATGTTAGTTGCTAGTATGTGAGACAGAATTGATTTTTGTATATTTTATCCTGCAACCTTGAATTGATTTTTGTATATTTTATCCTGCAACCTTGTACCTCTAATAGCTTTTATTGTGGGTTTCTTAGGGTTTTCTATACAATGTCACTTGTAGATAAGGACAATTTTACTTATTTCTTTCTAGCATGTATGCCTTATTTTTCCCTTGCTTTGTTGCACTGACTAGGCACTCCTATACAATTTAAGTTAAATAAAAATGATGAGAGCCAACATCCTTGCCCTCTACCTCGTCTTAGGTAGAAAGCATTGATTTTTCACATTGTAGTAGGATGTTAGCTGACAGATTTTGTAGATGCCCTTAATCAGGTTGAGGAAGTTTTAATTTATTCTTAATTTGCTGAAAGATTTTTTAATGATAAAAAGGAGTTGAATTTTGACAAATGCTATTGCTGCACCTATTGAACTGATCATATTGTTTTCACCTTCTTCCTTTTTTTCTTTAAGAGACAGGATCTTGCTATGTTGCCCAGGCTGGAATGCAGTGGCTATTCACAGGTGCAATGATAGTGCACTATAGCCTTGAACTCCTGGTCTCCAACAAACCTCCTGCCTCAGTCTCCTGAGTGGCTAGGACTAAAAGACCTTTTACCCCCTTCTTATAGGCTTTCAAAATGATAAATTTCCCTCTAAGTACTATGTTAGCTACATTGCACCACTGTGTCTGTGTTTTTGTCTTTATTCTATTAATTTGTTGAATTACATTGATTAACTGTCAGCTGTTAAAACAACTTTGCATTGGCCAGGCGCGGTGGCTTACACCTGTAATCCCAGCACTATGGGAGACTGAGGTGGGTGGATCATGAGGTCAGGCGTTCGAGACCAGCTTGACCAACATGGTGAAACCCTGTCTCTACTAAAAATACAAAAATTAGCCAGGCGTGGTTGTGCGTGCCTGTAATCCCAGCTACTCAGGAGGCTGAGGCAGGAGAATCGCTTGAACCTGGGAGGCAGAGGTTACAGTGAGCTGAGATCACACCACTGCACTCCAGCCTGGGCGACAGACTGAGACTCCATCTCAAAAAAAACCCAAAAAACAAAACAAACAAAAAAAAACTTTGCATTGCCCCTTGATCATAGTGTATAACCTTTTTTATGCTGCTGGATTTGGCTTGCTAATATTTTGTTGAGGATTTTTGCATTTATATTCATGAGGGATATTGGACTGTAGTTTTTTTCTTAAGATGTCTTCATCTGGCTGTAGAATTAGAATAATACTGCATCATAAAATCATGCCTCCTCCTTTATTTTCTTAAACAGTTTTTGTAGGATTGGTATTATTTTTTCATAAATGTTTGTCAGAATTCATCAATGAAGCATCTAAACCCAGAATTCTCTCAGTAAGTTTTTAATTACAAATTCAATATCTTTAATTGATACAGGGCTGTTCAAGCTTTCTATTTCATCTTTGATTAGATTTATAATTTATGTATTTCCCAGAATGTGTTCATTTCATCTGTGACACATTTAATGTCATAAAGTTGTTCATAACAATAGAGAATTGTTATTCTTTTAATATCCAAAGTAATAATGTCCCTTCTCTCATTCTTGATATTGTTCATTTTTTTTTCTTTGCCAGTCAGTCTTGAGATTTATCAATTTTATTAGTTTTTTCAAAGGACTGCTTTTTGCTTTTAATGATTTTTTTATCTCTTTTTTTCGTTCTCTAATTCATTGATGTCTGTCATTATCTTTATTATTTTCTTCCTCTGCTTGCTTTGAGTTCAATTTACTCTTTTTTTTCTATTTTTTAACAGTGAAAATTAAGATCATTGATTTAAGAACTTTCCCCACTTCGTATAGGCTTTCAAAACTGTAAATTTCCCTCAAAGTGCTATGTTAGCTACATTGCACAAATTTTGAAATGTGTATTTATATTATCATCAGGGCAAAATATTTTCAATCTCTCTTGTGATTTAGTCTTTAGCCCAATAAATATTTAGAAGTGTGTTGCTTAGTTTCCAAATGCTTGGGGTTTTCCTAGTTATCTTATTGTTTTTGGTTTCCAATTTAATTTCATTGTGGTCAGAGAACAAACTATTTGATTTCAACCTTTTTAATATTTATTAAAACTTTTTTATGGTCCAGAATGTGGTCTATCTTGGTAAGCATTCCATGTGCACTTGAAAAGAATGTGCATTTTGCTATTGCTGAGTGAAATGTTCTAAAAATATTAATTAGGTCAAAGTGACTGATAATGTTGTTCAGGTTTTCTGTCTGCTGATTTTTTGTTGGTTACTCTATCAACTTCTGAGAGACATTAAAATTTCCAATTATAATTGCCTATTTCTTCCTTTCATTCTATCAGTTTTTGCCTTATGTAATTTGAGACTATTATTAGGCACAAATAAATTTGTAAATTTTATGTCATCTTGATCAATTATTCCTTTTCTTCTTCTAAAGTGCCCTTCTTTATCTTTTATGATACTTTTTTTTAGAAATCTATTTTTATTTGATACTAATGTAGCCACTCCAGCTTTCTTGTGCTTACTATTTACATGATATATCTTTTTCTATCCATCTATATTTGGTTTCCTTCTGTCTTTATATTGAAAGTATGTCTTTGCACATAGTTTATATTTAGGTTTTTAAAAAATGGATTTTATTTTTTTAGAGCAGTTTTAGATTCACAGCTAAATTGAGATGAAAGTACAGACAGTTCCCACACACCCCCTACCCCTACACATATGGCCTCCCCACTATCAACATCCCATACCAGAGTGGTGCATTTGCTACAATCAATGAACCTACACTGATGTATCATTATTATCCAAAGTCCGTAGTTTACATTAGAGTTTGCTCTTGGTATTATACATTCTATGAGTTTTGACAAATGTCTAATGTATTTATGTACATATAGCCACCATGACAGTATCATATAGAATAGTTACACTCCTTTAAAAATCTTCTATGTTTCATCTATTCATCCTTGCCTCTGCCCAACCCTTGGCAACTACTGATCTTTTTGTCTCCATGGTTTTGCCTTTTCCAGAATGTCGTATAGTTTGACCCATCCAGTACACAGCCCTTTCAAATTGGCTTTTTTCAGTTAGTAATATGCATTTAACATTCCTCCATGTCTTCATGGCTTGACAGCTCATTTCTTTTTAACACTGAATAATATTCCATTGTCTGGATATATCACGGTTTATCCATTTGCCTACTGAAGGACATCTTGATTGCTTCCAGCTTTTGGCAATTATGAATAAAGTTGCTATAAACATCCATGTGCAGGGTTTTGTGTGGACATAAGTTTTCAGCTCATTTGGGTAAATACCCAGGAGTAAGATTGTTGAATCATATGGTAAAAGTATGTTTCGTTTTGCAAGAAACTGTCAAAACTGTCTTTCAAAGTGGCCAAACCATTTTGCATTCCCATCAACAATGAATGACAGTTTCTGTTGTTCCACATCCTTACCAGCATTTGGTGTTGTTAGCATTTTGAATTTTGGCTATTCTAGTAGATGTGTAGTGGTATCTCATTGTTGTTTTAATTTGTAATTACCTAATAACATATACTATTAAACAGCTTTTCAAATTTTTTGGCATCTGTGTATCTTCTTTGGTGAGATGTTATAATTGTTTTTGTATCCATTTAAAAACAATTATTAATCTCTGTCTTTTAATTGGAGTGTTTAGCTCATAAATGTTCAATGTAATTTTTGAAATGGTTGGGTATGAGTCTATCATTTTTGTTTTATTTTGTTTTCTATTTGTCTCCTCTGACATTTGTTTCTTCATTTCTTATTTCCCGCCTTTAAAAATTACTTAATATTTTAAGATATATTCTATTTTAATTTTCCTGATGCTTTACAGCTATTCTGCACTGTTTAATAGTTGATTTATAAATTACAAAATTCAACCTTAACTTTTCATGGCCCATTTACAGTTGATAATGTACTTCTTCATGTAAATTCTACAGCTGAAAAGTATAATTTCTTAAGTAGAAAATTCACCAGATGGAGTTAACAGCCAAGTGGACATGTTAAAGGAAAGAGTAAATTTTAAGACAGATCAATCAAAATTACTCAAAATGAGTAACAGAGTGGAAAAAGACTTAGAACATAATGAACAAAATCTCAGAGACTTGTTAGATGATATCAAACAAACATACATGTAATTGAAATCTCAGAGGGAGAGAAGAAACTCAAGTAGAAAAAATATTTAAAGAAATAATAACCAAACACTTCCCAGCTGTAATGAAAGTCAGAGATTTGCAGATTCAAGATATTAGACAAACACTAAGCAGAAGGGACATAACGAAGTCCACTCCAAGGCACATCTAAGTCAAGCTAATATAAACCTTGAAAGCAGAAAAAGAGCAACCAAAAAAGGGGGCTTTCCATTTGGCTCTTCTTCATTGTATCTATTTCTCTGATGAAATGTCCCATTTCTGTGCTGAGATTTCGATTAATCAAAAACAAGCTTTTTTTCTTAATTTTTAAACTTCATCATAGAGAGCTACAAAACCTCCTAAAACTATAAAATAACATAACACTTTCAAGCCCTTGCCGGCTGGGCAGGAGAGCTTACACCTATAATCCTACCACTTTGGGAGGCCAAGGTGGAAGGATTGCTTGAAGCCAGGAGTTTAAGACCAGCCTAGGCAACATAGCAAGACCCCATGTCTACAAAAAATATTTAAAAATTAACTGAGCATGCTAGCTGAGGCAAAAGGATTGCTTGAGCCCAGGAGTTTAAAGCTGCAGTGAGCTGGGATCGCACCACTACACTCCAGCCTGTGTGACAGAGTGAGACCTCATCTCAACAAAACCCCAGAAAACAAGGCTGGGTGCGGTGGCTCATGCCTGTAATGCCAGCACTTTGGGAGGCCGAGGCAGGTGGATCACCTGAGGTCAGGAGTTTAAGACCAGCCTGACCAATATGGTGAAACCCTGTCTCTACTAAAAACACAAAAATTAGCTGGGTGTGGTGGCGTGCGCCTGTAGTCCCAGCTACTCGGAAGGCTGAGACAGGAGAATTCCTTGAACCCAGGAGGCAGAGGCTGCAGTGAGCCAAGATTGCGCCACTGCACTCCAGCCTGGGCGACAGAGCAAGATTCCATCTCAAAAAACAAAAACAAAAACAAACAAACAAACAGAAAAAAAACAAGAAAACAAAAATTAAAACCCTTGCCTTTTAAGTTTCAATATATTATTCATCTCCAGGTCAGATTTGATTGACTTTTCTCTTAAGACTACGTTCCATTTTCCTGGTTTTTAAATATGTCCCATAATTTGGGTTTCAATCTTGGATATGATGAATGCTAGGTTGTGAAGATTCCAGATTCTGTTCTTTTTCTCTGATGAGTGTTGTTTTTCCTTTGTTTTGCAGGTAATTTTCTTGCTGGGCCTGAACTGCGAGCTCTGTTTCTGGGGAGGCAGCTCTACTCTGAGTGCAGATCTTTGTCTTTAGCTGAGCTGCTTTGAGTGTATTTTGTGTGTATGTGGGTCAGGGGTTGATCAGAGATTTGGCCTGCAGATGCCTTCTTTGACTCTTGCTTTTCTGGATTCCTTCATTTATTTTCAGCATTCATGATCTCCTCACTCCCCAGAATGCATAGCCTACATGCAGCCCCGTGCTAGAAGCCTGGGGCTGAAGGACTTGCTTATTTGGCTCCTCATCTTCTGTTCTCCAAGCCAACATGCAACAGCAGAGGCGATCCACTTATGTCCTCTCTTCAGCTCCTTTAGGCAGTCACTTTGTATATCATGTCCAGATTTTAGAGTTATTTTCTGCAGGAATGGTCATAATACCCAGAATTATCTATAATACCCAGAAGCAGAAGCCCATATATTATTCTTATGGTCATATTCAGTTTTATTACCCGCCCCCACCCCCGGCCGACTACTCATCACAGCTGTCCTGTGTGGACTTGAACTACTTTTAAAATCAAAGAATACCGAAAATAGTTCCTATGGACCCTGATGGGCAATTTTAAGTGATCCAGGCCAAAGGAATTGAGCAATGGGGGCATCATCATGTGGTTGGAATAAGTCTGTCATCTCTCAAAGTGGCAGAAGCTACTATTTCCTAGTATCACTTCTCCCTTTCTCTCTAAGTAAAACAAACAAACAAACAAATAAACAAAACCCAACCCTGATAGCTAGGCACACAGCTATTATGAAGAAAAGCTGCATTTCCCAGTCTCCATGACACCTAAGTTTGGCCAAGTAACTAGGTTCTAGTCAATGGGATGTAAATAGAAGTGTCAGGCTCGGTGCGGTGGCTCCTGCCTGTAATCCCAGCACTTTGGGAGGCTGAGACGGGTGGATCACCTGAGGTCAGGAGTTCGAAACCAGCCTGGCCAAGATGGTGAATCCCCGTCTCTACTAAAAATACAAAAAAAGGAAAAAAGAAAATAGAAGTGTCAAGTTCAACTTCCAGGAAGTGTCATGAATGGGGAGTGCGGAGGTGAGCCCTTTATTGGTCTTTTCTTTTCCCTGCTGGCTGTGATACTGATGGGATCGCTGAATTCAAGCAGCCACATACTATTTTTCAAGACCTGTCGAGTGCATTAGTGAGAAGGGGGATAGAGTAGAATAAGGAGTCTGATCTGTAACTGACTGTGGACAATCAATTGACATAACTCACTACCTTCGGACCAGTCGTCAAGCAGCCATAATTAATCTTGAAGTACAAGCCATGTGCTGAGGTTAAAGGAGCCTGAATCCCTGAAACCATGGAGGCTCTGAACCTGCCCTATCTTGCCCACCCAGAATTCTTTTTTGTTCTGTTTTGTTTTAACAGGGTATCACTCTGTTGCCCAGGCTAGAGTGCAGTGGTGTAATCATAGCTCACTGCAACCTCCAACTCCTGGGCTCAAGTGATCCTCCTGCCTCATCCTCCCAAATAGCTGAGACTACAGGCATGAGCCATTAAGCCTGGCCCAGATTTCTTTTATGGGAGAGAAAAATAAACATATATATCATTTAGTCACTATTATTTTGAGTTTCTATGACACTCAGCCAGATCAAATCCTAATTAATACTCATTATTAAATTGAGGAGAAAAAGAGTACCATTATCTTGTAGTTAAGCCACCTGTACCTGGAAGAACTGTATTTCTTGGCAGCCTTGCCAGCAATCATTTCACCCTACTCTATAGATAAGGAGTGCTCTGTAAACTAGCCCTAACCCTAACACTGCCCAGGCCTAAAGTTCAGCTGCAGCTGAAAATGTCTATAAAACTGCCCCCCAACCATTATCATCAAGCAAATCCATCCCCTGTCCCAAATACATTTCCTCTTGTATTTCTTCTGGCAGAATGTTTCCTTTCTCTTCCTCCTCAAGGCTGCCTGAGTTATTCATTCATTCATTCATTCATTCATTCATTCAACAAATATATACTGAATGCCTACCTTGATGTCTGTCTTACTCTGAATTCATCTTTGCAAAAATGATGGATGAGGTAAGAGTTTTTTGGGGCCTGCTACCAGCCTCAGGATGAACGTCTTGCAAATCTGTACCCTAACCCACCTGACATTATTGTTTTGGCACTGCCTAAACAATGAAAAATAAAAAATAAGAAACTGACTCACAGAACAGAGCTGGAAAGGCCCTCAGAGGCCATGTAGTTCTACCTTCTTTCATTTACACAAGTAAAGAAGTAAGTTGGCTGGGTGCAGTGGCTCACGCCTATAATCCCAGCACTTTGGGAGGTCAAGACAGGTGAATCTCTTGAGGTCAGGAGTTCGAGACCGGCCTGGCCAACATGGTGAGACCCTGTCTCTAGTAAAAATACAAAAATTAGCCAGTTGCGGTGGTGCTCACCTGTAGCCCCAGCTACTCGGGAGGCTGAGGCAGGGGAATTGCTTGAACCTGGGAGACGAAAGTTGCAGTGAGCCGAGATCGTGCCACTGCCCTCCAGCCCGGGTGACAGAGTGAAACTCTGTCTCGAAATAAAATCAAAACAAACAAGCAAAAAAAGAAATAAGTAAATATATTCTATGCAGCAGAAGTACAGACTTGCCCAAGTTATAGTTAGTAGCAAAGCCAGAACCAGGACTCAGCTTGCATCACCACCACCCAGTTCTTTGTTCTTTCCTCGATCATTATTTCCTTCATTCACACTTAATCCAAATACAAAGATTACATATCTGTTATTTTTCACTAGGAAATAAAAATTTTTACTTTAAAATCCATCCCAGGTATATTCAATGTCAAAGAAAAGAATTACCTTTGATGGTTTGTCTTTGCATTTGATCTCAGTGTACTTGGAAGAGTAAACATGCCAGCAATCAAGACCAGGACCTCTCTCTGGCCTTGGAACCCTTGGGACTGGAAGAGAATTAAGTCAGGTGGGAGTCACATGCTTAATCATAAGGTAAGTTTCCAGCACAAGTTTCCAACCTTTTGCCTAAGGCTCACTTTCAGAAATTCCTCTGCAGTTCTACCAGCCACTCTGTGTGTCACCGTTTTCTAACACTTTGTGCTAGCAATGCCAAATTCTGGCAAAAAAAAGTCTTTGTTCCTCCATTTCAAGGTGATGCAACTGTCACCTATAATCAGTAGGTGGTTTCCAGAAGAGAACTCATGCTTCAGACCTGTGACCCTGCTTCCCTGCTGTGGAAACAGCTGCCAAGTGTACAGTGTCAGTCTGTATTTTCAGAGAGAGGAATAAAAGCATTTGTGTTTATAAACTTCTTTTGTTTTGTTCCATTTACTTGTCATTTCTTTTTGTATATAATGGTCCAGGGACAGTGTGCTCTTTCTGAGATTTTTATTGATTTTTTTTTAAACAGGCTATTTTTTATGCCCTGGCCGTATTTCAGTCCCTGGCAGAGATAGAGTCTACCTATAATTCAAACATCTTGGACCCAGTAACCGCAAGTATCTTCTTGGAATATTGACTCTTTGTATTTTTTTGGGTCTCATCTAATTTTGTAGTCGTGAGCTGGTGCAGTGTTTGGGTATTGAAACATGGATTCCAACCCCACAGTCTAGTCTTGGACGGGCAGGGCAGGAAGAGTACATCCACCAATACTTTATTTCCATTCACTAACCCAGCAGGTTCTGGCTTTAGTCATTCCACTGAGAAATGACAAAGCAGACAGAAAAACCAGGAGACTGAAAGAATCCTGAGGGCCAGGGTTCAAGGAAGCTCTTTAATTTGTGAGCCTTTGGAATTAAAATCAGTATTCATGGTTCACTGTGTAAAAATAACAGCATGGGCCAGGCGCGGCGGCTCCTGCCTGTAATCCCAGCACTTTGTGAGGCAGAGGCAGGCATATCACCCGAGGTCAGGAGTTTGAGACCAGCCTGGCCAACATGGTGAAACCCCATCTCTACTACAAATACAAAAAAAATCAGCCAGGCATGGTGGCGGGTGCCTGTAATCCTAGCTACTTGGGAGGCTGAGGCAGGAGAACTGCTTGAACCCAGGAGGTGGAGGTTGTAGTGAGCAGAGATCATGCCACTGCACTCCAACCTGGACAACAGAGGGAGACTCCGTCTCAAAAAAAAAAAAAAAATAGCAGCATGAGTATTTTTTTAAATGCCCTGGCTGAGCAAAACAATCAAGGTCTACAGAGCCTGAAAATGCTGCAGAACAGAAGCAAACATTCAAAGGAAATCTCTAAAGACAGACAAAGTAAAATAAAAGGTTCTTTTGGCTTAGAAGTCAAGACTGTCCTTAGAGGCCATATAGTGACTTTAGGATACTCGCGAGCCAGAGAGAGCTGCCAAGGTACAACAAAACACAACAGGCTTTTAACCTTAAGCAAGTTAAATACAAGGAAGAATAAGCACAGATAGAGCACAACATCAGAGCCATGCTTTCTCCAAGAGGTCTGAAAGTTTTCCATCTTCCTGCGGAGAAAGATCAGAATTGCACTAAAATGACTCTGTGCCTGCAAATGGAAATCCAGGAGCACCATGAGAATGAGAGTTAAGATGGAAGAAAATAAAAGAATGGTACCTGCCAGATATAGTATATGGATAGATCAGTAGGGAGTGCTGTTTTGCTTTTTGCACATTCCACAGGGAGGAGACATTTCAGACAAAGATTTAGTTTTTGAAGTCTTAGCTTAGAATGTTTCCATTTTTTTGCCCATCATCACAAACTTTTTATGCTTTTTATGTGCATTCAACTCCTTGATCTATATTGCTATGGATACTGTAACCACTTTCTTGAGCATTTGGGATCAAAAAGGTGCAGACAGCCACATTTGGGATCAAAAAGGTGCGGGCAACCCTAGACTCTGTCTTCTGGCTTCTCTGGCCCTCCAGGAATGGTCCCTGGGGAAAAGGAGGTGTTCTGAGCCTACCTCTAGGATGCAGCAGAGCATAAGATAATTAATGCAAGAAGGGAAGCAGAGGCTTGAGCAAAGTGGGCTGAATGTGTGGAATGGAATGGCTGGATCACCTGGATTCAAGCAGGCTGAAGGCAGCCAATGGGATCATCTGGTCCCAAATCCCACGTGATGGAGGAATCCTCAGCTCAAGATTCCTGACCAGTGGTCAGCCAACCCCTGCTTGGAATCCTCAGAGATATTTCTGGCAGACCCAGAGTTACAGCACTCAGATCTCTCGCCAAGAAAGGACTTAGCAACCCAGCTTCAAGGAATGTGGTTAGCTGAGAACCTCCAGCTGTTAGTGCCTTCTGGGTCTGTCTCTTCTCTTGAGCTGAAATCAGTCTTCTCTGGCAGCCCCAAACAATGGCTGAGCAAGGCAGTAGGATAAAGTCCTGGCCACTGCTGCCCAACAGGGTACTCTCTAAGGGCCAAGCTTTGCTATGGTGCTCCCCATGGGGCAGGCAGAAACTTTGTTTTTCCTGCATCACAGCCTGAAGGCTCTATTATCCAGTCCTGCTTTCTGTCCTTCTCCTCCCCTAGGTGTTACTCCTCAGTAAGTCTTAATAGGTGAACCACAGGGGATTTTTAGGGTGTGAAACTGTTTTATATGATACTGTAATGGTGGAAACAGGACACTATGCATTTGTCAAAACACATAGAACTTTACAACACAGAAAGTGAACCTTTACGTATGCAAATCAAAGAAAAATCATTTAGGCAGTCAGAGGAAATGCAGATGAAATGCCGACTGTGACAAATCAATCTAACTGTATTACAAATGTGTAAAACAACTGCACCGAAAATGGTGTAGGGAAAAACTGTTGACCTAAGTAACTTTAGGAATGAGTGGAGTCCGTTAAGACGAAAGGCAAAAGAAACTGTATGTAAGCACTGACATCTGGTTGATAAAGTTGCTTCTCATGGGGATCCACGTTAACCACTCTAATACCACTATATGTGTACATTGCAGTTGAACAATTGAGTGGATGAATGGCAGATGGTGGGAGCCAGGTTTCAGGTTGTAGTGGAAAGTTACAGGTAAGCAAGGGGAGGTCTACAGTGACCCATATGACAATGAATTAGAGTTATAGACATCAGTATGAATTCATGTTTAGCTTAATATAGATACAGATGGTTACACATAGAAGTCAGCACACATGGGCTGGGTGCAGTGGCCCATGCACTTCAGGAGCATAAGGCAGGCAGATCACGAGGTCAGGAGTTGGAGACCAGCCTGGTCAACATGGGGAAACCCCATCTCTACTAAAAATACGAAAATTAGCCGGGCATGTTGGCAGGTGCCTGTAATCCCAGCTACTCAGGAGGCTGAGGCAGGAGAATCGCTTGAACCTGGGAGGCGGAGGTTGCAGTGAGCCGAGATTGTGCCACTGCACTCCAGCTTGGGCGACAGAGTGTGAGCTCAGTCTCAAAAAAAAGAAGTCAGCACACACACATATACCTCCTTGCCCTATCAGCTGAGAGGGCCTAGAACCAATGGCACCCCAGTATCAACAAGCACATCTAGCACCAAGATTTTGGTTTTCAACACCATGCACCAACGAAAGGAACCAGGGATACTTGAAGAAATGGCTGATTCTAGGACTTGGTCAGGGAACATATAAGATGAGCCTGGAGTATCTTGTAGAACCAGAAGGTTAAAAAAAAAAAAAGTGCTCAAAACACAAATACAACACCAAGACCCACAATAATGGGGTCTAGCAAAGGGACACAGAAGCCAAATGAGAGAGCGCTCAATGGGCGAAGCTGGAACAATTTGAGCAACAAGATTAATAAATCAGTATTTGATTACAACTCAAAGTATTAAAAGAAATCCACAAGCCCCTACAAATATAAGTTAGTGATTAAACAAATAAATAAATGAAGAGAAGAGACAAATGTCCATGATGGAATTCCAAATAATTTATGTAGCCAGGCATGGTGGCTCACACCTATAATTCCAGCACTTTGGGAAGCCGAGGCTCCACTGTAGCCTCGAACTCCCAGGCTCAAGAGATCCTCCTGCCTGAGCCTACCAAGTAGCTGGGACTACAGGCACTTGCCACCACGCCCGACTAATTTTTTTTTTTAATGTTTTGGAGAGATGGGGGTGTCTCACTATATTGCCCAGGCTGGTCTTGAACTCCTAGCGTCAAGGGCTCCTCCTGCCTCAGCCTCCCAAAGTGTTGGGATTAAAGGTGTGAGCCACCACACCTAGCCTCTTCTAATCTTCACAAAAATTGTGCTCTGTGAGTCAGGAACTACAGGAAGATCTCTAGAATATCATTACCTCCCTTAAAGAATGGTTCCCAGGCCGGGCGCAGTGACTCATGCCTATAATCCCAGCACTTTGGGAGGCTGAGGCGGGCAGATCACCTGAGGTCAGAAGTTTGAGACGAGGCTGACCAACATGGAGAAACCCCATCTCTACTAAAAATACAAAATTAGCCAGGCATGGAGGCACATGCTTGTAATCCCAGCTACTTTGGAGGCTGAGGCAGGAGAATCGCTTGAACCCAGGAGGCAGAGGTTGCGGTGAGCCGAGATCGCACCATTGCACTCCAGCCTGGGCAACAAGAACGAAACTCCATCTCAAAAAAAAAAAAAAGAATGGCTCCCAATCTGAGCTCTATTGTCTAGATGGGATCTGGACAGAGGGACTGTTGTCTTTTCTGCATATTCTTCTATCACCATGCCCTATTTGGGAGGTGGGTTTGCTCAAGCAGCAGTGAGGCAATGCTGTTCCTGGTGTTCTCCAGCCAGGGACCATCACACTGGCCAGTGCTGAGATAAGGAGCCTGTGGCAGAAGGTAAGCCAGTTACCTCACTAAGCACTGCTGCTCCCCTGCCTGGCCTCCACAGCAAGATTTTCTCCATGAAGGAAGCTGGATGTAGATTTCTGTTCCAGCCCAGTCTCCTGATCTCATCGAGAACTGGCACTGTGAGTGGCACTGAGCGAAGCCACTGTCCCCAGTGTTGTTTCTTCTTTCATGCTGCATCACAGACTTGACATCGAGTACATTCCCACTGCCTTTCAGTAAATGAAACTATTGGGGGTAGAATTCCTACAAAGAATTCTCACAGATGCTGGGGAGGAGGCCAGTTGGTGGGAAGGCGTGATAGGGAGGCACGGAGGAGAAGTCCTTAGATTGAGTGCCAAGACTTCTGTTTTAGTCCGGGCCTTGTCACTGACCAGCGGCGGATAAGGAAATTCCCACATCAGGACTAATTTTCCCCACCTGGTAAAGGAGGTGGCTGAGCTAGGTCATTTCTTAGGGCCTCCCAATTCTTGACCTCTAGGATCCAACCCTTGAGTCAAATGACTTCCATGCCCTAAATGTCCCCACGCTGGGCCCTTCCACAATTTTTGTGTCCTCATCGCGGCCCACTATGTTGTCTTCTCTGAGTGCTTTGCCTGGTAACAAATCAGCTGGCTTCAGAATGGGACCATCACAATGATATCTGGCTGCCAGACAAAAAGATAAGAGAATTAGAGAGTATGGAGCTGAACAGAATCCTCAAAAATGTGTCTGCCCCCAGAGACTGGTCACTACTTTTGTCAAGCATGAAGGTATCCATAAATGTGTGCCATTAGAGATGTCCTGAAGGAACTCTGATGTGCCTCTCTCACCCTCTGCCAGAGGCTGAATAATGACTTCAAATTTATCAGGTCCCAATCTCTGGAACCTGTAAAGGTTATCATTATCTTATTCTTTTGTTTTGGAGACAGAGTCATGCTCTGTTGCCCAGGCTGGAGTGCAGTGGTGCAATCATAGCTTCCTGCAGCCTTGACCTCCTGAGCTCAAGCGATCCTCCTACCTCAGCCTTCCAAGTAGCTGGGACTACAGGCGTGTGCTACCATGCCCGGGTAATTTTTTTATTTTTTGTAGAGACAGGGGTCTCACTGTGTTGCCCAGGCTAATCTTGAACTCCTGGGCTCAAGCAATCCTCCTTCTTCGGCCTCCCAAAGCACTGGGATTATAGGCATGAGCCACCACACAGGCATGAGCCACAGTGCCCAGCCAGGTTATCTTATTTGGAACAATGTTTTATTATTTGTAAATATCTTACTGTATTTGCTAATGTGATGAAATTAAGGATTTCTGAGAGAGGGAGACTATCCTGAATTATCTGGGTGGGCCTTAAATGCAACCCCAAGCATCATTATACAAGAGAGGCAAAGGAAGATTTCATACACACAGTGTCACCACGGAGGTCAACATCAAAAGGACATGGCCACAAGCCAAGGAATGCTGGCAGCCACCAGACACCAAAGGAGGCAAGGGACAAGGACCAGATGATTTCCTGGAGCCACTGGAGGGAGTACCGGCCGGTAGACCCCAGTTTTCTCCTCCAGAACTGGGAGAGAATGCATTTCTGGTTTTGTTCTGTTTTAAGCTACCAAGTTCGTGGTCATTAGTTAGAGCAGCCACAGGAAACTAACACACCCTCTTCCTAAATTTCAGGGACATCTTCCTTTCCTACAGATTTTCTCTTTTATGCTAACAAACAAAGCCACCTGTCAGGTGGGTCAGGATCCATTCTTTCAGTCAGGAGCCCAGCAGGTAACACTCTCTCTTTGACTTGAGGGTTTAATAAAGGGACCATTTACAAAGGTCTGAGGAGGGTTTGGGAGGCCACAGGAGACAGCAGCGTAGCCCAGGGCTGCCCACTGTAGGAGATGCTGTCACTGCCTTAGGCCTGAAGGGTCAGGGGAGAGAGCTGAGTGCAGGGGGTGGTTGCTGACAGGAGTCCTGGCCTTCAGTCAGCGGACACCACCAGCCCATGGAAGCAGCGGGAAAGGAAGAAGTGGACTAAATCCTCCATGACACACTCCCCTCCCTCTAAACCTACCTGCAGGTGCCCTCCTCTGGCTAAATCTACCCGGAAGCCAGATGTAAGGGTGCCAGTCTGGCCAGCCTCCCAGGCACAGCGCGGGTGGAAAACGGTGGAGAGTGATTTCTAAGGCCAAATGGAAAAATCCAGCACCCATGTAACTTTAGCTTCCTCTCAAGACTCTCCACACAACCAGTTTGGTTTCAAGAAATAGAAGGACCCCTGGACCTTGCTCTGTGACCCAAGGCAACTCCCCACCTGTCTTAAGCCTCATTTTCCAAAGCTGTGAAATGAAGGGTTTCGAATAGAGAGTAAGATCCCTTTCAGCTCTGGTGCTCATGATTCTAAAAGCAGATCTCATGCTTTTTCCCAGGCTCTGCTGATGCGTGCCTCAAGTCCTGACAGCTGTGTATGAACTAAGATGCATCTATTCAGGCCTCTCTTTTCCATGACGTATCCTTGCATCTGAACAAGCACGTGTGGTGCCTGCTGGAAATCCAGCCACTCCAAGGAAGAGAGCAGGCTGTGTTCTCACGTGGTATGCAGACACACACAAGTGTGCTGGAAAAGGAAACGTGAGACTATGAAAACCAGACCGGCCCTGGAGAGCCAGCTGTGAGAGACAAGGAGACAGGCCTAAGGCAAGCCACTCCCCGCCAGCCTGCGTCAGCAGGCCGCAGGCACCCTTGCTTGTTCCTGCAGGAAACTCAAGGGGGCATCGCAGCTAACTATGGCTAGTGCAGCCCTCAGGCTGGCCAGCAACGCGACTGCCAGGCCCGGCAGGCCAAGCAAAGCCTCGGCTGCCAGCAGCCATGCAGATGGTAATGATTAACCCGAAAGTCAAACTATGGAAAGTTCCAAGGGCCAGGAGAGTCCTTTGTTGCATAATAAACATACCAAGCCCTCCCTGCTACCTTGGGGCATTTTGTTCTGTATCGTGTCTGCTTTTGCAACTCTTCCTTTCTGCTTGTATCTGCCTGGAACCTCATTTTAAAAACACAGGCTTATGGCCAGGCGTGTGGCTCATACCTATAACCTCAGCACTTTGGGAGGCCAACGAGGGCGGATCACCTGAGGTCAGAAGTTCAAGACCAGCCTGCCTGGCCAACATGGTGAAACCCCGTCTCTACCAAAACTACAAAAATTAGCTGGTGTGGTGGCAGGTGCCTGTAATCCCAGCTACTCAGGAGGCTGAGGCAGGAGAATCGCTTGAACCTGTGAGGCGGAGGTTGCAGTGAGTCGAGATCACACCACTGCACTCCAGCATGGGTGACAGAGCAAGACTCTGTCTAGAAAAAACAAACAAACAAACAGGCTGAAACTAAAGAAGAAGGTATCTGGTATCTTCATTGCCTCTAGAAGACTGAAAGTGCAGAAGATGTGGAAGCCCTCCCCTCTTTGCCATCCCCAAAATCTTGGGAGGCCTGGGATGAGCAACAGGTTTCCCTTCCTTTCCCCAGTTCCCCATACTTATTAAACTAGGACCCTGCGCAATGACTGATGGGCCATGAATGAGAACGGTTTACAGTGCATTATTTGAGGCAGGGACGTCTAAGGAGGACCCGAATTCCAACATTTTAAAAAACTCTCCCAGAACTGCTGATTCCTAAATTCCATTGTCCTCTTGTTTCCAGCAAAATAATTTGATTCTTGTTATAAACACGCCCATGCTTGGCCAGTGTGCGTTTTAAGGTTGTCCCGTGAATTAAGAGCCTCGAGGCTTTCCTGGAGGTGAGGAAGGAAGGGGAGCCTGGGAGAGGCTGGGAATGGGGTGGGAGAGGGGCCACCAAGAAAAAGGACAGAGGGAGAGGGCTCTGGGCACCCAGGAAGAACATCACACCCGCTTCCTACTGCTGCCGGGTGCTGTCCCTGCTGAGCTGGTGCTAGGAATTGTTCTGAAAATTCAGGTAAGCAGCCTCCTATGAAGGAACACAGCAAAAGCCTGCAGTCCGGACCTCAGACCATCAGAAAGGAGAGTGCCTTTCCCACCAGGGAACAGATAACTACAGTGGCATTTGGCCAGGGGTTTCCTGGGAATCTCCCTGCCCTAAGTGCATCTCCCCTAGTCACTGTCACACTGAAGCCTAAAAGTCCCCCAAGAGAGCTGCACCAGTGTATGAATTCATTGATTACTTTCAAACAGTTTGCTAAACATCAAGTGCTGGTTAAAGGGGGTTCTGATGGACCAAAAAAAAAAAAGAGGATCAATTCTGGATATGAGAGATGGAGGGTATTTATTGCAGAGCGGGGCTTGGTGGGAGTCCACAGCTGGGATCGTCTCTGTCTTGTTAGAGTGTGACTGAGATCTCTGGAAAAAAGAAAAAGATATCCCTGATATCTTGAGTGGCCTGGGATGAGCAGGGAAGCCTCTAGGAGAGCAGAGAGAAAGGTGAAGAAGGCAACTTGCTTCACGATTTTACCTACACCTGGAGCTGCCTGGAACAGTCTCCTTGCTCAGATGCAATTATGCCGTGCATCTCCTGTCCGGTGCCGAGTCTTCCAAACTCTGCTCTCCAAAATGTCTAAGTGTGTTTTGCCCACACTAGCGCTGTGCCCATGTTGCAAGAGTTATGACTCTTGTCCATCAGCTTCTATGTACAGTACTCTTCAAACAGACACAAATGGCTTAAGCCAGGAATTATTAGATTCACTAGAACTATAATGTTGGGTTTAAGCACTCATACCCAAATTAGATAGCCCTAAATTAGAATGCCAACTCCAATGCTTACGAGCTGTCTGCTTTTGTGCATTTTGTCTCCTTCTCTAAACCTTGCTATCGCTATTTGCAAACCGGGGATAATAATAGTATTCACCTGACAGGCGGCCATGAGGATTAAACAAATGAGGTGACGCAGGGGAAGCACTTAGCACAATGCCTGGGTCATAGTAAGTGCTCAGTCAATGTCAGCCATTGATTTATTTCTCATCTACTTCTACTTCAAGTAAAAGTTGGCAAACTAGTTTCAAGATCATTATACATGTAATCCAGACTCAGGCTGAGCTCACAAATTTGTTCTTTGAAAAAGCCACACAATTCTTTTGTAAGTCTTGATCTCCTGGGTTTTTTTTTGTTGTTGTTGTTGTTTTAAATCAGCTATATTTAGCTCTTAAATTTCATATCTCAGTTTGAAATCCTAAAGTCATCCTTCCAAAAATACAAGTGGTTCAGCAGATGGCATTGAAAAAAAAAACAAGAAAAAAACATATTTTTGCTTTATATAACATTAGGTCAGAGGTGGGACTCATTTCCACAACTACAAAGGTAAATAAATTACACTTATACCATTTTCTTTTCCTTTCCTTTCCTTTCCTTTCCCTCTTCCTTCCTTCCTTCCTTCCTTCCTTTCTTCTTTTCTTTTCTTTTCTTTCTTTTCTTTGTTGTTGTTATTTTGAGACAGAGTCTCGCTCTGTCACCCAGGCTGGAGTGCAGTGGTACAATCTTGGCTCACTGCAACCTCTGCCTCCTGGGCTTAAGCAATTCTCCTGCCTCAGCCTCTGGAGTAGCTGAGATTACAGGCACCTGGCACCACACCCAGCTAATTTCTGCATTTTTAGTAGAGATGGAGTTTCACCATGTTGGCCAGGCTGGTCTCAAACTCCTGGCCTCAAGTTATCTGTCTGCCTTGGCCTCCCAAAGTGCTGGGATTATAGGCATGAGCCACCACACCCAGCCTACACTTACTTCATTTAATGCAAGGATGTAATTTGGCAATGCCAACCCTAAAGACTAGTTTTGTTGTTGTTGTTGTTGTTGTTGTTGTTGTTTTCAGTTTTATCTCTGGGAGAACAGCTAAGCTCTTCCCTGAAGGTCCTAGGCTGTCTCCCAGGTTCCTTCCTAGCTGGGGTCCAAGCACAATCCTCCTCTCCCCAGCTCAAATTGAAATTACATTGCATTTGTTGGTGTGCATTTTATAGTTTCAAACACCAGTGACTTCATATTTCCAGACTGCTCCCAAACTACTTTTCCTTGGGTTAACACAACAACCTCTTTTACACATAACATATTTATTGAGTGTTTATCATATGCCAGATGCAATTCTAAATGCTTCATGTGGATTAACTAATCTTATCTTCATGATATCTTTGTGAAATAGGTACTGTTATTATCATCCTTCTCCAGAGGATATTATTTTGAAGAAACTGAGGCACACAGGTTTGTGTAATTTGCCCAAGATGACCAAGCTAAAATGTGACAGAGCTGAGATGTGAACCCAGGCACTCTGGCTACAGAGCCTGGCACTTTCCCATTGAACCTTACCACCTCGGTAGGGCACAGTGGCTCACGCCTGTAATCCTGACACTTTGGGCAGCTGAGGCAGGAGGATCGCTTGAGACCAGGAGTTCAAGACCAGCCTGGGCAACATAGGGAGACCCCCATCTCTACACAAAAATTAAAAAATTTAAAAAAATAGCCAGGCATAGTGGTGCATGCCTGTAGTTTCAGCTCCTGGGGAGGCTCAGGTGGGAGGATCACTTGAGCCCAGGAGGTTGAGGCTGCAGTGAGCTAGAACTAGGACTGTACCACTGCACTCCAGCCTGGATGACACAGCAAGACCCTGTATCTAAAAAATAAAACAAACAAACAAAAACTATACCACCTCTCAGAGAAAAAGTGATGTTTATCAGGGATACAGTTTGGACAAGAATTCTAACTCCACTTATTCTTAGGAGCACTCTTCCTTCCCACAGAACATTCCGTCCTGGCCCCGTGACCCTGCTCCTCCCAGCCTATTCTCAGGGGCATTCTTCGACAAAATACGAAAAAGCCACACTCACAACAATGTCCTTCTTACTTCTGTCAAACAGGGCTGCAAAAATATTCAAGGCAGTATGGCTCAGACTCAGGGGGAGGGGGCCCCAGCCCCACCTTCACCACTAAGTGGCAGGGTGCCCTCAAGCCAGTCACTCAGTGGCTCTTCCTTTCCGCTCCACACAGCAGAGTGGGGGTCATGCCAAAAGCTACCTTATAGGGCTGAGTATTCCATGAGCTCATCTGTGTAATGTGCTCAGCCCCATGCCTGGCTCAATAAGTAATCTGTTATCATAAAGGAAGATCAATAATTAGCTGTTACAATTATTGATCATGTAGTTCATAACCGTGAGCACAATTAGAAGGACAAATTCAGAAAAGACTTGGAGAGAGAGGCCGAGTTGTAATGTCAGCTCTCCGGGGCTCTGCCCCTTGTCTGTCCCTGCACGAGAGGTCAGGTGCCTGAGATGGAACAGCTGGCTCGCTGAGCCTTGTTGGCACTCCCACCTCCAGCGGGTTCCCTAGGGCAGAAGGCGATCATTCAAGGAGGCGGATGGGAGGACGGAGTAAGAGCCTAGACAGGGGCAAGCTAGAAATCCCTCCGTCAATCAACTTTGTTCCATAAGCAGTCATTTTCAGTCTAGGCAAAGCACTGCTTGCTGCAGGTCAGCAGTTCTGCAAATTGTTTCAAAAGCATGCTTTTAACTGGGAACCTCGACATAAAAGTCAGGTAAGGATGGAGCTACTTTGTTGGAAGTGGGAAGAGGAGGTCCCTGGTGCCCCCAGGCTCCACGCTGAACTCCACAAAGGGGACCTGCATCCCTTCCAAGGAGCAAGGATGTCCTTAGATCATAAGATGTTTTCTTTTCTTTTTCTTTTCTTTTTTGAGACAGTCTTGCTCGGTTGCCCAGACTAAAGTGCAGTGGCGTGATCTCAGCTCACTATAACCTCCACCTCCCGGGTTCAAGTAATTCTCCTGCCTCAGCCTCCTGAGTAGCTGGGATTACAGGTACCTGCCACCACGCCCAGCTAATTTTTATATTTTTAGTAGAGATAGGGTTCCACCATATTGGCCAGGCTAGTCTCGAACTCCTGACCTCAAGTGATCTGCCCGCCTCGGCCTTCCAAAGTGCTGGGATTACAGGTGTGAGCCACCGCGCCCGGCCACACAAGACGTTTTTTAAGTTCAAAAGCCATTTTCTAAGAGAAACAAATGTATACAATAAATGTGAACCCAGCTGAGTACTCCTTATGCAGAAGCCATGCTGAGTTCTCTGAGCAGGTCCAGTGTCAGCACATGTATTGCCAAGGCTGGCCTTCCAGAGACCGACTGCCGGGTGTCCCTCACGAAGCCAAGGACTACACGCAGGCTCCTGGGTAGACCAGTTAGCTCTGCCCCAGACAGAAACGTTTAAGACAGCACCTGAGTTCTGTCCATAAACGCAGGGCACTGATGCTCAAGGGCCCTGACCAGGGTCTGTGCCACATCCCTGCACCCGGAGAAACAACTCAAGGTAGTTGTCCCTATGGCAGTGGGCAGAAGGAAGGGACGGAGAGAGCATCTGGGCCAGAAGAATACATGGCCCAGGTCCCGGAAAACAGCCGCGCCCCGTTCACCGTGGTGAGAATGCTTTTCCCAGCCCTGTCCCCTTCTCACTTCTCCCCGAATCTATTCCCAGATGAAGGTATTTATGACTGCTCCTGGGCATTTCAGGGGCGGAAAGAAAAAAGAAGAGAAGAGAGAAGCAAAGGGAAAAGAAAAGAAAAGGAAAGAGAAAAGAAAATAAAGAAAAGAGCAAAATCAGGGATTCACAATATTTACTTCCTAGAATTCTGCCATTTAATACCTCCCACACCAAACAAAATACGTGGTTCCAGAGACCCAAGAATTAAAGTTCAACTTGGAAAGAGAGAGGGAAAAGGAATGCCTGAACTTATTCCAGATTCGAGGCCAGTCCACCCACCACCCGGCGCATACCCAAGCGAGGGAAACACCTCAGCCCCAGGCTTAAAGGACAGCACCTCGTTTTGCTCAATAAGTGTGAAGTGGCCTCAGGAACGTGCAGTCCCCCGTTTCCTACCTCTTCGGCGAGGGTCCCCAGAGTCGGTCCCCAGGGTCGCTCCCCTCTCCCTTCTGCGCCACCTGCTACCGCTGATTTCGCATCTCTCCTGGGGAAGCCACGGGGCGATCAGGGAGGAGTTCCGAGGAAGGAAGGGGAGGGCATGGTCTCCCAACCAAGCACTTGGTTCCAGGGAAAAGGATGTTTTGTAACTTTCAGCTTGAATTTCCAGAGGCAGAACAGGAAATGTCCACGGGGCTGGAGCTCAAGTGCGAAGTCAGCTGGGTCTCCGGCTCCTTTCCGAGGGGCGCCTCCTACGTGCTCCCAACGCTGGCCCTGTCTGGAATTTAAAGCTCCGTCTGAATTCTGGTGCCTTTTCACCTCTTACTCCTTCCTCTAGCACTTCTTTTTTTTTTTTTTTTTTTCTTAATGGAACGTCAGCTTCGTTCCTGACATGCTGGAAAAAGTTTCTTTTGCTTCAACTTGGCTCAGAAACATCCTGTCCTTGTGAGAGTATTTCTCCTATTACAAAGTTCAGTTTAAAAAAGAGAGCTGTTTTGCCAACTTTTGTACTGAGAACATTTTTGACGGATTTTTTCCCCCTGATCGCTTGGATTCCAAGAAACATACACACCCACATCCCTCTGTTTTTTGTTTTTTTTTTTTTCCTTCTAATTAAAAAATAGTAATAATAGCTGGTTGGACTGGGCATAGTGGTTTGTGCCCATAATCCCCGCACTTTGGAAGGCTGAGGCAGGAGAATTGCTTGAGCTCAGGAGGTTGAGACCAGCCTGGGCAACATAGTGAGACCCTGTCTCTACACAAAATTTAAAAACTAGCCTGGCACAGTAGCTTGTGTCTGTAGTCCCAAATACTTGAGCCCAGGAGTTGGAGGTTGCAGTGAGCTATGATTGAGCCACGGCAATCCAGCCTGGGCAACAGAGTGAGATCCTGTCTCTAATGATAATAATAGTAATAATAACAATAGCTGGTGAAAGATTGCAGTGCAGGCCGGGTGCTGTGGCTCACTCCTGTAATCCCAGCACTTTGGGAGGCCAAGGTGGGCAGATCACCTGAAGTCAGGAGTTCAAAACCAGCCTGGCCAACATGGCGAAACCCCATCTCTATTAAAAATACAAAAATTAGCCAGGTGTGGTGGTGGACATCTGTAATCCCAGCTACTCGGGAGGCTGAGGCACAAGAATCTCTTGAACCCTAGAGGCGGAGGTTGCAGTGAACCTTGATCACGCCACTGCACTCCAGCCTGGGCGACAGAGCAAAACTCCCTCTCAAAAAAAAAAGAAAAGAAAAATCGCAATGCAGGTGTTCTTGTTCTTAAACTGTGGGCGGTAGGGTGCTGCCTCACTCAGCCTTGTCTGTGTGATCGTGTTCCCCACAGCACAGTGTGCATCCTGTGTGGTAAAGAGGAGTAACAGGTAATGATTCAGGTCTTCAAGGCTCTCTCTTAGTTCTAGGTCTTTCTATAATGGTCACACAAGAATTGGCTACTTTTTTCAAATGGGGTCCCATTTCAAATTACAAACTCCATCTCCTCTGCTCCCTGCCCCCACCCCGCACCCCAGGGATAGGCCTGAAAGACCCCTGGTTGTGATTTGTGGAGGTGATTGGGTGGAAGTACACAGGGCTGAGAGGCTGATCATAAGATTCAGTTGTTGGTAACTGCCCAGGGAGTAGCATGTCTGTGAATTGTCAAATGCTACCACAAATTGGGAACCTTTAGGGTACTCGTTGACCCCTGCAACAAAACTCAGTAGTTTTCATAGTGTTAATTGGGAATTTGTTCACAAACAGGAAATGAGAACATCTCCTCTGTTCTATGCATTAAAAGAAGCCATGTTGGCCAGGTTGGTTTCGAACTCCTGACCTCAGGTGATCTGCCCACCTTGGCCTCCCAAAGTGCTGGGATTACAGGCATGAGCCACAGCACCTGGCCTGCACTGCAATCTTTTACCAGCTATTGTTATTATTACTATTATTATCATTACTTGCACATTCATAGTGCGAGTAAGATTGTAAGAAAAAATAGTTTGTTAGGCCAGGTGCAGTGGTTCATGTCTGTAATCCCAGCACTTTCAGAGGCCAAGGCAGGAGGATCACTTGAGTTCAGGAGTTCAGGACAAGCCTGAGCAACCTAGGGAAGCCCTGTCTCTACAAAAATAAAATAAAATAAATTAGCCAGTGTGGTGGTGCCTGTACCTGCAGCTACTTGGCAGGCTGAGGCAGGAGGATCACTTGAGGCTGGGAGATCGAGGCTGCAATGAGCCATGATTGTACCATGGCACTCTAGCCTGGGCAGCAGAGCAAGACCCCATCTCAAAAAAAAAGAAAGAAAGAAAGAAAGAAAAGAAAAAAAATTTGCCAATTCATCAGGTTAGAAAGTTTCAAATGTTTTAGGAGTATCCTTCATTTACAAAAATTATACTGTACACATAAGAGACTAAAGCTAGCAATTTCTAGATTGTTGAGTTGATGTACTGATTACACATGATTTTTATCTAGTCAGTGAAGTGAGACTGACCCTAGGTGATATTTTTCTGTTCTGGCTTGAGTTTTGTACCTAAACTTGAAAGTAATTGAAATGCATTTATACTCTGAAATTTAGATATTCTATCATTTCAAACTCAGTGTAGTGTGGAGATAATCCTAATCAACAAAGTTTAACCCAACATTAAAAGTATGTAGTTAGATGTCTATTTTATAGTCTAACATATTTAAACATAATATTAAAATAAACATATGATCTCAAGAACCAGACTCTGAAAAGAGGTAGACAGATTGAGTCTATTTGATATCTAAACAATAGGCAAACTAAGTTTTAAAAAGATTTATTATGCCCCCACTTAAGGGCAGAAGTCTAATTCCACAGACTTGAAGACTATGTAGCCTCATGAACACATCTGACCAGAGATATCGGGGTGTTGCCTAGCAGAGTTAGTGGGATGGCACTTCTAATTCTTTTTTTAAATTTATTTTATTTTATTTTTTATTTATTAGTATTATTATTTTTTTGAGACGGAGTCTCGCTCTGTTGCCCAGGCTGGAGTGCAGTGGCATGATCTGTGTTCACTTCAAGCTCCACCTCCTGGGTTCACGCCATTCTACTACCTCAGCCTCCCAAGTGGCTGGGACTACAGGCGCCTGCCACCATGCCTGGCTAATCTTCTTGTATTTTTATTTATTTATTTTTATTTTTATTTTTGAGACGGAATCTCGCTGTGTCCCCCAGGCTGGAGTGCGGTGGTGCAATCTCGGCTCACTGCAAACTCCGCTTCCTGGGTTCACGCCATTCTCCTGCCTCAGCCTCCCGAGTAGCTGGGACTACAGACACCTGCCACCATGCCCGGCTACTTTTTTGTATTTTTAGTAGAGACAGGGTTTCACCGTGTTAGCCAGGATGGTCTGGATCTCCTGACCTTGTGATCCGCCTGCCTCGGCCTCCCAAAGTGCTGGGATTATAGCCGTGAATCTTTTTGTATTTTTAGTAGAGATGGGGTTTCACCATGTTAGCCGGGATGGTCTTGATCTCCTGACCTTGTGAGCCACCCACCTCAGCCTCCCAAAGTGCTGAGATTACAGGCATGAGCCACCGCGCCTGGCTGTCACTTCTAATTTTTACCTGGAGAGCAAGATTCACTAGATCAGTCACCTCTTTTTCAATTATTAAACTACTTGCTTTGATATCATGAATATAGACACAAGTATAAAAATCTCTTGTTGAACAGCAAAAGACAGAGCTGAAGGTGAGATGAAAACCCAGGCTTTTCAAGGTGAAAGCTAAACAATATTTCACAAAAGGCCAAATGCTGGATTGGTTTGTGGATGAGGGACCGTATTGAATTGAACTGGCTACAAAGTATTGATTGAGTGCTTACTATGTGTGCCACGTCTCTTTGAGGCCTTCTCAGATAGAACACAATTTTTCATACAACAGCACTATAAAGTATTGTTGCTCTCATTTTACAGAAGAGGAGCTGAGGTTCTGAGATATATATTTTGCAGTTTTACTTGTCAGTGTTAAGATTGTTCTTTTTTGCTTTTGTAAAAAAAGATTTATTGTATTCATGATGCCTCTCTAGTCCTGCAACTCCCTACCATGTTATATGTTAAAATTGAAAATGTCATCCATTGATTCGTCCTAGTCAATAAATATTTAATGAATGTCGATGTGCATAGCACCGGGCCAGGAGAGGAATGACTCAAACCCTGCCCTAGGGATGTTTGTAATCTAGAAGGGAGATGAGATAAAAATACCTCTTTCTTTCCTTCCTTCTTTTCTTTTTTTTTTTTGAGACTGAGTCTTGCTCTGTCGCCTGGGCTGGAGTGCAGTGGTGTAATCTTGGCTCACTGCAACCTCCACCTCCCAAGTTCAAGCAATTCTCCTGCCTCAGCCTCCCAGCTAGGACTACAGACGCAGGTGACTATGCCCAGCTAAGTTTTGTATTTTAGTAGAGATGGGGTTTCACCATGTTGGCCAGGCTGGTCTCGAACTCCTGACCTCAAGTGATCTGCCTGCCTTGGCCTCCCAAAGGGCTGGGATTACAGGAGTGAGCCACTTCGCCTGGCTTAAAAATACCCATCTCATTTAACTCAACATTTCCCCTTCTAGGTCTATACTCGAGAGATGTGAACAAATGTCCACACATAAACCTGTACACGAATGCTTATAGCAGCATTATTCATAACAGCTGCTTCCGAAAACAACCCAAATGTCCATCAACTGATGAATGAACAAAATGTGGTATATCCACACAATAGAATATTATTTGGCCACACAAAGAGATGAAGTACTGATATATGCTACAACATAGATGAACCTGGACACCATTATGCTAAGTGAAAGAAGCCAGTCACAAAACACCACATATTATATGATCAATTTTTATGAAATGTCCAGAATGGGTAAATCTACAGAGATGGAAAGTAGTGGTTGCCAGCACCTGGGGGCGTGGGGAGCAGAGGGCTTGGGGGTTGACAGCTAAAGGATACAGGCTTTCTTTTTGGCATGATAAAAATGTTCTAGGCCAGATGCAGTGGCTCACACCTGTAATCCCAGCACTTTGGGAGGCCAAGGCAGGTGGATCACTTGAGGCCAGAAGTTCAAGACCAGCCTAGCCAAATGGCGAAACTCCATCTCCACTATAAAAACAAAAATTAGCTGGGCGTTGTGGGCACACCTGTAATCCCAGCTACTTGGGAGGCTGAGGCAGAAGAATCTTTTGAGCCTGGGAGGTAGAGGTTGCAGTGAGCCGAGGAGATCAAGCCACTGCACTCCAGCATGGGCAACAGAGCAAGACTGGGTCTCAAAAAAAAAAAAATTTTTTTCTAAAATTGATTGCAGCAATGGTTGCACAATTTTGTGAATATACTAAAAATTGTTGAACTGCATGTTCTAAATGGGTGAATTTATTGTGTGTGAATGATATCTAAATAGAGAACTGTTGTAGAAACAAAACACATACCTGAAAAAATAACTATCCACTTATCTTGTAACCACTCCAGCTTCCAAAGTGTCACATTCCATGTATACTTTTTTGTTTCCTTGGCTAATTCATTCTAAGGGCACTCCAGCCCAGGCGACAGAGCAAGACTCAGTCTCAAAAAAAGAGAAAAGAAAAGAAGAGAAAGGAAAAGAAAAGAAAAGAAGGAAGGAAAGAATAAGGTATTTTTGAGAAATTCAAGGCACTGTCTGAGAAAAGAAGAGATGATGTGGGAGATTGAAGGAAAGAACCATCTCTTATATGAACACAGTATCCTGTATATTGTGGTTATTACATTTATTGAAGATCTCCCTTCTCTGGCAATGTGTGTATCCCCGAGTTCTCTTCATCCTGCCTTCTACCAAAATACATATTCAAGAAAGGATTTTAAATGTGTAATCACACTGAAATTTAGAAGGCAATGATGACTATATTTGCATTTAATTAATGTAAAAATTTTTTATTTTTGTAATTTTATGAAATAAATTCACTCTCATTTTTCCTTCCTCAAAAAAGACTAAACTCTTTGTTGTTTGGTTTCTGGTTTTCTGTTTTGTTTTGTTTTTTGTTTTTTGAGACAGGATCTTGCCCTGTCACCCAAGTTGAAAGGCAGTGATGTGAGCATGGCTTATGGCAGCCTTGGCCTCCTGGGCTCAAATAATCCTCCTGCCTCAGCCTTCAGAGTAGCTGGGACCAGAGGCGCATGCCACTATGCCCAGCTAATTTTTTAAAAAATTATTTTTGTAGAAACGGGGTTCTCCCTAAGTTGTCCAAACTGGTCTTGAACTCCTGGGCTCAAGCGATCTGCCGGCCTTGACCTCCCAAAGTGCTGAGATTACAGGCATGAGCCACCGTGGCCAACCCAAACTCTTGCTTTATTCCAGGTACATTGCAAGGTGCAGGAGCTAAGACTCCAGTAGAGAAAGCAACTAACCAAACAGATCTCATAGGCGGTTCTGGGCACTATAATAGGATATAGCGGTATGATAACGGCCCATCTAGGGCAGAGGTATACGACGTGGCAAATCTGCTGGAGCAGCAGGTGTCTGTGGCCAATAAGGAGCTCCTGAAAGGTTTGGAGAGTGCCATGTTTGAGAATGGATGTTCGGAGATGCTGAGAATGGTAAAATTGGCATTTAACAATAGAATTTCTGGCAATTGGATGAAAGAGAAAATTTTTAAAAGAAATTTTTTAAAAAATTATTTTTGTAGAGACGGGGGTCTCCCTATATTGCCCTAGCTGGTCTTGAACTCCTGCGCTCAAGCAAGCCTCCAGCCTTGGCCTCCCAAAGTGCTGTGATTACAGGCATGAGCCACCTCGCCTGTCCCAACCTCTTACTTTATTCCCGGTACATTTCAAGGTGCAGGAGCTGAGTCCAGTAGAGAAAGCAAGCAAGCAAACAAACAAATCTCATTGACGGTTCCAACGTTATTATTGTTGTTTTGTTGTTGTTATTATTTTGAAGGATAGTTATGTAACAGCAATTTAGTAACCACTTCCTGGCTCCTGAAATGTCATTTGCAGAGTCGCAGAAAGACAATTCCGTTGCCCTCCTTTAAGAGTCCATTACCAGGACAATAAACTCCGTTTTCTGGGGGAGTCAGGTGATATTCTCACATATGTCCAGTAGGTGGAGGCATTGCTGTTCCAGAAAGAAAACTCTTCTTTGCAAACTTGGTCTGATTGCCATTGCCGCTGAGCACCGGAGGGACTGCCATTTACTCCTTTTTGTACCGGACAGCAGGAAGCAGGCCAGAATTATGCAGTAGAGAGCGCATGGATCTTGCAACCCAACACCGCCGTGTCCTAACCTGGACTCCTCCGCCCAGTAGAGTGACCTTGGGCACATTACTTCACCTCTTTGAATCTCAGTTACCTCATCCAAAAGGTGATGGTTTTGTAGGTCCGCGATCCCTTATCCACATTTCCAAACTTCCCCACTCTGGAAACCACAAGCATTTCGTAACTGTGGGGCAGCAAAACCTGACCTCAACTGACCTGAAGTTACGTACTATCCTACTTAGCTTGAATATTCTTACATTTCGCTGCAGAAAGGGTTTATATGTTTGATTACAAGGTGCTCCCCTAGCCCACTCGGGGTTTGATATAATAAAAGGTATATTGGGTTGTGTCACTGTGTGCGGAATTGGTGGGTTCTTGGTCTCACTGACTTCAAGAATGAAGTCGGGGACCCTTGCGGTGAGTGTTACAGTTCTTAAAGGCAGCGTGTCCGGAGTTTGTTTGTTCTGATGTTTGGATGTGTTCGGAGTTTCTTCCTTCTGGTGGGTTTGTGGTCTCGCTGGATCAGTAGTGAAGCTGCAGACCTTCGTGGTGAGTGTTACAGCTCTTAAGGCGGCGCGTCTGGAGCTGTTCGTTCCTCCCGGTGGGTTCGTGGTCTCGCTGGCTTCAGGAGTGAAGCCGCAGACCTTCACGGTGAGTCTTACAGCTCATAAAGGCAGTGTGGACCCAAAGAGTGAGCAGCAGCAAGATTTATTGCAAGGAGCAAAAGAACAAAGCTTCCATAGTGTTGAAGGGGACCCCAGCAGGGTGCCACTGTTGGCTCCAGCAGCCTGCTTTTATTCTCTTATCTGGCCCCACCCACATCCTGCTGATTGGTCCATTTTACAGAGAGCAGAGTGGTCTGTTTTGACAGGGTGCTGATTGGTGCGTTTACAATCCCTGAGCTAGACACAGAGGTTCTCCACCTCCCCACCAGATTAGCTAGATACAGTGTGGACACAAAGGTTCTCCAAGTCCCCACCAGAGTAGCTAGATATAGAGTGTCCATTGGTGCATTCACAAACCCTGAGCTAGATAGACACAGGGTGCTGATTGGTGTGTTTACAAACCTTGAGCTAGATACAGAGTGCAGATTGGTGTATTTACAATCCCTTAGCTAGACATAAAGGTTCTCCACGTCCCCACCAAACTCAGGAGCCCAGCTGGCTTCACCCAGTGGATCGGGCACCGGGGCTGCAGGTGGAGCTGCCTGCCAGTCCCACGCCGTGCGCCTGCACTCCTCAGCCCTTGGGTGGTCGGTGGGACTGGGCGCCGTGGAGCAGGGGGCGGCGCTCGTCGGGGAGGCTAGGGCCGCAAAGGAGCCCACAGAGGCGGGGGAGGCTCAGGCATGGCGGGCTGCAGGTCCCGAGCCCTGCCCCGCGGGAAGGCAGCTAAGGCCCGGCGAGAAATTGAGCCCAGCAGCTGCTGGCCCAGGTGCTAAGCCCCTCACTGCCCGGGGCCGGTGGGGCCCGCCAAGCCCATGCCCACCCGGAACTCGCGCTGGCCCGGAAGCACCGCGCGCAGCCCCGGTTCCCGCCCGCGCCTCTCCCTCCACACCTCCCCGCAAGCTGAGGGAGCCGGCTCCGGCCTTGGCCAGCCCAGAAAGGGGCTCCCACAGTGCAGTGGCAGGCTGAAGGGCTCCTCAAGTGCGGCCAAAGTGGGAGCCCAGGCAGAGGAGGCGCCGAGAGCGAGCGAGGGCTGTGAGGACTGCCAGCACGCTGTCACCTCTCATTACCTTCCTAAAACCTGAGAAAATCCAGAATCCCGAAGTACACCCGGCTCTAGGGTAAGAGATTGTAAATCTGAACTACTGACTGTAAAGGGAGGGAGGAGGGAGGAAAGAAGGGAGGGAGGAGGGACGAAGGTACTTTAGTGAAATTGATCTTATCTTGTTTCTCCCCTAGCCATTATCAATAACACACATACTTCTACAAAAGGAGGACTTCCATTCCAAATACAAGATATTATGTACTTTTTCATTTCTCTCTTTAGGGTTCCCTCCACCATCCATTCGGTTGCACACACCGGAAGGGCGTAAAGGGTTTTATAAGGATGAAGGGAGACACCTTGCCTGAAGCACCTGGGCGGCCCCAAGGACTCTTCTTCCTCCTACCCAAGCCAATCAGACTTGGAGTCCTGGCAAATCAGAGAAATCCCGGGGGAAAAACAAAGAATCTCTGTTGATACACTCACATCATTCATTCATTTGATACATACATATTAAGCACCTACTTAATATGTGCCAGATACTCTGTGATTAATAAGCTTATTGTCTCCTGCTGACCCTGTGCCATCCCCGGGTAGACTCGGGGATTGTCTTGGGCTCTGCAAATTACTCAGCACTTTGGGAGGCCAAGAGGAGAGGATCACTTGAGCTCAGGAGCTTGAGACCAGCCTGGACAACACGACGAGACCTTGTCTCTACAAAAAAATTTTAAAAATTAGCCAGGAGGATGGCTTGAGGCCGAAAGTTGCTGACCAGCCTGGGCAACGTAGTGAGACTCCTTTCTACAAAAAAAAAATTAAAAATTAGGTGGGTGTGGTGGCGGGTGCCTGTAGTCCCAGCTACTCAGAGGCTGAGGTAGGAGCATTGCTTGAGCCCAGGAGGTCAAGGCTGCACTAAGTCATGATTGCGGCACTGCACTCCAGCCTGGGATACAGACTGAGACCCTGTCTCAAAACAGAAGAAGAAGGAGAAGGAGGAGGAAGAGTAGGAGGAGGAGGCTACAGCAGGTGCTGCTAAAGGGAAGAGGAAAAACCCACTCGTAGACTCAGTCCATAGCTGTCTTTTCCACCATCCCTAAACTTTTAATCATATCCTTGATTTTCACTCTGAAGATTTCACCTGTTTAAAACTTCTGCCCTTGGGGAGACATGGCTGATGGAGGCAGAAGGTGGGACTTGAATGCAGCTCTCACCTGGGCATTTCTTGACTCTCTGGAGTAAATAGCATGAAGGCCTGGGAAATTCACCTGCTGCCAATTTGATGTCTGCTTTAGATGCACCACCAGTATAATGGAGATCACAACTCCTGGCCCCACCCACTTCACCATCCCTTTTATGGCTTTTCTCTTCCTGTCTCTCCATGCTCCAGGCAGATCCAAGTTCTTGCAGTTCTTCGAATGTGTCCAACTCTGCTGCCTTCTTTGCCTTTGCACATGCTGTTCCCTTGTCCTAGAACCGCTCCTTCTCTCCTGTTTAATTCCCGGTAGTCCTTCTGCAGAGCCCAGGGCTCAACGACTCCAGATGCCTTCCCTACCCTTCCTTTCTGTCAGTGCTGGGCCATCCTGTGGGATCCTATGCACACTTCCGTCATAGCACCACACACACTGCGTAGGGGTCATCAATGTCAGTGTCTCCACCCTGCCCACCACAAACAGGCAGTGGGAGCTCCTTGGGGGCACACCCTGTTCTTTACGTCTTCAGCATCACTGGGCTTGTCCACAAAGGAGGCACTCAATAAATGTTGGATGATTACATGAATGACGGTGGAGATCAATATTATTATATTTATGAAAGAGCTCTGAGCTCTTGGGAATATGACCATATTCTACATTGCAGAAAATGACATAAATCTGCAGCCGTTGCAAGAAGAAATCTGAGACTTATTTTAATGTCAGGTCCTCGCCCTGCACAACCTATTACTCATCCCTGGTGCAGAGGCTGTGTTTGTGGGAAGCACACCAGGCAGAAAGTCTCAAAGCCTGGGATCCGGCCCACGTCTGTCACCAGCCAGCTGTGTGATCATTGAGGGTCACATGTCAGAACCCTCACTTCCCTTATCAGGGCAACAAAGAATCAGAGCCGCTGAACAACTTCTTTCTTGTTCTGATATTCTGTTATTTTATTTTGAGCGCATTGAGCTATGAGTTCACAGAATGCACGATGACATCTAAGCAAACTTGCTAGTTTTAAAAATAGGCCATGTACGTGAATGTGCATTGAAGTGTGCACCAAGACAAGGATTGTGGACAACAATACTGTGGCCAGGGTGGTGGTCAATTGGCAGATTGTCCTGCAAACCCTCCTACCTTTGCAGTTTGATTCCTTTTTTGTCTTCAGAAAGTCCTCTCTTAAAATTCAAATTTTTCTGGGTCCCATTTCATTACCTTAAAATCCTAGGATTTCAAGCTAGAAAGGATTTAGCAAGTAATACTTCAGTTATCCCATCAAAACCTTGCAGGGATTGTTGACAGGCAACTGGGATGAGACAGGCTCTTAGTGGCACCTGGGTAATCAGCCCCAGTGACGCTGCAGGCTGTTGATAGGGAGAGAGGAAGATACTTAAGTGAAATTGATCCTACCTTGTTAGTTTCTCCTCTAGCCATTATCAGTAACACATGTACTTCTACAAAAGCAGGACTTGCGTTCCAAATACAAGGTATTCTGTACTTCCCCACTTCTCTCTCTAGGGTTCCCTCCACCATCCACTCAGTTGCACACACCAAAGACCTGGAAACCATTGTCTCCTTTCCCCGCCTCTCACACGCAGTCTGTCAGCAAATTCAATCCTCTCTTCCTTCAAATATGTCCCCTATCTGCCCGCATATCATCACCGCCACTGCTGAAACTCAGGTGAAAGTCATGTCATCATGTCAGAGCGAATGCAACAGCCCCCTCCCTTGTTCTCTTGCATCTACTCTTGTTCCCCTAAAGACCATTCTCTAGAGAGCAGACAGGACCATCATCTCCCGTTGAAAACCCTCCAATCAGTTTCCATTGCTAGTCCAGTGAGATCCAAACTCCTTACCACATTGGCACGGCCCCTGCCTACCTCTCAACCTCTGTCCAAGGCCCAGGCACTCTGGCCTTTCTGTCCCTCACACAAGCCAAGCATTTTGCTCTTTCAGGGCTTAGAACGTGTTATTACCTCTTTCTCCAGATCTTCATACACACCCCAACCTCTAACACTAGTGGGGTCCAGGAACAAGGGCCGGAATGGAAACCCATAAACCATATCTCCAAGTATTTAAAAGTTATAGATCACTCTAAAACCTATCACATAAAACATGTTCCAGCCTCTTAACATGTCAAATGCCTTCATAATGACAAAATTGAAAAATATGTGTAAACACATGGTTTTGATGACTGCAAGTTAGCAAAATACAAAAGAAAATTAAATTTATTACTGTGCATATTTAACTGTTCTGTTGATTGGTTGGTGATATTTGAATGAGTAATAAAAATAGAGACATATGTATTATCTATGACTTATATGTTTATTCCACAAAGTTTATTTTTTGTTTCATTTCGATGTAATCACTAATATAATCATTTTCAAATAATTGTGTTATATTGAGATGAATGATATAAAATATTTTTTAAAATGTTATTGTCCTCAAAGTGTAAAAAATTAAAATATATTATCATTAAAATATAACTGAAAGTAAATATTTGAAAATTAAAATAGTTTTCATATATCATTTCAAAAAAGTTATTTTTCTCAGGTATTCAACATTATTTATAATTAAACAAATATGTGTTCTAATTAGTGAATATGAAAAGTTTAAATTACAATTATTTAAATAAAGCTGAAAAATTCTTTTGGAAAATCTAGCTAAATTATATTAGATATTCTTACTTTTTAAAAAAATTCTCAGGCTGAGCATGGTGACTCACACCTGTAATCCTAGCACTTTGGGAAGCCGAGGCCGGAGGATCACTTGAGCCCAAAAGTTTGAGACCAGCCTGGGCAACATAGTGAGACTCTGTCTCCACAAAAAAATTAAAAAGTAACTAGGTGTGGTGGCGCATGCCTGTGGTCCCAGCTACTGGGGAGGCTGAGGCAGGAGGATTACTGGAGCCCAGGAGGTCAAGGCTGCAGTGAGTCATGATTGTGCCATTGCACTCCAGCATGGGCAACATAAGGAGACCCTGTCTCAAAACAAACAAAAGAGAAAACGTTTCTCAATTTTGGTGTTCAGTGCTGTCAAGGTAAATAATTGGTATGCTTTGAGCATCTTACATCTAAACCAACATACATACACATTTAAGAGAAATGCGAATTACTTGACATTGCAAATGTTCCTCATCCATCATGTGTAAACATCCTAAATACCTCTTTAATCCATGAGCATCTCCAGAACACAAAGAGAAGAAAAAGACAGATTCTCAGAACTCTGGGAAACAATTCTTCCTTATGCAATAATCTAGTGCTCTGATGCTGTTTTGAGAAAGGTTTGAACAAATTAGTTAATTTGTCCTTTCTCTCACCTAAGCACTTTCGCCACACAAATTCTCTCCAGCACCACCCACAACCTTGACAGCATTAGGACAAGGTGGTGGAGAAGCGTTTCCCTGGAGTCTGAACCGTGTTAAATAATCAGAGTGGTTGGGGTCCTCCAAATCCCCAGGCCCAGGACAGGGGCCCCTATTGCCCTGTTCCAAGGGTAGTTCCTTCTTTCATGCCTCCTGGGTACCTGCTTATAGAAAGGCCTTCTCTGGCCACCCTGAATAACTGATGTGGCATCCATACTGCACCACCCCAACCATTCTGTGTCCCCTTGTCCCATATGATCTTTTCATAGCAATTTACACCATCTAAAATCACACCTTTCTCTGCCCACCATGGACCTCGTCATGTGCATAAGCCCTCAATGCCTATTTGTTAATGATTGGACATCTCTGACCATCAGATTCCAGAGGTGCCTCAGCAATGGACATTTATTTGTGTGATGGTTTAATACACAGTGTCTCCTCATCCATGCTTTCGTGAGATTCCCATGACCTGTGAAGAACAAAGGGCACGCCTGGGGCTCAGAGAAGTTACGAGGTTTGCCACTGTGAGCAAATGGTAGAGCTAAAGCTAACCATACAATTAGGACTCTTTCCCCTAGACCCCTAGAGTGAAGAAGGAGCCTTGAGGGTTTATGGTGCAGCCTCAAAACACACACCCATGGTGAGCGGCCGCACACAATTCTGCCCCTAGAGGGCAGTGGCTGCACACACATGGACATCGGACGCATTTGGACCACTAGCTGGTTAGTGATGGGCGTCCATGTCTTCACCTAGTTTTTTGTTTTTGTTTGTTTTGTTTTGTTTTTTGAGATGGAATCTCGCTCTGTTGCCCAGGCTGGAGTGCCGTGGCACAATCTCAGCTCACTGCAACCTCCGCCTCCAGGGTTCAAGTGATTCTCCTGCCTCAGCCTCTCAAGTAGCTGGGACTACAGGTGTGTGCCACCATGCCCAGCTAATTTTTTGTATTTTTAGTAGAGGCGGGGTTTCACCATATTAGCCAGGATGGTCTCGATCTCCTGACCTCGTGATCCGCCTGGCTCAGCCTCCCAAAGTGCTGGGATTACAGGCGTGAGCCACTGCACCCAGCCAACTTCACCTAGATTTTAGAAGACGGAGACATCCTGATCATACCAAGACAAGAATACAGTTCCATAGACCTTACTGGCCTAGTGTGTTTCCAGGAAGTCTGGAACTTCCTGGGTGGACCTCCTGCCTTTACCACGACTTCTTCCAAGGAGAAAGCTAGAACTCAAGCCCAGTTCAACTCTGTGTTTTCCTTTCTGCCCTTGGATACCTTCCTACCAGTCTTGCTCAATTTGGGCACTCCTGACATTTTGGACTGGAAATTTTTGTTGCTGTGGGGGGCTGTCCTGTGCATTGTGAGGGGCTGTCCAGAATCCCTGGCCTCTACACCAAATTGCTAGCAGTCGTCACTCCCCGTCTCAGTTGTGACAACAGAAAATGTCTACAAACATTGCCAAATGTTTGGGGGAGGTAGAAGGAGAAGGTAACAACATTGGCCTGGTTTGAGAGCCACTAAACCAAACCAGCCATGGAATAGATGCCGTGGAGTCTAGCCGTGAACTGTTGTCCAGGAGGCGGCTGGGGAGGAATTCACAAATGTTCCCAGCACAGGATCTGGCAATTTCTGTGTAAACTTTTCTTCCAGTGATATTTAATTTTTTTATCATCTCCAAATGGTAATCGTTTGCAAATTAAGTGGTGTTTATCCTCCTGGCTATGAACTCTTAACAGAGTGCAGGAGCTTTTTTGTTTTGTTTTCTTTTGGTGTGTATGTGTGTGTTTTCTGGTCTGCACGGTTCTCAGTCCCTCAGAACCATTTATTTCCTTTTATTGTTGTTTTCCTCACTTGGCTTCCCCGCTCCACCAGACAGGCTTAATAACTGGCAATCATCACATCGCAGGGCAAAGCAGTCGGCAGCCACCCCCGCAACGGAGGAATCAGAGCCTGAATGCTCTGGAACTATTGCCTCTTTTGTTTTTCCAGGCAGACTCCAGTTTTGTCTCTTGACTATCCCTGAATAAAGAGAATCTTAAAACATCATGTGGCTGCAAATGGCTTCACATAAGCTGGAAGGAGCAATAAACAGGAAGTCCACAGCAAAGGAGAAATAAAAATGATCAGTCAATTAGGCTGTGAGAATGACTTCACTGAGCGCCCCCCCACCTCCACCTCCAAGGCATCTTTGGAGGAAACTGGGCTGCATTAATCAGGCCTGGGCAGGCAGGCCCCAGAGCAGAGCTGCCAGGAGGGAAGGCCTGCAGTGAGCCAGCGATGGGGAGTGAGTGCCACACCACTTCCAGAGCCAAAGATCTGCCAGGAGGGGCAGGACAATGTGGCCCACATGCGGTGAGCAAATCATCCAGCCAAGTTGCAAAACTTCCATGACACTCTTTTATCCTGTCCTGGGGTGGGATGAGAGGCCCCACGATGAGGAATGAACACAATTGCCCCGGTGCTGCAGCCCACACCTGGCTGCTCTGGTGACACTCTGGACTCTCACATTCAGACAGGACCCCCCACAGTGTTCTTGAGCCATCTTGGCCCCGAGAGTCCCATGTCTAGGGAACTTGCTGCCCTTCCCAGCCACCACCAGTGCCTATGGCTTATATGCCCAGGTATCCTGACCCAGTGATGCCCCTCCAGAGCAGGAATCATCACCACGATAAGTTAGGCCCGGCTCCACCCTACCCAGGAGGCCTTCCTGAAAACAGCATCACAGAGAATTCGGAGGACAACATAGCTACTGCTTTGATGTCGGGCTTAAAGAGAAAGCATGCCTCCTAAAGCAGAGAGAGAGGAGAGAAAGAGATAATCAGCCTCTCGGTGTCTCATTTCATGAAGAGGGTCAGATTGTACAAATGGGGAGTTAAATAAAAAAGGATGTAGGAGGAGGTTCAAACTAATTTGAGGTCAGAAAAGTGAGAAACATATTTTTAGTTTCTAAGACCACCTAAAGAAGGCAGGGTAGTCCAGGCGTGGTGGCTCACTTCTGTAATCCCAGCACTTGGGGAGGTTGAGGCGGGAGGATTGCCTGAGCTCAGGAGTTTGAGACCAGCCTGGGCAACAAGGTGGAACCACATCTCTAAAAAAAAAAAAAAAAAATAGCCAGGTATGGTGGTGCATGCCTATAGTTCCAGCTACTTGTGGGGCTGAGGCGGGAGGCTCTCTTGAGCCCAGGAGATCAAGGCTGCAGTGAGCCAAGATCATGCCACTGCACTCCAGCCTGGGTGACAGAGCAAGACTGGGTCTCAAAAAAAAAAAAAAAAAAAAAAACCAGGGTATACCACATGTAGAATATTATGATTTAAAAGTAGTTCCCTCTCCAATCCTAGTTCCTCTAGTCCATCTTATTTTATTTATTTATTTATTTAAGAATGAGTTTCGCTCTTGTTGCCCAGGCTGGAGTACAGCAACACCATCTCAGCTCACTGCAACCTCTGCCTTCTGGGTTCAAGCGATTCTCCTGCCTCAGCCTCCCACGTAGCTGGGACTACAGGCACCCACCACCATGCCTGGCTAATTTTTGCATTTTTAGCAGAGATGGGGTTTCACCATGTTGGTCAGGCTGGTCTCGAACTCTTGACCTCAGGTGATCCACCCACCTCAGCCTCCCAAAGTGCTGGGATTATAGGCGTAAGCCACCACACCCGGCCTAGTCCACCTTATTTTATTGTGGCTACACTGTAAATCCATTCTGGAAGTGGCCAGGGTCATGTCTCTATACTAGGGGTTCAGCTGCAGATAGTGGGGAGCATTTCCAAGGAGGCCTGAGAGAAGGCAGGTGTTATGCATGATGCAAAACAGCAGGGTGATGGCAGAGCTCTGACCTCAATGCTCCTGAACTAGAGGTGGTCGTTAGGACTAGGTTGTTTTCCAACAGCTGACACCCCTGTGATTGGACCAAAGAGTTAGATATTTTAACCTAGTGTGTAAACGTGGTTAATCTCCGGCTTCTGTTTAAGCAATGGCCCATCTTCCTGGAAACATTCCTGCTCTCTGAGCCCTGGGATCTTGGAATAGAACCACTTGCCGGAAGTGGCCATTGCTGCTCCACCACTGTAGAAAAATCTCCTGCCCAGGTGCCCAGGCTTCTCTGTTTTATCAGCTGCTGCAAGATTCTCCATCACCTCCCCAAGCAGACCCAGCAGGAATCCAACCATTGCAAGCCTATCACTTTTCAACAACGTGGACACTTACATGGTAAGACTAGATCCACGTTATGCTGGAGTGAGGAGAGGCTCAGTAAAGCTTCCTATCTCCCAGAGAAGCTATGTGCTGAGAACTGACCCAGCCAGTTGTCCTGGACAGTAAGTGAATCAATCGGTAGAAGCCTCTGCTATGCGCCTGGGCTCTGTGTTCAGTACTGTAGTTTATACGAAAGAAGCCAAGAAAGATGTGGTCCTGCCGTCCGTGAAGTTGCACCCTAGTCTAACTCACAAGACTAACGAACATGTGGGCTGAGATCATACGATAAGGCCGCATGACCATTCTGGCCTTCGGTAAACCCAAGCCTGAACATATATCTAAAGCTATGGTGCTTCGTTAAATAATACTGCACATTGTTATTTAACTTTTCTTCTATGTCTTGTACCACCATAAGGTCATAAATTCCTCTAAAGTAGGAAGCACAACTTACCCTTTTTAGGGTCTCATGCATCCCCCCACCCCCTACAGCTTTCAGCACAGGTGCTTGTGATGTTGTTACTGGATGCTCTGGTGAGTATAATTGCGTGAAACACAATAGAATTGCAATAGGAGTTTGTGTACGGGAGTAATCTGGGTGGGCTGGGGTAGTTGGAGAGGGAGGCTTCCCTGGAACTACAAAGGGCAATTGACAGTAAAAATACCACAGTTTTTTTTTCTTTTCCTTTTGAAAGTAGTGATTAAAGACAACATTTAAAAAACTGTAAAAGTGTAAATATTCATTATAGAAACATGTCAAATGAAGAAAAATATAAAGAAGGAGATTCAAATCACGGGTAATTTCATTCCCAGAATGAGTGAGCTCACAGAATACATAATTATCAACTGTAACAAGTGCAGTGAAGAAAGAGACCAGCAAGAGAATAAATCTGAGAGACCTGATCTAGAATAGAGGAGGCCTCTCCCAGGATGCAACATTGAAGCTGAGACCTGAAGGATGAGCAGGGCTGAGATGGATGAAGAGAGAGAGAAGCACATAACAGGTGTGTTAAAGGATGCATTTCTTTAAGAAGCTAATTATGCTTGTAATCTCAGCACTTAGGGAGGCCGAGGTGGGCAGATCGCTTGAACCCAGGAGTTTGGGACCAGTCTGGGCAACATGGAGGAACCTCATCTTTACAAACACACACACACACACACACACACACACACACACACACACACACACACAAAATATTAGCTGGGCCTGGTGGCATGCACCTGTAAGTCCTAGCTACTCAGGAGGCTGAAGTAGGAGGATCACTTGAGCCTGGGAGGTCAAGGCTGCAGGGAGCCATGATTGCACCATTGCATTCCAGCCTGGGCCACAGAGTAAGACCCTCAAAAAAAAAAAAACAAAAAAAACCAGGTGAATCATCATAAGATGAACATCTGTCAAAGTTTTTATTTAATCTTTAACCTCATTAATGAATGAGGGAAACATTAAGATCTTACAACTGGTTCAAAGGCTAATTCAAAGTACCACACTTACATAGGTCAATCAAGAATGCTGAAATGAACATGTCAAAGATTCCAAATTCGGTGGATGAAGGGCAGTTGTCCCTCTGCTGGATAGAATGTATTGGCATATGGAAAATAATCCTTACATTGCTCTTAGTCATCTACAACTTGCAGAGTTGTCTCTAGCTCAGAAAATGAAAGATGGAGATGACCAGGAAGAGTAAGTCAGAATGCCTACAAATTCTTCCCCCATTTCAAAGCCTTTCAGAGTTTGTCCTGATGTGTGCAAATGTCCTGGGAAGGAAACAGCTTAAGAGAAATGAAAGAAGAGGAGGTTGCTGGGGTATAATGAGCCAGGAGGAGGGTGGTTGAGATAGGATTCATGGTGTACGTTCCCATTTGTGGGCTGTGTGTTTGTGTGTGTCAAGGTAAAGCTTATTTCTTCTTTATTTATTTATTTATTTATTTATTTATTTATTTATTTATTGAGACAGAGTCTCGTTCTGTTGCCCAGGCTGGAGTGCAGTGGTGCAATCTCGGCTCACTACATCCTCTGCCTCCAGGGTTCAAGCAATTCTCCTGCCTCAGCCTCCTGAGTACCTGAGATTACAGGTGCCCACTAACTCTTCCAGCTAATTTTTTTTTTTTTTTTTTTTTTTTTTTTTAGTGGAGACAGGGTTTCACTATATGTTGGCCAGGCTAGTCTTGAACTCCTGAACTCAAGTGATCCACCCACCTCAGCCTCCCAAAGTGCTGGGATTACAGGCATGAACCACCGTGCCCAGCCTCTTTTTTTTTTTTTTTTTAAGACCTAACTTTTTTAGGGCAGTTTTAGGTTCACAGCAAAATTGAGTGGAAAGTGCAGAGATTTCCCATACACCCACTGACCCCACATGCACCACCTCCCCATTATCCACATCCCTCACCACAGGGGTATATTTGTTACAACTGATGAACCTACATTGACATATCATTATAATTCAAATAGTGTAATTTATATTAGGGTTCACTGTTGGTGTTGTACATTCTGTTTAACTTTTATTATACATTGGAGAAGAAGGGAATGGCCTAATGCTAACAGACTCAGCAGAAAAACTCAGCAAGGCCTGTCTGCCTAGATTCTTCTTGGCCTCTCTGTGCAGAGCGCCTTCCTTCTGGGTATGGGGCAAGACACTGCTGGAATGGGAGTCTGATGACCTACAGCCAAACCAGGTAGGTCAGATTCTTTCTTTCTTTCTTTTTTTTTTTTTTTTTGAGATGGAGTTTTGCTCTTGTTGCTTAGGCTGGAGTGCAATGGCGTGGTCTTGGCTCACTGCAACCTCTACCTCCTCGGTTCAAGCGATCCTCCTGCCTCAGCCTCCCAAGTAGCTGGGATTACAGGCACCTGCCACCATGCCCAGCTAATTTTTATATTTTTAGTAGAGACAGGGTTTCACCATGTTGGCCAGGCTAGTCTTGAACTTCTGAGCTCAAGTGATCTGCCCACCTTGGCCTCCCAAAGTGCTGGGATTATGGGCATGAGCCACCGCTCCTGGCCAGATTATTCCTTTATGGCCAATTTTTACACAGAAGGCGGAGGGAAAGTTAGAGAGTAGTATTTTAGGTTTTATGGCTGGTTTGAGGGAAAGGGGTTCTGGTTTCTAAGACCTGCCAGGGTTTGGTCAAATGTAGGATGACATAATATATCCCTCATTGCATTATCATACAGAATATTTCTGCTGCCCTAAAAATCCTCTGTGTTCTGCCTATTCATTCCTCTCTCCCTTGTCTTTTTTTTTTTCGCTTAGCAATATAGGATAAACATTTTCTCATACCATCAAATATCCTTTTGAAGCCCAATTGTGAAAGCCTGCACCATTCCCTTGCAGTGGACACACCATAATGTATTAACTAAGGCCCTCAGTCCTCTTCATTTAAGTTGTTCCTATTTGAGATTCAGACACATTAGTCTTTGTTTTCATGAATCTCTGATGATTTCCCTAGGATAGATTTCTCTAAGTGGAAAGTCTATTCTAAAAGTGTTGATTAGCAAAAACTGCTTTCAAATGAAGTACTTTAGGAAAATATTGAGGTATGGAGAGGTAGCATCTTTGAGAGAGATGGAGACAGCATGAAGTGGGGCAGTTTTGGAGTCTGGATGTGTAGATTGGAAGAGGTGGGGGAGTAGAACGTGCCTCAAGGTATTGGGCTTGGGCTTTCCTTAGAGACAATGGGACATAGGCATATTTGGAAGAAGAACTAATTTGAGGGAAGAAGATAAATTTATTCAGGGACATGAAGGATTTGGGTTATTGGGGCTCAGAAAACGATACTTCAAAATGAAGGCCTCAGAAACAAAAGTTTTTCTCTGATCTTCTCTTGTCCTCCTGTCTCTCAGTCCCATCCTCCCGAGACTAGCCAGAGACACTAGAATCTAAGAACAACCCAAGGCAGGTCTTAGAAACCAGAACCCCTTCCCCCCAAAGCAAGCCATAAAAACTAAAAATATTACTCTCTAACTTTCCCCTTGCCTTCTGTTTAAAAATTTGCCATAAGGAAATTTTCCGACCTCCCTGATTGGACTGTAGGTCATAAGACCCCCTTTCCAGAAAGGGTCCTGCCCCAAACCCAGAAGGAAGGAGTGCTGCTCAGAGAGGCAAAGAAGACTCTAGACAGACAGTCCTTGCTTGGTGTTCCCACTCTGTCTATCAGCATTAGATGGTTCCCTTTTTGTCCAATCATATTATTGGACAATATTTAATATATTAATCATATATTAAATAAATGTGTATGCCTTTTCTCCAATTAATCTGCCTTCTGCAAGTTGATTTTTCAGCAAAACTTTTGAGGGCCAAGGGGAACCAGGGCGCACCTAGGGGCACAGGGGCAGAGTCTGGGCTGGAGAAGTGTATGAGTCCATTTTCACACTGCTATAAAGAACTTCCCAAGACTGGATAATTTATAAAGGAAAGAGGTTTATTTGACTCACAGTGCAGCATGGCTGGGGAGGCCTCAGGAAATTTACAATCATAGTGGAAGGTGAAGCAGGCATGTCTTACATGGCGGCAGGTGACAGAGAGCAAATGTGTGCATAGGAGGAATTGTCAAACACTTGTAAAACCATCAAATCTCATGAGAACTCACTCACTATCATGAGAACAGAATGGGGAAAGCTGCCCCCATGATCCAATCACTTCCCACCAGGTCCTGCTCTTGACACATGGGGATTATGGGAATTACAATTCAAGATGAGATTTGGGTAGGGACACAGAGCCAAACCATATAAAGAGGTAAATTTGGGAGTCATAGCAGAGATCTTCTAGTTAAAACCATGAGAGGAGCTGTCTAGGGGAGAGAGAGCCCCAGGGTGATCAGAGCCCTGCAGAAGAGCCATGCTCAGAGGCACATTTGGAAGACACAGCAAATAGGTAAACAGGGGAGAAAAAGGTGGGAAAGTGCCTTGGGAAGGCTGGGTCATAAACAATGTCAAGTACTGCCCTGAGGTCAGCAAGGCTGAGGACTAGGGGGGAAAACCATTGTGTTTGGCCAGAAGAAAGTCCTGGCAACCTCCAGCAAATGCAGTTGCAATAGAATTGTGGGGGTGGAAGTCCGCGGTTTAGGGAATAGTAGATGGAGGCATTGAGTGTCAGCCACAATGTGGAGGATTTTGGCAGCCAAAGGAAGCGGGAAGTCTGGAAATTAGCTAAAAAAGAGGAGAGTGGAGCATTGTATTTTGTGAGTGTGTGTCTTGTTCCTATTCCAAGCCAGCAGCTTCAGTCGGCTTTTCCACATCCCCTACCACAGTTTCCTCAGCTTATTTTTCAATCCTAAATATTTTTTCAATCTCAGAGGAGATTACGTGGCTTCATAGGACCAGCTCTTCACAGAGAGCCTGGAACATAGGAAGTGCTCACTAAGCATTAGCTATTGTCATCATTTTTTATTAATTAACAGTCCTTAAGGGCTGGGCATGGTGGCTCACACCTGTAATGTCAACACTTTGGGAGGCCAAGGCAGGTGAATTGCTTGAGCTCAGGAGTTCAAGACCAGCCTGGGAACATAGTGAGGCCCCATCTTTACAAAAAATAAAAAAATTAGCCGGGCATAGTGGTGCATACCTGTAGTCCCAACTATTTGGGAAGCTGAGGCAGGACAGTTACTTGAGCCCAGGAGGTCAAAACTTTAGTGAGCTATGATCACATCATTTCACTCCAGCCTGGGCGACAGAATGAGACCCTGTCCCTGCTCCCCCTCTCAACAAAAAGAGTCCTTAAGAACAAAATATACAAACAAGAAGGACAGACATGAGGTAGGTAGAGTGAGAGTGGGAATGAGGTAAAAGGCGGGGGGTGGGGGGGCGCTGTCTTTAGCAGGGAATAATTGAAGCACAAACGGCTGGTTTATCTTTTCTTGGCCTTCATTGTGGGTCTACTGTGGACTGCATCTTCTGTGTAAGATGCACTAAAGGAGCCTGCCTTTTGTCAGTTTGCACGTTGATTTGAGACTCTTGTCCAAGATTTCTTTCTGCATTTTCATTCATTGCTTTGAAGTCAGTCTGAGTTTTAGTCTGGTCCTGCCCCTTGGGACTGCAGGAGGGGACAAAGGGGAACTCCCTGGAGTTTGAGATTTGGGAAGAATGTGCAGAGGGAAAATGAGCAAATGCCAAATGTGCCGGCACTGCCAGCAGACGCGAGTGAGGGATGGGGGCGCCTGATAGCCCACATCTCCAGGAGCAGATTGTAAGCGTAATCTCAAGGATTCATCCGCAGGGAGGATCTGGGCAAGAACAAAAGCCCAGAAGTTTCTGTTTGTGTGGCAAGATACAGAAACAGTGTGGGCTGAGAAGCAGAGGGGCAGGTCCTGCCTTTCGTGTAGCAAAATGACAATTACCCCATCTTTCAGCAGGCTGTGCAGGAAGAGGTAATTCGTTTATGTTGTCTGTAATTCTGCTGGCCTTCCCCCTACCCTGCCTCACATCCTGGTTAGAAGGCAAATAAGTCACTAACGTCCAGACAACCTAGTTTAAAGCTTCGATCATTTAAATTGTCACTTTGGGTAGGTCCAGTATCTGATAAGATTAAAATGCTCCACCTTGCAGCCTTTAGCTCTGCCTACTTCTCACCCTAAGATACTACTTCTCACCCCTGTCTGGGTACACAAAGAAAGAGATGTGTGTGGGTCACACAGGACGGTGGTGGGGTGGGAGCGTCTCAGACACATCCTCAGCATTCTTTATGTTCAGGGGCTTCCTGTGTCTACCTGGTGACTACTTGCCTGGCATTCTAAGGTGGCATAAAGGCTATTTAATGTGTGCTCTCTCGGCTTGACCACAGCGCAAAGCAATACACTGATGTGGCTTCACCGTGGCTTTCCTGTTGCTGTCTGGTTCTCTGAAACTGACATTAGGTCCCTATGCGGCAATTTCTCCCTGCGGCCCTGGCTATCTAGCCACCCTTCCCCAAGGTAATTCTTATCTTTCTCCCATCAGCATAGCTGGCTGCATTTCTTTTTAAGGAGCAGAAGTCCTGCCTTTGCAAAAGCTGACCGTCTCATTGCTTGATTTCATAACTGGGCTAAATGTCACCATGGGGGAAAAAAATCTACCATTAAGGCTACCCGTACAAAGAGACATGAGCCCCCTGAATTCCTCTGCATTGACTGATGTGTCAGATCCAAAGTGTTTGGAGTAACCCGTTGTTCTGGCATCCAGTGGAGAGGGCTTTCTTAGCCAGGACTGAAAGCTTGAGAGGCCTTTTATTTCAAACCCTCTAAACTCCGTGCTCAATGAGTATGGAAAGTGTTGCATGTGGAAATCACCAGGGCGACTGGGGGAAATGTTGCCAAAAGAGAAAGTTTCCAGTTCCTTGCTTTCAAAAGTGTGCACTGTGCCATATGTTGTGAGGTAATACAGATGCTCTGAATGGGGGCGCCACAGCCAAGGAAAGCAAATACAGTTCTAGTCCCTAATCCCGGGCCAGTGCAGAACTACTAAGAAAGAGTGAAAGACCAGGCTGCTAGGAACCCAAGCAGTGCAAAATGGAAGGAAGCTGCCCTGGGCCCAGAGCTTCATTTTGTTTAGGAGGAGAAAATGAGCTTGAAAGTGTCCCTGAAGCAGCAGTGTTCACATTAACAGATACCATCTGGAAATCAAAACTCAGAGTTTGTTTTTACAGATTTGTACTGAAAACCTGCTCCAGCCAGGGAACCTCACATCTCAGAAGTCTCCAGCAGGGCACTGAGATGTAAACAATCATTTAGCAAAATCCGGAGTCAAAATGACAGACGAAGGCTGTTGTCTTCTCTTTATGTAAATCAAGAAGTGAGGTTGGATGTGACCAAGTGCATGGAGATGTTACAGTTTGTATTGAGGCATTTGAAGTAATTTTTTTTCTTTTTAATTTTGCTGGGTACATGGTAGGTGTATATATTTATGGGGTACATCAGATGTTTTGATACAGCCGTGCAATGTGTAATAATCACATTGGAGTAAATGGGGTATCCATCACCTCAAGCATTTATCATTTCTTTCTTTCTTTTTTTTTTTTTTGAGACAGAGTCTCACTCTGTCACCCAGGCTAGAGTTCAGTGGCGCAATCTCAGCTCACTGCAACCTCCACCTCCTGGATTCAAGCGATTCTCCTGCCTCAGCCTCCCTAGTAGCTGAGATTACAGGCACCTGCCACCACGCCTGGCTAATTTTTTGTATTTTTAGGAGAGACAGCTTTTCACTATGTTGGCCCAGATGGTCTCGAACTCCTGACTTCAAGTGATCCACCTGCCTTGGCCTCCCAAAGTGCAAGGATTACAGGCGTGAGCCACCGCACCTGGCCGCATTTATGATTTCTTTGTTACAAACATTACAATTATACTCTTTTAGTTATTCTTTAAATGTACAATAAATTGTTGACTGCAGTCTTCCTGTTGTGCTATCAAATACTGGATCGTATTCATTTCTTTTACCTATATTTTGTACCCATTAATCATACCCACTCCCCTGCACCCTGCCTCCAATTTAAGTAATTTTTAACAGCCTCAGAGACAGGCAAAATGTATCTTCAGGACTCTTCATTCCCCTCAAGTATCTCGGGTCCTCATTCTGGTCCCCTATTTAATCACCCTCTCTGAATCCCCTTCCCCCGATATTACCTTTCCTAGGGGATAATGGTTCAATGGAGGATAATGGTTTAATGGGTTTTTTAGTCTCTCTCCCTATCTACCCTCTCACCATATCTGTATTTTAACCGGGCTTTCTGGTGACAATACTGTGCCTCTAGAGGAACTGTCTGAATTGTGGGGATTTGAGGCAGCAACTTGGCAGGCTGTTGAGGGGATAAGAGGGTTGCATTTGGGGAGCGGGTATACCTCTCAAATCCCCATTCTGCAGACAGTCACCTACACATGAGCATTCCCTGCTGAGAAGCTGGCTGGAGCTTCTTTTGGCTGCGCCTCCCATCTCCTGCCGTAGTCTGGCAGGCATGAGCAGGAACGTGGGCAAAAGCCTTGCTTCCCTGTTCGGAGCAGAGCATTAACTGTTCTGTGTTGTTGGCTGAGAACAATTAGTGCAGGTTTCTCTGGGTAACTGGGTGAAACACAGGCCCTGTGCATAATTCTACGTGCTCACCCCTTGCCTGCATATGACTATTTTCAAACAAATTTCCCATCCAGAAGTGCTCAGCTTCTCAGAGAGCCCCCATGCCTGGCTTCTTGCTCTGGCCCTCCACCGAGCTGGGACGCAGCTGGATTGCAATTCCATGGCCGTCCACTTCCTGCTGCTCCACGCTGGACTGTGGTCATCCTCGTGCTAAGGAAGGTCACGGGCTTGTTAATTAGCTGGAAAGCAAAGACAGACAGGATACAAATGTTCCTAGAAAGAAACTAGCATAGTGTGACGTCAGTACTGTTTTCAACTTTTAGCTGCTACCCTTTCCTGTTTCCTGAGGACATTTCAACATGACTTCGAGCACAGTTAAAGTGAACTGCCAAGGTTAAGCGAGGTATGGGCCTCAGAGCCACAATGCACTGATTTTTCTCTTGGTTTCTCAAAGGGAAGGTATGTGAAACCACAATGGGAAATACAGATTTCCAAGTTTTATTTTTATTTGCATGCAACATATATTTGCATGATCCTTTATTCTTGACATTTTTGCATTCATAATTTCATTTGAAGTTTTACCAGAATCATTTTAGGTAAGGTGGGCATTTATCTTTCCCTATCTCATCAGAATGAGATATTTGAGCTTAGAGAGCTACTACAGGTAGTAGTGACCAAGGTAGGACTAATTCTAGGTTTCCCGGCTCCTAGACAGGATTTCCATTGCATCCGATTGCCTTTCATTACAGAACCCAGAAAGAGCTGTGGGTTGGTCAAAATCTATCAGATCTGTTCAAGTGGAGATATGCTTTTGTTTTTTTCGTCTGTCCAGCTTTCCTTCCTTACGGAATCTCCCAGCCCCTAATTCTATAATACTACTCGCTTAGTTTGGCTGTGGTGAAACCCACCTTGTCCTCTACTAAAGATATGGAACGAAGACCTCGTCAGTCAATCTTCCATGATCCCGGCCACCGCAATTGGCTCAGGTAGGGGCACATGACCTAAGTTGGCCAATCAGTTTTCTTGGGCCTTTTGTTAACGCTCTTTTGTTTCTCCAGGTCGTTGCTGCCATGAAGTAAGAGTCTGTCTGGAAATGAAGGCGAGCAGAGGCCACAAAGCTGAGACATGGAGACAGAGAGAGTCCTGATGTTATTATTTGAACCATTGAGTCCAGCTGTGCCTGAAACTCTTCAGTGAGCCAAGAAATTCCTTTTTGGCTTAAGCCAATTGGAGTCGTGTTTGTGATACTTGCAAATGAAAGGAGTTATTGACTAATAAAACTGCCATTTCTATCTCTCCAAGAATTAGGAAATACTTCTTTAAAACTGTTTATTTGCAGTATGCTTTATTCCTTCCCACAAAAAAGAGGCAGCTTATAAAAGTAAATATGAAAAATAGGCACAAAGGGTGTATAATACATGAAATACATGTGTATATGTCTAGCACAGTCTTTATATTAAGTTGACAAAAATTATTATTATTATTATTATTTTTGCAACAGAGTTTCACTCTTGTCACCCAGGCTGGAGTTCAATGGCATGATCTCGGCTCACTGCAACCTCCACCTCCTGGGTTCAAGTGATTCTCCAGCTTCAGCCTCCCGAGTAGCTGGAATTACAGGTGCCCGCCACCACCAGCCCAGTTAATTTTTGTATTTTTGGTAGAGATGGGGTTTCACCATGTAGGCCAGGCTGGTCTTGAATTCCTGACCTCAGGTGATCTGCCTACCTTGGCCTCCCAAAGTGCTGGGATTACAGGCGTAAGTCACTGCACCTGGCCCAAAAATTATTTTTTAAGTTACAGTACGAACTACTGCTGAGGGTGCTGGGTAATTAACATTGTTGGAGAAATTATAAACTGGTGCAAACCTTCTGGAGATAAATTTGACAATGCTTATTCATATCCATTGTTTGTCTATAATCAACCATTCTTCTTTTAGGAATGCATCTGAAAGAAATAATTACATAAATAAGGAGATATGCAAAGATTTAGCTATGAGAATGATTGTTTAATCACCAGAAGTTGGAAAACAGCCTGAATATCCAATGACATAAAAACAAAATTGGCGGGGCGCGGTGGCTCACGCCTGTAATCCCAGCACTTTGGGAGGCCGAGGCGGGCGGATCACAAGGTCAGAGATCGAGACCATCCTGGCTAAGACGGTGAAACCCCATCTCTACTAAAAATCAAAAAATTAGCCGGGCCTGGTGGCGGGTGTCTGTAGTCCCAGCTACTTGGGAGGCTGAGGCAGGAGAATGGCCTGAACCCAGGAGGCGGAGCTGGCAGTGAGCCGAGATGATGCCACTGCACTCCAGCCTGGGCGACAGAGAGAGACTCTGTCTCAAAAAAAAAAAAAAAAAATTATCTGTCCACCAATTGGAATACCATGTATTTATTAAAATAATGATGTGGAATTTTATTTACTGACTTGGAACAATATTCATATATTGTGAACTGGCTTTGGACTAATACATTTAAATTCTCCCTAGGCTGACTGGGCGCGGTGGTCCGTGCCTGTAATCCCAGCACTATGGGAGGCTGAGACGGGTGGATCACTTGAGAGCAGGAATTTGAGACCAGCCTGGCCAAGATGGTGAAACTCCATCTCTACAAAAATACAAAAATTAGCCAGGCATGGTGGCATGCACCTGTAATCCCAGCTACTCAGGAGGCTGAGGCAGGAGAATCGCTTGAACCCGGGAGGTGGAGGTTGCAGTGAGCCGAGATTGCACCACTGCACTCCACCGTGGGTGACAGAGTGAGATGCTGTCTCAATAAAATAAAATAAAACAATTAATTCTCCCTAGGCTGCAGCAAGAATCGAATGAATCACTCTTAACCCCATGCCAAACAAACAAACAAACAAACAAAAAAACCCTACTTGTTGGTTGTGGGCCTTAAAAAGAGAGCTGTATAGAAGTGGCAAAAATTAAGTTTGTGTATCCTTGCTTGGGTCAAATTTGGCTGTCCATAGATATGAGGTTAATTTTTTCCTGTTAGAGCATGTGCTGGTTCTATCTATACATGCTCCAATTTTCAAATATTTCACTAATATTAGGAGATTATCTGTTGGCATTGAGTTGGGTCTCAAAGTATCATCTATTCTAGACCAATGGTCACCAAAATGTATGTATCCTCAAAATAAAGCACTGGTCTGTGAAAAGAAAATCTTAGAACTTCTATTTCTAGTTAACCCTTTTTAATGTAAAAATATAATAAATGTGTTTTATAATGAACATAATACATGTGCCTTATAAGTAATGTGTTTTCTAATGCACATAATAAAACAGGATAGTATATAACAAATACATATGCAAAGATTATTAAAATGTTTTTGATGATAAAGTATGTTCTGGTCACCTATTGCTGTGTAGCAAACAAACTGAAAAGCTGGTGGCTCATTCATAATCTTGTGGACCAGGAATTTGTAAAGCACTCAACTGGGCTGTTCATCTTTGCCCCAAGTAGCATCAAATGGAGCAGCTGCCTCCAAGATGGTATACTCACATGGCTGGCAAGTAGGTGCTGACTATCAGTTGGGAGCTCAGCCAAGGCTGTTGGCTGATGGGAGTCTCAGTTTTTTCTATATGGTTTCTCCAGTGGGCTGTTTGGGCTTCCTCACAGCATGGTAGCTGCGTTCCAAGAGGAAATGTTCTAAGAGATAGGAAGTAGAAGCTGCCAGTCTTTAAGGCTTGGAGCAAGAAAATGCCATAACATCACCTGTATCATAGTCTATTGGTCAAAGCAGTTCAAGAGTCCGTTCATGATTCAAGGGCTAGAGGGATAGACCCCATCTATTAATGAGTAGTCTGCCAAATAATTTGTGGCCATCTTTAATCTACCATATAATACGTGATCACAAGTGTCTAAAGACCAATAATTTAGACAAACAAATGTGTCCCAAAGCCCCACTCCCCTGACTGGGCCTCAGCACTCTTACATGAGGAATTCCTGGCTGCCAGAAGCTGGTCTGCCTGGCTCCACCCATGCAGCTCGCAAAGAATGTTCCATTGGAAATGAGGCTCAGACTTCTGTCTTAGTGGCTTGTTGACTCTGTAGTCAGAAGAATAGATGCAGGACAATGGAGGAAAAATAGAGTCTATTATTGGTGCCATTGCTTTCTCTTACTCAATAAAACAGAGTTTGACTAATAGTAGAAATAACATTTATATGGTCAGTCTTGGTGACCTGTACAAAGTTTTCTCTTTCACACAGTATACTTTAAACCAAAATATATTAAATACTAACCTAAATATAGACAGAATGACTTTCATGACTCAAAAGCATATGACTGAAACTGTTCTACCAGAAATCTCCCAGTGCACAGGCTGACAACCTGCTCTTCCTTCCTCATCAACCTAGAAAAATAATCACAAACAGAACTTGAAGATTTCTCCTCTATAACAGAATATACTCTTGAGGAAAGGAAAGTTGGTTACTTAACAGTATAAACTTATCTTTGTAAGGAAATGTGTGTGAGAGATGAGAGTAAATTTATTCATTGTTTATCATCCTGACCCCTGCCTTTGAGGAGAGAGTATCCTGAGAAGAACCTGCTGTTTTCCAGAGCAGGGTGATAGGTGAGGATGCAAATTAGAAAAGGGAAGAGGGTGAAAAAATTGTTTTTCATGAGAAAGCAAGAGATGTCTGAAGGAGACAAAAGGACAGACAATGAGTTGTCCAGAGGGCTGGGGTGGGGGATGATTTGGCTAGATGGTTGCGTGTAGTCTCCTCCAGATTGCTACAAACGTGTCGGTAAAAGCTGCATGACTGTATCTGGCAATTATTTCTGTGTTGGATTGGATTCTTTAGGGGAATGATCCCAGGGGATGTTGACGTGCCTTGAAGGTAGACACAGAGGAAGGACAAGGAAGTCCAGTCACCTGTGAGCAACATTGGAATAGCTTGGAAAAGCCCAAGCTATCCTCACACCAAATTGTGAGAGTGAATATCTCTGAAAAGTAGATGACAAATGACATTTATCTTGTTAATTTTTCACTTTAATATTTTAAAATTTTCCTATTAGTTGGGTTGTTAAAAGGAAATTATTCTGAAACCTGCATGGACTTTGCAATCAGACATACCCACATTAGAACTCAGCTCCAGTATTTCTAAAGTTTCTGGATTTTGGACAAGTTCCTTAAACTTTCTAGGCCTTAGTTTCCTCACTTGTATGAACAAGATAATAATAGTCCCTTCCTTATAGGCCGTTGTGAGGATTAAATGAAATAATTTGTGCTAAATTCTTCAAACGGTGCCTTAGAACTGAGTAGACATACAATGAATGGTAAAAAAAATTATTATTGTTGTTGTTAATAACTAGTTTGCTAGTGGTTCTCAGATCCTGAAAGCAACCAGCTTTTTCTACTGGCTGCCAAGAAATTAAGGCAGCACCTGGGTATATGTCTTTATCTTTTAAAGAACCAGCAGAGTAAATTCAGCTGAGTTTTATCCCTATCACCATAAATCACACAAGATAGATATCATCATCCTAAAGAACAACGTTTTGCGCACTTACAGTGTGCAGCTTATTTAAGTTCTGTAGAAGTTAGAAACAGTCAGTGGGGCCTCCATCTAATAGCCAGGTCAGTTCTGGCCCCTAAAACCCAAGTGTCTCAATCTCTAATTAAAAACACATTAAGGGTGGGCTATAATTAGCACTGGGCCCACATGTTCTTAATTCCCAGGGAAGAATACACATTACATTTCAGGAGTTCTACACTATCCAACGCATTCTGATGTGGGGTTTGGGTTCCTCATGTGAGAAGCTTTTTGATGTGGTTTCTGTTCCAGTAAGTTATACTCTGGCTTCTCAGAGCAGGCCCAGCCTGCCATGCTCAACATGAATTCTAAGTGCCAACCAAGCATGCACGCCTGCAAGCGGACAGCACCACAGACTGCTCTGGCATTAACTCATCAGGGGCTGTTTCAGTGTGTCATGGACCCCACTGTTCAGGGCATCCAAGTTGCTGCCCTGGAGCTTGGCTATCTGAAACAGCACTCCTGAAAACATTTTTGGTCTTTGACTTCTTCAGTGGGAGGAAATATCCTCTGAACACTGCATGTGCCTGCTTGAGGCTACAGAGGCAAACTTGTGAGGATTCATGAAACATCTGTGCTGCTCAGAGTGACATCTTCCTTGTGGTGCCTGGTATTTATTCATTATATACAAAAGTATACACCTTGCGGTAGATATTACTAGTGCCCACCAAAATCTGGTTTCCCACTCTCTCTAGGCACACAGAAGACAAGCTTTCCCAGCCCTTTTTGGTTAGATGGGGCTTGGTGACTCCATACCAATGGGATGTGAGCAAAAGTGACACCGATCACTCCTACTGAAGCACTGAAGCGCAGGAGAGAGGTCCAGGCTGCCGAGGAGACCGAAGGAGTCCTGTGTTGTAGATGTCCTAGCTGTTGCCGGTACTGATGGTAGAGCCTCCATCAGCCTGGATCCTTGAGTTACTGATGGAGCAGAATTCCCTCAACACATACATGCCCAACTTGGACTTGCAATGGACATATAGCATATGCAAGAAATAAACTTTTTTTGTTTTCGGCTTTGGGATCCAGGGGTTAATTTCTTATCACAGCACAACCTAGCCTATTCTAATACAAGTATCTTGTAAATGTGAGTCATATAGAGACTGGTGGCAGGTCACCTGTATGACCTGTCACTGGAAGGAGGTCAAGCCTGTCTACTATGAAAGAGGACAAAAGGTAGATTCCTATCAGGGAGGAGCAACAGTCCAAATGACCAAATTCAAGGGCCTGGAACAGTGAAGTCAACCCTGGGATGGCTGGAGGCAGGGCAAATGTTCTGGGTGACACTCAGTCTCTGGAGGTGCTCATCCCAGGCACACCAGACTCCAGACTCAGATCAGCCAAGCAGACCAACCCAACCCCCAGGGAAGGCAAGGATCCCCAACGACCTGTTTATCCTGGACTCATTGGTTCTGATCCTGAATCAGTTGGTGGCATGTTTTTGGGGCCCCAGAAAGTAAAAGAAGCTTCATAGGTCACTTCGGATGTACAGGATGTTGGGCAGTGATGAGAGTTTATTAACTGATCTTTCTTTTCTTTGCATAGACTCTGAGTGCCAATTATCCAAATGGGAGTTAAGACACACTCAGCCTCCCTACCTAGGCTCTTTGCAATGCACTGTAAATGAGAAATGACCAACCCTTATGTGATGGGATACAGTGCTGCTCTATCCATTTGTGAGCCTGAAATTATCCAGCTGCCCTGTCTATAGCTATGGGAGTTTTAGTACACTGGATAGAAGGAACCTAGAAAGAGAATTAGGGAAAACTGTTTTTCTCTTGACATCATTGATGACATGGTTTGCAGTGACTGACAGTATCTATCTTGTGCCCAAAATGAGGTGGCATTCAGCTGATGACAGCAGAATGATGCACATAAGCAAATTCCTCATGGTGCCCAACTGTCTTTTTTTTTTTTTTTTTTTTTTGAGACAAAGTCTCACTTTTGTCCCCCAGGCTGGAGTGCAATGGTGCAATCTCAGCTCACTGCAACCTCCGCCTCCCAGGTTCAAGCGATTCTCCTGCCTCAGCTTCCTGAGTAGCTGGAATTACAGGTGCCTGCCACCATGCCTGGCTAATTTTTGTATTTTTTGTATTTTTAGTATTTTATCTTTTGTATTTTTTGTATTTTTAGTAGAGACGGGGTTTCACCATGTTGGCCAGGCTGGTCTTGAACTCCTGACCTCAGGTGATCCACCCGCCTCAGCCTCCCAAACTGCTGGGATTACAGGCGTAAGCCACCATGGCTGGCCTCCAAGCTGTCTTCTTACTAGAACTGGGAGAAAGAGGAAAGGATGATGGGGGTAAACCTCTCATGAATCCCTGGGCTGGAACTGCAGAAGGATTTATACTTCTGTATAGAATTGTCTTTGCAGAAATCTACTTCTCTGAATTAGCTGAGAATGCAGAACCCAGAGTCTGGCAATAGTGAGATGAAAGAGTTCACTGGGACCAAATTGTGTTTTTCTACTTTGCAGAACTTTAAGCTAAAGTCTTTCAGGGTTCTTAATGTTTTTCTTTCTTTCTCTTTTTCTCTTTCCTTTTTTTTAGAGACAAGATCTTGTTCCACTGCCCAGGCTAGAGTGCAGTGGCATGATTATAGGTCTGTATTAGTTTGACTCATACTGTTATGAAGAAATACCCAAAACTGAGTAATTTTAAAGAAAAAGAGATTTAATGGACTCACAGCTCCACCTGGCTGGAGAGGCCTCACAATCATAGCAGAAGGCAAAGGAGGAGCAAAGGTACGTCTTACATGGTGGCAGGCAAGAGAGCATGTGCGTGTGCAGGGGAACTACCTTTTATAAAACCATTAGATCTCGGGAGACATATTCATTATCATGAGAACAGCATGGGAAAAACCTACCTCTTGATTCAATTACCTCCCACTGGGTTCCTCCCACAATACATGGGGATTATGGTAGCTACAATTCAAGATGAGACTTGAATGTGGACATAGCCAAACCATGTCAAGGTCACAGTCCTGGACTCACACTCCTGGACTCAAGCAATCCTTCCCACTCAGCCTCCTGAGTAGCTTAGACTACAGGCACATGTCATTGCACTCAGCTAATTTTTTTATTTTTAAAATTTTTATAGAGACAGGGTCTTTCTATGTTTTCCAGGGTGGTCTTGAACTTCTGTCCTCAAGTAATCCTGCCTCGGCCTCCCAAAGTAGGTTTTTAATTTTTATTAGGTAATTATTTTCAAAGTCAAAAAGGTACAGTTACCCTTACTGAAAATTTGCCGCTGCAAGAGAAGTAGGATCTTGTTAGAAATTACTTATGTTATTTTGCTTCCTCTATCCAAATCTACTGTGGTAGGCAGGCTAGCTGGGAGACTGAAAACCACAACTTCATTCCCAGATACACTGCTGTAAAATAATTAAGTCAGATGTTAATGTTACAGGACCACCAGGTTCAATTGCCCATTGTGTGGTAACATACCAATACACTGGAACAGCAGGAGTTGCAGCAGAGAAAGAGTTTAACAATTGCAAGGCAGCCAAATGAGGACATGGGAAAAAACCTCAAATCTGCCCCCGCAAGAGGTTTGGGGATGGAGTGTTTAAGGGATCTTGTTTGGTAAAGGACTAAAAAGTATGATCATCACTGATTGAGAAGTGAGGGGTGACATCATGGGACAGGGAGATAAAGAAACTGCATTCCTGTGCTGAGTCAGTTCCTTGATGGGGGTCTTCAGACCAGCTGGAGTCAGCCATTCTGCTGGAATTCAGGATCTGAAAAACACCTCAAGCAAAGCAATTCTTGGGTAAAAAGGTACAGTCGTTAGAGATTCTATCTATGGGAACAATGGGGGAGCACGTGGTCAGTGAGCTACATGACTTCTGGTTACTTAGCAGCTGCAGAGAAATGGGTCAAAGTGCATCAGTTTTTATATCCCAGACAATGCCTAGCTATAATTCTGCCTAAAGCCTGGCTTATAATTCCAGTTAACCCTGTGACAGTGGTTTCATTAATGTGGTGAATCCATTTAAACACAGCTAAATTCAAAATGCATATATATTTTAATATGCTTGTAATGCACATGAAAATGCCTGTACTTTTAGAGTAGGAGGTAGATTTCTGACCCTGTCTTCCCCCATTCTGATTTAATAAAGAATTTGGAGAGGGTGAGTAGTGTCAGTTTAAAATATGTGGCAAGGTTGAGGTGGGAGGAACACTTGAGCCCAGGAGTTCAAGGCTGCTGTGAGTAAGGACCAAACCATTGCATTCCAGCCTGGGTGACAGAGCAAGACCCTATCTCTAATAAAAAAAGAAAGAAAGGAAAAAAAATTCATGTCAAGAACCAAACTAGTGGTTTTCTATCTTTTAAATCCATATTAATAGCACTAAATTGTACTTTAATTGTGATTTCCAAATGTCACCTCAATACTCTGTGAAGTAAAAGATAAAGCCACACATTCTGAAATGTTCTGTAGTTACATTTTATTTTTTAGGCATTCTGAATGTGCTTTATTCCTGATGGTTACTCATATGAGGATTACTGGAAACCGGAAGTGGCAGACAAAGCTTCTTGCTCAGAGCTTTAAGGCCGGATCCAGAACTGGAGCCAGTTCCACTTACTGTGATTGCCACAGGCCAGGGGGAATGGTGCCAAGGACAGGTCTTGGTGTATGGAGCTGTAAGTTGTACCTGATGGCTTGAAAATGTACCCTGATTTCAGATTGGCCCCATGCTGAAGTGTAGAACAATGGTTCCCAAAGGTCAATCTCTATGCATATTCATGGCAAAAGTTGTGAGGCTTGTACCCTTTCTGCAGGCAACAGTTAGAACTTTCAATACCTAAATTGAGCACATAAATGAATATAATACAAAAAATTAAAACTGAACCAAAAAAACATTCAAGTGAGAGAGGAAGCTGAAGTGCAAGAGGTGTCCTCTCATTAGCAGATGAAGGGGTTGTTAAGTTAAAATCTTTGTTCCATTCTGGTCCAAGGTCAAAATAGAGCTACATTCTATAAAGGAATATGAAATGACTAAAGAAAGATATTTTTAATGAGCTCACATAATTCATGGCCTGTCCATGCTGCCTAAAGCACCACTCCTGATTGAAGGGTGCCCTGAACTCTGCTCCCATCTTGCTAGCCCCCCGAGGGCTGAGATTGATGTGTAGAGAGGGAAAGTAAACCCTGAGCTTTGGGAGCTGTTTGGGGTCAAGTCAGAATTTGTTTCTGTCCTGCCTTTCAAAGCTTTGTTTTCTTATGAACCATCCATACTAATGACTCAGCACTACTGAGCCAGGGAGGGCCCGGGAAGAGCCTTCACCTTCAAGGAGGTGCAGTTCATGATGGACATTACTTAGAAATTAGGAAGGCTGGGGCTTTTTCTAAAAGGATTGATTAGAGCTAGAAATTCAGTTTCATGGTTGACCAGGCCCCTCTACATCCATCCCCACCCTGTGGGTTGGCCTAACTAAAACAAATAATAAATGTGCAAAGCTCTACAATGATTCTATTCAGAGTAACTGCCTTCCATTTCCAAAGCCCAGGCCAATGTAAAGTAATTCAAGACTTCACTCCTCTTCAGGGGACTACTGAACATCTTCTATGGCAATTAAGCCATGGAACCTGTGCAAATAAGATTGTGATGGAATGCTATTTTGAGGCATGGTGAAAGCATTTCCAAGAATTGGGTATTAATTCTGACCATAGCACATAAATGAAGTATGGGTTTTTAATATATCCATCATGGTAATGACTAATTAATACCTTTCCTTTCTAAAACATTCATAGTTTACAAAATAGGTTCACATGACTCATCTCTTTCTATTTTCAGAACCCTATGGTAGGTAGGACATGCATTATTACTTACATTAATTACATGAGAAAACTAAGACTTCTTGGAGGTTAACAAGCTTGCCCTAGCCAGGTGCAGTGGCTTGCACCTGTAATCTCTACACTGTGGGAGGCCGAGGCAGGAGGATCACTCATGCTCAGGAGTTTGAGGTCATCCTGTGCAACATAGCGAGACCCTCATCTCTACAAAAAAAAATCTTTTAAAACTTAGCCAAGCTTGGTGTCATGCACCTGTAGTCTCAGCTACTCATGAGGCTGGAGTGGGAGGACTGCTTGAGCCCAGGAGTTCGAGGCTACAATAAGCTGTGATTGCACCACTGCACTCCAGCCTGGGCAACAGAACAATTTAAAAAAAAAAATTGTCTCTAGTTAAAAAAAATTTTTTTTAATTGTCTCTGTTTAAAAAAAAAAAAAAAGCTTGCCTCAAGTAACAAAATTGGTAGTAGATTTAGGAGATTACAATCAAGACTCCAAGTCCAGTACTTTTTCCAATCCACCCCACTGTCTCTACCAGAAAAAAAAAAAATCTTTCCCTTTGTTGAAAACTTTGAAATTTATAAATTATTTTAGTACTTTTATTATTGTATTTGATGGTACTAATAAATAGCTAACAATTTTTGAGTCAAGATTAAGTTGAGTCATTATGTTGAGTTTCAAGTGCTCAACACAAATGATCTTGTTTATGAGGTAGGTATAATTATCACTATTTTTATGGGTGAGGGTAAGGCACAGAGAGGTTTTGTAATTTGCCCAAACCACACAGCTAGTAGGTAGTGGAGCAGAGATTTGAAAAAAGCCAGCATGGCTCCAGAGCCTAACTTGCAGTGGTGTGCAGCCTCCTGTCCTCACATCCATCTGGTGAAGCAGGCAGGTTTATGACTTCTTTAATTGATGATTGAGAGCCATAGGTCCAATTGCTAGTAGACAGAACCATCCACATTGCCAAAATGTTTGGTATTGTTTGGGTCCAATTTGACTGTTCCATCTGGGAGGTCAAGTTCCCAATAACCAAGAGAAACCATTACTCTTCTTTTAGATGGGGTTCTTCCTCTGCTACCCTTCCACTTTATCATAGGCCTCCTTTCCAGTCAGCTGATTTTCTTCTTCACAAAGGCATCACCCTTCTCCCTATCTTTGATACCAAAATCCCTTAAGTTCCTTTTCCTTCATTTCCCATATCCAGCCAATTATCAGGAATTCCTATTTATCTGTTGTATGTGTCTCTAGAATTTGCTTTTTCTTCTTCTCTCCTACTGCCATGACCATAGTCCAGTTGACTAACCAGACAACGGCCTCTCCAGCTTTAGGCACTTCCTACATTACAGCCATCTTGTCCCCAGTCATCTTAAAAGCTCAGTGGTCCTCATCACATTGCATGCTATGAGCCTCCAGTGGCACTCCACTGTCTGTCACAGTAGCCCTGGTTCTTGGGTCCTCCATTCTCTTCTCTCCTGTCAAGCAGGTCTCCTCATAGTCCCCATCTCTTGCCCATCTTCTTATGCCTATGCCTTCATTGTTATTTCCCCTGCTAAGTCGTTTCTCCTCTCTCATGCTTATCCCAATCTAGACATCCTTCCAGTCATCTGTGAAATCTCAGACCAGTCTTTCTTCTTGGATTTATATTGCTCTTATAGAAGATACTTAATGTTTAATTTTGTTTTCTATTTGTCTCAGTATTAATTTTATCTCCTCCACTGAAAAGGCAAATTCTCTTCTATAGTAGACTTGTCTGTCTTCTTTCTTGAGCAGCTGAGGAACCCATCTTCTCTAATTCCTTTCCCACTTCATGGCAGTTGGTTCTCTCAGGAGGTATGAGAACAAAGGGGTGGGGTGGGGATAAAGTGAGTCACCCAAGTGAAAAGGCACAGCAAGCAGAATCTGATTTCTAATCTCCAAAGCACTGTTGTTCCTCGGGATCCATGGGGAATTGATTCCAGGGTTTCCAAGGATACAAAAATCTGAGGATGCTCAATCCCTCATATAAAATGGTGTAGTATTTGCCTGTAACTTACGCACATTCTGCCATATACTTTATTTTATTTATTTATTTAGTTTCGAGACATCCTCATTCTGTTGCCCAGGCTGGAGCACAGTGGTGCCATTATAGCTCATTGCAGCTTCCTGGGCTCTAGGGATCCTTCCCCGTCAGCCTCACAAGTAACTGGGATTCTAGGCTCATGACACCATGCCTGGCTTTTCTCCTATACTGTAAATCATCCCTAGATTATGTATAATACCTCAAACAATGGAAATGCTATGTAAATGGTTACTATACTGTATTGTTTCCGTCCTTCCTTCCTTCCTTCCCTCTTTCTTTCTCTCTCTTTCTTTCCTTCTCTTTCTTTTTCTTTCTTTTCCTTCCTTCCTTCTTCTTTCTCTTTCTTTCTTTTTCTTTCTTTCCCTCCCTCCCTTCTTTCTTTTCTTTCTTTCTTCCTTTCTTTCTTTCTCTCCTTCTTTCTTTTTCTTTCATCTTTCTTTCCCTTCCTCCCTCCCTCCCTTCTTCTCCTTTCTTTCTTTTTTCCTTTTTTCTTTCTTTCTTTCTCTCCTTCTTTCTTTCTTTCTTTCTTTTTCTTTCATCTTTCTTTCTTTCTTTCCCTTCCTCCCTCCCTCCCTTCCTTCCTCTCTCTCTCTCTCTCTCTCTCTTTCCTTCTTTTTTTTTTCCTGTCTCACTCTGTCACCCAGGCTGGAGTACAGTGATGCAATCATAGCTCACTACAGCCTTGAATTCCTGGGCTCAAGCAATCTTCCCACCTCAGCCTCCCAAGTAGCTGGGACTACACGTGCACACCACCACATCTGGCTAATTTTTTTAAAAAATTTTGTATAGATGGAGTCTCGTTATGTTGCCCAGGCTGGTTTCAAACTCCTGGGCTCAAACCATCGTTCCACCTCAGCCTACCAAAGTGTTGGGTTTATAGGTGTGAGCCACTACACCTGGCCTGTATTGTTTTCTTCTTATTATTATTATTTCTTTTTTGACACAGGGTCTCACTCTATTACTCAGGCTGGAGTGCAATGGCAGATCTTGGCTCACAGCAGCCTCAACCACCCAGGCTCAAGCAATCCTCCCATCTCAGCCTCCCAAGTTACTGGGACTACAGGCCGTGCTGCTTGGTTAATTAAAATAAATTTTTTGTAGAGATGGGGTCTCACTATATTGCCCAGGCTGGTCTCAAACTCCTAGGCTCAAGCAATCCTCCAGCCTCAGCCTCCCAAAGTGCTGATTACAGGTGCAAGCCACTGCACCCAGCCTAATTTTTATTGTGGTTTCCCCCGCCTGCAATATTTTCGATCCCCAGCCAGTTGGGTGAGTCTGCGCATGCAGAACCGGGCATAGGAGGACTGTGACATATTAGAGTGGAAACTAGCTCAAGGCAGAGGTTTCAGAATAATTCATGAAACAGTTTTGCCAGAAGAGACATTGCTAGATGCTGCTAAGCATCATTCAGAATCAACAGGTTAAATGGCCATTCGTCAAGGTTAACTCTGCCCTGGGCCAGCTTCTGAGGGGTTAACACTTTGAAAACATAAGAAAGATGATAATAAAGTTAGTATATATGTACACACTTGAAAAGTGTGTTATCTTTCCAAACTGAATCCTCAAGCACCATCATCTCAGAAATCAAATACTTTTAAGTTGGAAGGCATTTTGAAGGTCATCTGATAACATTTTTGGAATAATATTAATATACTTTTCTCTTTTGTGTTTATTGACTGGCTTACCCTTTACCCTTTTGCCAGAGACATACTTACCTTTAGATTTCTACAGCATCAATGCAAAAAAAGTTAATATTGAAAGTCTTCCAATCCAAAGTAGGATTTTTGTAGAAACAGTAGTTGCAAAACCTAGGCTTTGTTGGGAGAGAAATAGGATTTTCTAAATTTCTTTAGCTCCCATTGAACATCTGAGAAACAAGGTTGTAGGTAAAACTCAGATCACAGTCATTTCCATGCCTGCAAGCACTGGTTCTGTTTAAAATGACTGGGCTGGGAAGGGAGGCAGATGCTTTAGGGTAAAAGGAGAATGATAAATTGTAGAGGCAGAAAGCCTGCCCATTTCTGGTCCCAAAGGACCATGAGAAGAAGAAGGGAGACAGATGCTGGAGAGACACATCGATCTTGATTTTCTGTTTCTGGAATGCCCAGAGGGAAGGGTGTGTTCAATAAGTTAAAGTCCACACAGGGTTCTTTCCCCCCATTTCATATTCAAGACTCTACATGGAAACATAGGCTCCCAGGTCCATCTGGGAGCGGCCACATCATTGTAAACTCAGCAGTCCAGTGTGGTTAAGCAGTGGAAGGGCTAAAGTTTGGCTTTCCCAAGTTGCCCTCAGTTCCTGTGTGGTGTGGAAAGAATTCAGGATCTCCTGCATGCCTCTGCAGGGGTGGGGCACAGATGCTGGTTGAGTCTGGCTGGAGAACTTACCAGAGAGGATGACTGCGGTGGGGGGCAAAATGGTGCTGTGGCCAAGGACTGCAAAATGAACTGCCTGAGTCCTGACCTCACTGGAGTCATAGCCAGACCCAGGGACCCACAGGAATAGAGAGCCAAAGGGGTCAAATTAGGAAAAATAAAAAAGTAGGTGGGGGCTGGGCTCTGACTCAGCCAAGAGATGAAATGAACCACAAGCTACCCAACCCATAGTCTTCGGCAGATACTGGCAGAATGCCAAGGTATGGGACAAGCGACACATCAGTGGTCACCAGTCCAGGGGGCAGCCCAGATCAGCCACCATGCAACAAACAGAGCGAGTATCCAGAAAACACCATGTGGAATCAAGCCTGCTCTTCTCCTGCCATGAGAATACAATCCACCCTCCTCCTACACCCTGGTGCCATCTTAGTGAGAGAAAGAAAGGAGAGAGACATCTGAAACTCTGGGTATTTCTTCAGAAGAGAAATCTTAAGAAAACTTCCAGAGCATGAGATTGGACTGAGATTAGAGGGTGGAGTAAATTTAGTTTCCCACGTCATAGTGGGGCTGGGGCTCCTAGGAAAAATCAGAGCATATTCACAAGTCCTCCATACTCTGAGTAGGGTGAGTGCCTTGGTGACCCTGCACCACACTCTAACCTTCTTCTTAAAAGGTACGGGAAGAGGCTCCTCTGGACTCTGGGCCAGTGTGGGAGAGAGGGGAGGCAGATATTAGTATCCCTATCTGACATATGGAGAGAACAAGTGTATCTGCATTAGACCAGTCTGGTTCAACATTTATGTAACAAGTTGTGAGCTGTTTTTCAGTTGCCGTGGACCCTCAGGTTAAAGCCCCTTCAACAACTGCAGAAGATGCCCATGGAACAATGGTGACAGGAGTTTGTGCTCAGAAGCACAACTTCAGTTTCCTGTGTCCAGGCCCAGTCATATCTGCAAGCCTTCATTCAGGAGAATCCATGGCTGAAGATGTTCCTGGCATGGTGATGTCTGGGGGTGGCATGGTTCCATGTTCCTTTTGTTGTGTCAAATGTTCCAAATGGCATGGAGTTGATAGGACAGTGATTGAACAAAATGTTTCCCTCCCTCCCTCCCTTCCTCCCTTCCTTTCTTTCCTTTCTTTCTTTCTTTTTCCTTCTTTCTTTCTTTCTTCCTTCCTTCCTTCCTTTCCTTCCTTCCTTCTTCCTCTCTTTCCCTCCCTTCCTCCCTTCCTTCTTCTCTTTCTTTCTTTTCTTTCTCTTTCTTTCTTTCTTTTCTTTTCTCTTTCTTTCTTTCTCTCTCTCTCTCTCTTTCTTTCTTTCTTTATTTCTCTTTCTTTCTTCCTTCCTTTATCACCTAAAATTGAAACCTTTATTGGCTGCAGTTTTCATCCATCTGCAAAAACACACTAGAAAGAGAAAGAGGTTGGCAACGGACTTCAGGCTTTTTCCCCAGAGTGTTGCTTACCTGACTTTAACCAGATGCTGTGCATCAGCTTGTCTCTGCCCTACATGCTCAGCATGTAAAAGACAGAAGAAATACAAGGAATGCTTGTGATGCTATGGGCCCTCCATCCCCCTCTTTTTCTCTTTCTTTCTCTCCTCCCCCCTTTTTTTCATCCCAAGACCGGATATACAAGTTCCAGAAGAGGAATATACATCCCTAGAGTTTGAAATCAAATCTGGAATTCATATCCTCTGTAAATGTACTTTATTAAAAGCAGGAGTCAAGAAAGGTTTTGGAATTATTACATTGGAGAGGTTGACTGCATAGAGAGGACTTGGAATTAGGAATAATTTTAGACATGTTTTGCAGGCAGCAAACTCGCGGATGAATGGAAAAACTGGACACTTTGACATCAGTCTTACCTCAAAGACTAAAACCAGCCCTCAAAGTGTGTTACCAAGTCTGAAAAGACAGCATGAGACTGCAATAAGGCCCATGCATTTATAATTGTCACAATCGGGTGAATTGAGATGTTTGCAGATACGCATAGTAGGTAGAAATTCCAGGCATTGCGCTGTCTGTTTGAGGTTAATCTTTGTAAAATTTATGCTGATGCTTCTGATATTTAGTGCAACCCCAGACTGCTGCCAGGGATAGAAGGCTGTGAGAGTCTGTGTGTGTGTATGCATGTGTCTCTGTGTGCATGCATGTGTCTCTGTGTACATGTGTGTGTCTGTGTGCGCATGTGTGTCTGTATACAATTGTGTGAGCATCACAACCCTGGTGCCCTGGGCTCTTTGTGTGTCTGTGTGATGTGTGTGTGTGCATGCACATGTCTGTGTGTGCATGTGTTGAGGTCCAGAAGTGGAACCAACTGAAGTTACAAGGGGAGGAACCGGGGCAAGGTCACACGAGCCACCAGGACAAGCCTGCAGCCTGTACAACTGGGTGGGGAACCAGGAACTTGTCCATTGTTCCCTCAAGGCCTGGCCAGTTTTATATCAGTAAACTGTCTCTGAACAATTTTTTCCCCTCGGCTTGGCATCACGTCATTCTGAATACCACTGCAGCTCATGGGTGTTTCTCTGATGAAAACCATCATGCGAGGGGCCAGCCAGCACCACGGCGGAGGCAAAGTGATTATGGTTTGCATTCTGGAAATAAAAGAAGAACTAAGCCCTTTAACTTGTCAGAGAAAGGTAGAAGTCCCTGGTGACCCTGGAGAAGCCCCAAGACCCTGAGGGGTCCCAGAGGGACAGGGGGAGAGCCAGTATTTCTGAGCTCATTTCAGAGGGAGTCGTGGCTGCATTTGCTAGAAGGCTCAGAGGGAAAGGTAGAAATGCTGAATGTGCTGCTCCTGATGGGGCCAGGAGCTGGCTTCCTGCCACTATTCAGCTCTGTAGTCCAGCTCCATCACTGCTCCCCGCCACTCTCCATCCACATCAATATTTCTCCTGCTGCCTTATCTGAAAGCTCCCCTTTGCAGAATATGTGGGAAGGTACCGTGAACATTTGGATGGCTAAGGTCCTTGACTTTTCATGTTGGCTGCCTCACTAAAACTTTTGAGTTATTGTCTTTATTACAACAGCCGTACAGGAGAATTTGAAATGATCCCTGCAGTGGCTCCCAGGAGAAACAGCAGTGGGATCATTTTCCCCTGTTCCTGTCTTCTGGAGAAAGCTGGATCCCTCCCCGCCTTGTTTTTTCCTCCACAGGGTTCTGGCCTCCAGAGATGAGTGAGAGGAGCGTGGGGCTGGAGTCTCTGCCCCCACAGTTCCTTGCAGGAAAGGTGGCTGCTTAGATTCCAAGCTTCCTGCCTGGACCAGTGACGACTTGACACCCCCTCGGGGAGGTGGTTATGTTTGTCCTGTAAACTCTTAGGGAACTGTGTTCTGTTCCATCAGAGGAGGTCATGTGGCTTCGAGGGAAAAGATGTGTTTTGCTGTGGGTAGCTAAGGTCATGGAGACACAGCCAGGCAGCCACGTTGACAGAGTCCCCTCTCGGGAGAGAGAGCACTGTTCAGGGAGCCAACAGGAAATGACATTCATCGTCAAGTGCAAATCAGTGGGATACAAAAAGCCCCGGGCACCAGAGTTGTGACGCTCACACAACTGTATACAGACACTGCTAGAGAAGCATGTCCTGTCAGGAGGCACAAATCAGTGAATGGATACACATTTATCTCGTTAAGACGTCTTTCCAGAATTCTCGGGCCCCTCTGCCAGAGTGTTCCAGGGAATTTGTTCTCCCACTGATTCACTGACGGCTGCGTTTTTCATTATTACTTCAGCTGTGGTTCTGAGGCTCCCCCTCCTTTCAGCGCGGGGCATCCTGTTTGTTTTTAAAAGCCAACAATTTTCCCAGAATGCACTGAAACCAGCAGGTTTTGAACAACTCGAGAGAGCTGTGCTGGCCTTCTGCTGAGGAATCTGGGGAGGGAGCTGCGGCCCAGAACCCAGCAGCCCCGGGCTCGGCTCTGAGGAGTGGTCCTTCCCTGTGGCCTTGCTATGGCCGCGTGTGCCATGGATGAAAGCACAGCTAGCCACTCTCAATGCAGATGTTTTCATCTTCTTGTTTCTTTTTTTTTTAAATTAAGGCATAATCAGTATACAGTAAAACGCACAAATCTTAAGCCTACAGCTCAATGAATTTTTTTTTTTTTGAGACAGAGTCTTGCTCTGTCGCCCAGGCTGGAGTGCAGTGTCGTGATCTCAGCTCAGTGCAACGTCTGCCTCCTGGGTTCAAGTGATTCTCTTGCCTCAGCCTCCCATGTAGCTGGGATTATAGGCGTGCACCACCACACCCAGTTAATTTTTTATTTCAAGTAGAGACAGGGTTTCACCATGTTGCCCAGGCTGGTCTCGAACTCCTGACCTCAGGTGATCTGCCTTCCTCAGCCTCCCAAAGTGTTGGGATTACAGGCGTGAGCCACCGCACCCAGCCAGCTCAATGAATTTTGACAAATGTATACTTTCAGTTAACTACCACCTGAGACTATAGACCCTATCGAAGGTCCCAGGAAATCCCCTTGTGCCCTTTCTGCTGTTTATTTTATTTTATTATTATTTTTTTAGAGATGGGGTCTCACTCTGTCACCCAGGCTGGAGTGCAGTGGCATGATCCATAGCTCACTGCAGCCCCCAGCTCCTGGGCTCAAGCAATCCTTCCCTGTCAGCCTCCTGAATGACTGGGACTACAGGAGCATACCACCATGCCTGGCTTGTTTTTTTAAATTTTTTTTTGTGGAGACAGGGTCTTACTATGTTGCCCAGGCTGGTCTCAAACTCCTGGCCTCAAGCAATCCTCCCACCTCAGCCTCCCAAAGTGCTGGGATCACAGGCGTGAGGCACCTCACCCAGCTACTGTTTAATGTTTAATCACATGCAGGTCTTACAGTGGTACTGAGCTCTGACCTCACTTGGAGTTGCTTGTCCTCCTTGCCACTCTGGAGCCTGCCACCAACACAGGCTGCAGTTCTTCCCTCCCCTTAGCCACCCTCGCCATAGCCGGGTGAGGGAGCTGGGGCAGATTCCATTGCCTTCTTTTAAAAAGTTATCATCTTGTAGCTCAGAGAGGTCAAGTGATTTGCTCGTGGCCACCCAGCCAGTAAGGAGCAGTGTGATGGCTGGACCCAGCTCTTCCATGCTTGTTCTCAGGGCTCCTTCCTCTGCCCTGGCTTTGTGCACAACACACACATGGCTGTTTTCAGGAGAGCAAAAAGCTACTGCCCTGCTGGGGTGAGAGTTGATCAGGATGTAGACCATCCATGAATCAAGGGAGCAGATGCATGGAGGCCGCTTTTGCCCAGGTTAGACGTGGCCCAGGTTCTAGATTCTAGACTGCTTCTCATGTGGGAGTCACCTCTGCCTAGCAAGCTCGTGATATGAGTTCTCGTCTCATCTCTCCCTTCTCTTTTGTGCCCCCAACACAAATGAGCAGTACGATTAATATGTATCACAATCACCTGCGGAGCTATTTACACCTCCCAGTTCTCAAACCAACTGCACTTCAATAAAGGCTTGTGAGAGGAGCTCGCTATCCGCCCCCAACCCAGAGGAAGGAGCTAACATTCATCAGTTTCCACGGTTCCGCCCCTAGCAACATTTCCTAGAAGATTCCCCTTCCTTAACGTCTTTCTCCATTGTCTTAGCTATCTGAGTAGCTCCTAGATTATTGGGTGCCTTTGGATCATGTCCATTATTCAACTCGTTCATCTAATCTCTGCTCCTTTCCGGAATTGTCCTTTAACCCCTGGAAAGCCTTAATGTTTGTGGTCATTCAACACAGCCCAAATATGCCAAATACACATGCAAACACACCCTGTGCTGAAAACCCTTCTGCAGCTCCACTGAATCAAGTCCAAAGTCCTTAAAGTGGGACCTAAGAGTCTGCCAGTACCTGATCCCTGCTTACCTTCCAGTTGCATCATTTGTCCAACTTCCCTGAAACATACCCTCTCTTTCCACCACTATTTTCCAACTGCTTTCCCACCTTCACTCATATGCAAGCTCTGCTCTCGGCCTGGAAAAGCCCTACTCTTGGGTCCATCTAGGAAACACCTTCTCATTTTTCAGGACTCAGATTGAAGATCTCTTCCTTCAGAAAACATCTCAGCCTCTCCCCTCACACCCCACACCCCAAAATGCATTATTCCTTCTTTTTAGGCTCTGTCTCCTATCCCTAACTAAACCAGGAGCCATGTATCTTCAGAGCCATAGAGTCTGAACACACATAGTGGGTACCGAGGGCAGGGCCATGAGCCCACATTTTCCTGTTAAAATAGTATTCCAGTAAAAGTGTTTACTGAGTATTTTCTCTGTGCCAGACACTGTTTTAAGTGCTTTTTTTCTATTAGACTTATTTGTATAAAAATATCTTTTTCTCTAATATTAGTTACTCAGAGTGCCCTCATGTCAGGTTTCAGAGGATGCAATATAACTTTTTTTTTTTTTTTTGAGACAGGGCCTCACTCTTTTGCCCAGGCTGGAGTGCTGGAGTGCAGTGGCATGAACATGGCTCACTGCAGCCTCAACCTCCTGGGCTCAAGCAGTCTTCCCACCTTAGCCTCTGGAGTGGCTGGAATCACAGGCCCATGCGCCACCACACCTGGCTATTTTTTATTTTTTACTTTTTGTTTTATGTTGTTTATGTTTTTTATTTTTTATTTTATGTTGCCTGGGCTGGTCTCAAACTCCTGGGCTCAAGCAATCCTCCTGCCCTGGCCTCCCAAAGTGTTGAGATCACAGGCATAAGCCACTATACCCAGCCACAATGTAAGTTTTAATTGTAGCATCTGTAAGATTCAATAAGAGCCATTGTCCCCTGTTGATTGGAGGGTTCCACTGGATTGCAGCCGTATGTTGGACATCTCTGATTCATTCATCTGAGTGGGATTGTTTTCATAGTTTCATTTATTGTAGTTTTTAAAAGTGCTAATTGAATTATTTGAAGCGTGATTTAGTTTATTTTGACAATCTCATTCCCATTATATCTAAACATGTAAATACAAGTCAATAGGAAAAAATTATTCAAGATATACAAATGATTCAATATAGAAAGGCTTTTAAATTTTATTTTAAAAGCAATCTCTCAGGACCATGTCTATTCCATTCCAGATATTTAACATGCCTTGAGGAAGAGCATCATTTTTATAGAAAGGGGATTCACGTTCCCCTAGATTTACGATGCAGGATAGAGTTGGGGGTCCCAGTGCAGAAAGGGGACCAGCAGCTGAGCCCTCCAGCCTCCTCATTATCACTGGCATGTGCTGGCATTTCTTAGGGGATGGCCAGCTTAAAGCCACCAAAACGTACTTCTTCATTCATTAATCTCTGAGAGTGGGAGTGGAGACAGGTAAATCCGCGCAAGATTGGCATGAAGTGCAATATGACTTCGCTTTCTTACAAGGAGCCACCCTTCATAGAAATTGCTTCCTTCAACCTTTCAAAGGATGAAATGCTAGAAGACAGACAGCATCTGGCTCAAACAGCAGCATATCAAAGGGGATAACGGTACACTGTGTGGTGAACAACGGGTTCCTGTATACTGAGCAGGATGATGGCAGAGGAAGAAAGCAGCCTGTGTGAGGCACAGTAAAAAAGGGTCGGTGCACCTGTGGATGTGTTAAAGAAGAGAGTGAGGACTACGGCGAGAATGACGCCATTCTGCTCAGGTGACCCGAAGAGGCAGGCAGCCATCCTCCCACGGGGGCATGAGACACAGCTGTCTTTGACTCAGGGACTGGAAGAGAAACTAAGGACAGAGGTTCTCCTTTATTTTTATTTTATTATTATTGTTTGAGACAGGGTCTTGCTCTGTTGCCCAGGCTGAAGTCCAGTGGTGTGATCACTGGACTAACTCCAGCCTCAACCTCCTGGATTCAAGCGATCCTCCCACCTCAGCCCCCCAAGTAGCTGGGACTACAGGTGCCCGCCACCATGCCAGGCTAATTTTTTAAATTTTCTGTAGAGACCTGTCTCCACTATGTTGCCCAGGTTGGTCTCGAACTCCTGGGCTCAAGCAATCCTCCTGCCTTGGCCTCCCAAAGTGCTGGAATTACAGGTAGGAGCCACTGCACCTGGCCGGACTCCCCCTTCTGAAAGTCACCAGCAACTAGCCAGGGCCATGAGTTAATGTACAACTCAAAATTGGCATCTTCAGGGGGTTCTTAAGAGAGCAGGAGAAGAGGCTATTTATCTATAATTAGATAAAAAGAGCTGAAGTTTGATTTCTTTTGTTTCAACCAACCCCTTTTTTATCCTCCCCCACCTCAAGGCTTTTCCTCCCCTTCTCAGGCATTACTCTCTTGACCTCTGCTCTTTGACCTGCTAAGGCACGATCAGCTGCACGCCATTCACACCTCTAAGTAAAATTAATCCTCTGGCATCTCCCACTATTCCCTTTCAGCTGTAACCCCAAATGAAAAGCTGTCGTCTATTAAAGGAATTTCAGGTTGATCCTGAGGTATGTTTTCTTGGCAGACAAGAATCAAATTCTGGAGGTTCTGAGTGAAGCCTGCCTTGAGTATCTCAAGCCACCCTTTTCCAGAACCTTTACGAGCCCCACTGGAAGTATTAATATCTAAGGATAGAGTGCCCAGAAATATCCCACATGCTTCATTTATACATTCATCTTTTTCAAAGTCAGTTTTAATTTCTATCAAAGTTATACATGCATGGTTTTTAGTGGTTCCCAAACATGGCTAAAATTGAGACTCATCTGGGGGAATGTTTTAAAATCCTGAAGCTTAGACTTCCCTGCAGAACAACTAAGTAAGAGTCTGTTGGATGGATGGCCCGGGTACTGGTGTTTCTGAAGTTCCCTGGGTGACTCTCATATGCAGTGGTGATGTGAGCCATTGACTTAGATTTGAGGGGATGGGCAGTTCTACAAAGCACATTCAAAACCAGACCATGGCTGGGTGGGTGACTCACGCCTGTAATCCTAGCACTTTGGGAGGCTGAGGCAGGAGGATTGCTTGAGGCCAGGAGTTTGAGATCAGCCTGGGAAACATAGTAGAACCCCATCTCTACAAAACATTTTTTAAAAATTGGCTGGGTGTGGTGTGTGCACCTTTAGTCCCAGCGACTGCAGAGGCTGAGGCAGGAAGATCATTTGAGCCCAGGAGTTCGAGACTGCAGTGAGTTATAATCTCACCTGGGCAACAGAGTGAGACGCTCTCTGAAAAGAGAAGAACAAAACAACAGGCCAAACCAAACAGCGAAGACTTATTCTTTATTTCTCACTTCCCAGAAACAATAACTTCAACTCTCTGGGTTGATTTATAGGGTATTTAATCTTTACCCTCATATTTCTAATTAGGTGCTTATATTGCTACTTCTTCATTTTTTTGGCTTTAATTACCTATTGACTTCCCTCAATGGAAAATAATAATTCACTCTCTTCTGGCATCCTCACCCCAGCCCCCAAACTCCCACTTCCCAGCCCCCATGTCAGCTCAACACAGTTATAATTTGGTTACATCAACATTCATATTAGGACTGTCCTCTTCTTTGTTTTCTTAGTTTTCTGTATACTTGCCACTAATTCAACCCCAAGAGCTCCTCAAATTGTCCTCCTCCCACTAGGTTGAAATCTCTTGAGGGAATGATTCTCACTGCCCTATGACTTCCAGCAGCCACCTCCTCAGGCCACAGCAGGATGACACCCCCTCACCACAAGTCTGGGGAATTCCACTGTTTCTTGTGTGGGATCCCCTGTCCTTCCTATCTTCTGTTTTGGTTTTCTTCCTTGTTTTTGTGGAGTCTGTCCTCCAGGAGCTTCTGAGGACAGCATATGTTAGAGTAAAGTGTTTGACGCCTTGACTATCTGAAAACACATTATTCTCTCTGGCAGTTTGGCTGGATATAGAATTTTAGACAGGAAATAATTTTCTCTCAGCATTTTGAAGGCATTACTTCACTGCATTCTGACTTTCTGGGTTGCTGTTGAGAAATCCAATACCTTTTTGATACTTGATAATTTGCATGTAACTTTTCTCTCTCTCTCTCTCTTTGAAAGCTTGTTGGAGCTTTTCCTTGATCCCAACATCCTGAAAATTCATGATGATGTACTTGGTGTAACCCTGTTTTCATCCACCGGGCCAAACACTCAGGAAGCCCTTTCAATCAGGAATCACAAGCCCTAGAGTCTGAGAAGTTGAGTTCTTTTATTAATGATTTCCCTCCTTCCATAGACTCTGTTCCCTCTTTTTGGACCTATTGTTTGGATATCAAATCCCCAGGATTTGTCCTCTAATTTTCTTATCTTTTTCTCTCCTATTTTCCAATTCTTTCTCTTTTTGTTCTACTTTCTGGGGATTTCTTCATCTCTCTCATCATTCTTTTCTATTAAGATTTTCATCTCTAATGTGTTTTTTAAATTCCTAAGATCTCCTTCTGACCTCAGCATGTCCGTTGTGTAGAGCACCGTGTTGTTAAGAGTGAAATATCTTATCTCCTCGAGGACTTTGGAAACCACCCAGGGAGGAGGGCTATGTGTGGCTTTGCTGTTTAGATATGAAACCACCTCTGGGACTCACACACACCTGGATAAGGTGACTAGAGCACCACCTCCAAGGGACACGGGGGAGACTTTACCAACATAATACATAGACAAAGATAGTATACAACCCAGAGATGCTATCTCTTCTCACTATGCAGGAAGCCTCACATCCACAGCACCATCTGCCTCGTGTGACCTGCCACCTGGTTAGTGGGTGACAGTGCCCCATCCTCACTTCCAGCAGCAAGAGCCTGACCATCACGTCTTCTTAGGTTGGCTCTGACTCTGGCTGGGCTGATGGCCATGTTGGCTGAACCAAGAGAAACCTTCACATTCCCAGATGTCCCAGAGCCCCCCTTCCCATCAGGTCTGTGTTCAGACCCCTCCTTCTCTTCCACTCATTCCAGCCCCCAGCCCCCATCCCATTCAACACAACCTATACCCAAAAGTAGAGAAAGATATGGATAAAGAGAAGGAGGGAGACAAAAGAGCAGGGGGGAGGAAATATGTTTATTACTTTAGAGGAAAGGGAAAGGAATTGGGAGAGTTCCCACCTAAAAGTGTCTGTGTTCTTGGGTGGATTAGAAGGACTAACATGGCTGAAGGCCAAAGGAATGAGGGCATGGAAGGTTCTGGGGAGTGTGGTGGAGATGACAAGCAAGGGGGTGTCGTCGTGAGGGAGGGGTGTGTGGGGAGGAGGGGAATGAAGGTAGGGGACCAATGATAACTCTAAATACAGGAAGTAAGGGGGGACTGAACAACGTCACGCAGTTGAGAAGCAGATTTAGCAGGCAGGGAGTGGGAAGAAGAACGGTGTGGTAGGCTGAACAATGGCCCCCCAAAACACATCCACATCCTCGTCCCTGGGCCCTATTAATGTCATCTTATTTAGCTAAAGAAGGACTTTGCAGATGTGGTGAAAGATCTTGAAATGAGGAGATTATTTTGGATTACCCATTTGGGTCCTAAATGCAATCATAGGTGTCCTTGTAGAGAAAGATTTGACACCAGAAGAAGAAAAGGCAAAGTAACCACAGAGGTGGAGATTGGAGTGCTGCAGCCTCCAGCCAAGCAAGGCCAGCAGCCACTGGAAGTTGGAAGACACAAGATCCTCCCCTGCCGCCTCCAGAGGGAGTGAGGCGCAAGCCCTCTCAACACCATGATCTCAGCTCAGTGATGCTGATTCTAGATTTCTTGTCTCCAGGACTATGAGAGCATACGTTTCTGTCATTTTAAGCCACCAAGCCAGTGGAAAATTGTTACGTCAACCACAGGAAACCAATACAGCAGTTAGGAAGATAGGGCCACAAAGGAGAGCTCCAGGGTTCCACATCACACAGGAGAGTCGCTCTGAGTGAGAATAAAGTACCACTTGTAGCTTTCTGCTTGTTGAAAGTGGAGTGGAAGTGAAGTGAAATGGAAATAAACATCATAAGCACTTATCCTGTGCTAACAACTGGCTGGGCATCCAAAATGCATTATCTCATTTAAATTTTATAACCACCTCTTAAGATAAGTTTTCTTATCCTTTTTTTTTTTTTTGTAGGCAAGGAGATTAAAGTGCAGAGTGATTAGGAACCACAGTGATCATGGAAATGGAATTTTGAAGTCCCATCCATCTATCTCCAGAGTGAAGCTTCTGTTCACACCATCAGGTGACTCTGAGGCTCAGATGATGAATAGGATCACAGCCTGGGCATGGAAGGGGATGGCAGAAGTTGGAGTAGGGAGGAGACTAATATCTTAATAAATGCTAAGCTCTTCGACTGAACTTGAGACCCCCTGTGTGTGCTTTGAAAGGGTGGGAGGGGAGTGTTGGGTCCTTCACCTGAAAGGGTTTCAGGGACAGTGGTCTCATCAGGGAAAAACCAAGTTTGTTATGACAAGGAAGCAGATAGGACACATTCCAGAAAAGGCTAAGGATGCAGAGAAGTTTCTTGGCTACGAAACGGGATATTGGAGAGGGTACAGTGAAAGCCATCAGAAAGGCAGACACTCTGAAAGCCAGCAAAATGGCCAAAGGGTGGCATGGAAATACTCACTATAAACCCATAGAAATGATTTATAGATAAAAGAAAACTCTTAAAATGCATGGACAACAACAACAAAACACAAACAACCTAATTTAAAAATGGGCAAAGGACTTGAATAGACATTTTCTCCAAAGAATATATACAAATGGCCAATAAGCACATGAAAAGATACTAGACTAGTCATTAGAGAAATGCAAACTAAAACCACAGTGAGATACCACTTCATATCCATTAGAATGATTGCTATCCAAAAAAACCCAAAAAAACAAAAAACCCACAGAAAATAAGTGTTGGTGAGGATGTGGAGAAATTGAAAATTGGAACCCTTGTACACATTTGGTAGGAATGTAAAATAGTGCAGCTGCTATGGAAAACAGCATGGCAGTTCTTCAAAAAATTAAAAATAGAATTACTATATGATCCAGCAATTCTACTTCTGGGTATATACCCAAAAGGATTGAAAGCAGGGATTCAAAGAGATATTTGTATACCATGTTGTAGAACAGCATTATTTGAAATAGCCAAAAAGTTAATGAACCCAAGTGTTCATCAACAGAAGAATGAATGTACAAAATGTGGTATTTATGTATATGAAATGAACCATTATTCAGTCTTAAAAAGGAAGGAAATTCTAACATGTGCTGTAACATGGAGAAGACATTTTGCTGAGTGAAATAAGCCAATCACAAAAGGGCAAATACTGAATGAGACTGGGTATCAAGAGCACTCAAATCCACAGAGACTGAAAGCCAGGGGCTAGGGGAGGGGAAATAGGGAGTTATCATTTAATGGTACAGAGTTTCAGTTTTGCCGGATGAGAAGAGTTCTGTGGCTCGATGGTGGTGATGGCTGCACAACCGCACGAATGCACCTAATGCCACTGAACTGTACATTTTAAAATGGCTAAGATGGTACTTTTTTTTTTGAGACAGGGGCTCACTCTGTCACCCAGGCTAAAGTGCAGTGGTGTGATCACAGCTCACTGCAGTCTTGACCTCCCAGATTCAAGTGATCCTCCCACCTCAGCCCCACAAGTAGCTGGGACTACAGACGTATGCCACCAAGCCCAGCTAATTTTTAATTTTTTTGTAGAGATGGGGTCTCACTATGTTGCCAGGCTGGTCTCAAAATCCTGGGCTTAAGCATTCTGCCCTCCTCGACCTCCCAAAGTACTGGGATTACAGGCGTGAGCTATGATGCCTGGCCAAGATGGTACATTTTATGTTATGTGTATCTTAACACAATTTTTGAAAATAAAATTAAATAAGTTAACAAATAACGCATGGATGAGCTTGTAAGGTAGAAAAGGAAGTCCCCAGATGCTGAAGTGAAGAGGAAGCTGAGAGCTGAAAACAGTGGTCGTGGGGAGACAATCAGGTCCAGTTATGGCCAAAGGCTTGGCTTTTAACACCCATGCAGGGACAGGAGATGAGGCCTCATGCCTGGATAAAGTGACTGGTTGGAACTGAGTCCCCTACATAAAACCCAGATGCTCTGAGAAAAGCCAACCATCAATCCAGAAAGATATTAAGGAAGCTCATCTCTACCCTGGCTCCAGCTGGGGGGAAGAACAGACCCCTGTGAAAAATCAAAACCCCAGCCATGTGCTTGGCCCAAGTTTAGAGTCCAAATATCTACTAACTGCATCAGAAGGGAACCCCAAGCCAAGAAATTAACATAAAATTGGTTCTTAGCTCCAGGATTTGACACAGCCAAAGCCAGTGCAGCCCTGCAGAGCTGGAGGATGACCTGAGCATGGAACACACAAAGGAAAGAGGCAGAGGACAGGCAGAGCCCTGAGAAGCCACATCCTGGCTTCTGAGCTGCTTTCCAAAGGCCCTGAGTTTGACAGAAATCCAAACATGTCTCGTCTCAGACGCTTTCCCCTTTAATTTTCAAATTGATGTATATTTTAAGAGAAATTTAATCCATGTGTCTCTGAATCATGTACAACAAACTCCTCTAACAGTCACTCCATGTTGGGAGCTTGGGAGATTTTTGTGAACTTGGAACAACTTGGTACAAGATGCTCTTTTTTAAAAAAAGAAAAAGATTCTGTTTCCAGTGTCTGTCTAGTTCTCCACCCCAGATCCAAGACTTTTGTCAGATGCTAGGAACCTGCTGCACGAGGACTGCGCACTCCTCTTCCTCCTCTTCCTTGGTGGTCAAAGGGAACTCATCCAAGCCACAGGGGTGCAGGGCTTGGCTCTGTCAAAGAAGCAGTGTGGTCCTTGAAGCTAGCACTACCAGGGCTTTCATTTGGTTCTCCAGCACAATGGCTGTATTTGAGGAGGGCTGGCAAACAGAACACCAGTTTCCAAACCCTGCTTCCTCAGGTGGCCAAAGTGCTCCACCCAAACTCATTATACGGTGGCAAACCTCACAGCCCCTTGTTGGTGGTTCATACTCTCCTGCTAACGGGAGCCTAGCTCCGAAAGCCTCCAGGAGAGGAAAGTATTCAGCCAGGATGGGCTGCGCAGTATTTCCCTCCAATCCTTCTCAAGTTCTGCTGGCTGAGAGCACAAGGTCCCAGCTGACCCCACTGCTTCAGCAGTCCTGCGGTGTACCTCATTTCCAGGAATCCTACCCAGCCCTGGGGCAGAGAGTCTTGTCACGTATTTACCCACAGACGCTCCAACATGTAGAACCTCTGGAAAGAATCTCCAGGCTGGGATTTTGGACCCCTACAGTTTCTACATTTCCTTTGTAACTGGTAATGATATACGTGTCCGTTTTTTTTCAGTGGTGCAATCATAGTTCACCGCGGCCTCAAACTCTGGGCTCAAGCGATCCTCCCACTTCAGCCTCCTGAGTAACTGGGATAATAGGCATGTGCCATCATGCCCTGATAAGCTTTATTTTTAAAATTTTTTTGTAGAGATAGGGTCTTGCTATGTTGTCCAGGCTGGTCTCCAACTCCTGACCTCAAGCAATCCTCCTGCCTTGGCCTCCCAAAGTGCTAGGATTGCAGGCATGAGCCATCACACCTGGCCAGGTGTTTCTTTAAAGTTTATCTTCTTTCTTACTTTCACATTCTTGCTCATTTAACTTTTTAGCTGATTTTGTGCTATGGCTGCAAAGGCCAATTAAAAGTAAGAGTCAAACCTTTTCACGTAAAACCATCATAGGAGCTAAAAACCACCTCAGGGCTGACAGGTTTTTGACATAATTTTCTCTCCTTCAGGGTTGGAGTGACTCAAAGTAACTTGCTTTTGTAGCATAATTTTAGGGGCGACCTTCTTCTCAGTAATCTCCCCTAGTGGGCCCTGCTATTCATTCCATTGCTGTTATTAGCAATCCCGCCAGTGTTAAGATTACTGGTAGAGGAAAAGAAGGAAATTTGAAATACTCTTGGAAATTAAAGCACACCAAGTCCAAAGCAGCTTGAGGCAAATGAGTCAACTGGAGCAGGAAGTCCAGCGAGAGTGATTTAGCAGAAAGAATTCTGGGTTCGGAGTCCAAAGAAGAGGGGTTTAATTCTGACTCAACCCCCTTTGTCTGCCTTACTTCTCTCATCTCTAAATGGGCGACAACTATCCCTGTCTCATTATAAGGCTGAGATTAAGACTTAAAATGTTTTGGACGTGGTAGCTCATGCCTGTAATCCCAGCACTTCGAGAGGCCAAGTTGGGCGGATCACTTAAGCTCAAGACCAGCCTGGGCAACATAGAGGAAACTCTGTCTCTACCAAAAATACTAAAAATTATCCGGGCATGGTGACAAGCACCTGTAATCCCAGCTACTTGGGAGGCTGAGGTGGGAGGATTGGGTGAGCCCAAGAGGTAAAGGCTGCAGCGAGCTGAGATAGTGCCATTACACTCCAGCCTGGGCAGCAGAGTGACACCCTGTCTCAAAGAAATAAAATAAAATAAAATATTTTAAATGTGTGTGGTTCGTGGGGTGGTCCGTGAGCCTTTTCTGTAATGACTCTGAATATCAGGACATAATGAGAGCAGTGAGCATGGGCTCAGGAAGGATGGAGCTCCAGGATCTGCCAGAGCCCACACTGTGCTGAGCCCCAATGAACTCTCTGAGGGCTGGTCTCCTATTGAGACAGCAGGGACCCCCACTCTTAGTGGCCTGCATGCCTCCACCACCCCCAAGCATGGAAATAAAAGAAAGTCTTAAGTTTCTTCAAGGAAAATTCCAGACACCGAACTAGTCCTGAGAAGTAAATGAGCAGTATGCTAAGCAAGAAGGTAATAGTAGCCTAAAACAATAGCAATGAAGCTAGAATTGTAGGATATTTGGTTCCCCTGTAGAAACTAAACATAACATCTTTTTTTCTTTTTTTTAAATTTAATTTTATTTTACGTTCTGGGGTACATGTGCAGGATGTGCATGTTTGTTACACAGGTAAACATGTACCATGGTGATTTGCTGCACTTATGAACCCATCACCTAGGTTTTAAGCCCCACATGCATTAGCTATTTTTCCTGATGCTCTCCCTCCCCTCAACAACCCTGACAGGCCCCAGTGTGTGTTGTTCCCCTCCTTTTGTCTATGTGTTCACATTGTTCCGCTCCCACATGTAAGTGAGAACATGTGGTGTTTGGTTTTCTGTTCCTGTATCAGTTTGCTGAGGATAATGGCTTCCAACTCCATCCATGTCCCTGCAAAGGACATGATTTCATTCCTTTTATGGCTGCATAGTATTCCATGGTGTAGGTGTACCACATTTTCTTTATCCAATCTATGATCGATGGGCGTTTGGGTTGATTCCATGTCTTTGCTATTGTGAATAGTGCTGCAATGAACATACACGTGCATGTATCTTTATAACAGAATGATTTATATTCCTTTGGGTATATCCTAGTAATGAGATTGCTGGGTCAAATGGTATTTCAGGTTCTAGGTCTTTGAGGAATAGCCACACCGTCTTCCACAATGGTTGATTTACATTCCCACCAATGGTGTAAAAGCGTTCCTATCTCTCTACAGCCTCACCAGCAACTGTTGTTTCTTGACTTTTTAATAATCGCCATTCTGACTGGCGTGAGATGGTATCTCACTGTGTTTTGATTTGCATTTCTCTAAGGATCAGTGATAAACAAAACATCTTAACATACATTTCTGAGTTGTGTTTCAGAAACCTGGACCTCTGCCCAATAGATCTGCCATTATGTAGACCTCAGATAAGGGGGCACTGAAGATTGGAGTCAGACCATGGTTCTTTGTTCTAACTTTCTTTCCGAGGGGCCTTGGGGGGGGGGGCACACCCATCAGCTGGAGCTAACATTCTGTTCTGCTGAGCCCAAATTTTAAAATAAAGCTTCTTTTCCTTAACCAATTGCTAATCAGAAAAATCTTTGAATCTACCTATGGCCTATAAGCCCCCGTTTCAAGATATCCCACCCTTTTAAGCCAAAACCAATGTGTAACCTCCAGGTATTGCTTTATGATTTTGCCAGTAACTTCTAATTTCCTGAAATTTATGCTTGCCTTTAAAAACCCTTACCCATGAGCCATTGAGGAGGTCAGATTTCGGGGTTGGCTGCCTGGTCCTCCTTGCTTCGGTCGCTGCAAATAAATACCTTCCTTTCTTCCCCTGCAAACCTCAATGTGGATATCTGTTCTTATTGCACCAGCAAGCAGAGCCCAGTTCAGTAAGAGTCTGAGTGCCCAAGGCATCTTGCTGGTCTGCCAGCCTTCCCCATGATGATGCCTGAGAACTGAGAAAGGACTGAGTGTGTGTCCTTTCAACACCCTTCAAGAACACCCAGAGCCTGTCTGGAGCAGCCCATCAGCCCTGGGTTTCCTCAAACATGGCCCATATGGGTCCATTCTCTATCTTGGCTCTTGGGTGAATGGCTTGGAGAGTGGGCTGGACTGTTGGAAGCTCCTGGGTGGCATTTTAATGAAGACTGTTATACTTCAGGTGTAACTTTTTTTTTTGAGATGAGTTTCACTCTTGTTGCCCAGGCTGGAGTGCAATGGCGTGATCTCGGCTCACCACAACCTCCACCTCCCGGGTTGAAGAGATACTCCCACCTCAGCCTCCCAAGTAGCTGAGATTACAGGCATGCACCACCACACCTGGCTAATTTTGTATTTTTAGTAGAGATAGGGTTTCTCCATGTTGGTCAGGCTGGTTTCGAACTCCCGACCTCAGGTGATCCGCCTGCCTCGGCCTCCCAAAGTGCTGGATTATAGGCATGAGCCACTGCGCCCAGCCTCAGGTATAACTTTTAATGATTCCTAGGAGGCTGGGTGTGGTAGCTCGCATCTATAATCCCAGCACTGGATCTGTTGAGGCCAGGAGTTTGAGACCAGCCTAGCCAACAAGGTGAAACGCTGTCTCTACTAAAAATACAAAAATTAGTGGAGCGTGGTGGGGCATGCCTGTAATCCCGGCTACTCAGGTGGCTGAGGCAGGAGAATCATTTGAACCTGGGAGGTGAAGGTTGCAGTGAGCCAGATCGCGCCACTGCACTCCAGCCTAGGCGACAGAGCAACTCTTGTCTCGAAAAAAAAAGAAAAAAGAAAACTTTTACTGACTCCTAGGGAAGCCTGCTCACTTCTGCTTGGGGCACCTTTCCTCTGGCTTCACAAAAAATTGTTTATAAGGCCAGGCCCAAATAAAATTAAACAGTATAGCAGGATTGTGATGGATTATGAGAGACTCCAGTCTGAAACAAGCAGATTCCCCGCAGACCCTGGATCTCTCAGGATAGTGAGTTACCCCGATTAGTTATTTTTTCTATCTGTTTTAATGATTGTCCCTCAGATCAGGCCCCTGGAGCTCCTGGGCCTGGGTGGGACGTGAGGCTGCCATGTGAGCCCCAGGCTCCAGCAGCAGGGGAATTTGTTTTACCTCCGGGCTTGGAAATCAGCCTGACTTTTGGGAGGGAGCCTAATTGATTCCACTGGCGGCAGCACTGTGGTGAAGACCCCTGGAAAGAATGATGTATGGGGCCAGGGTACCAGCGCCCAAGACACACACACTTCCTTTAATTAACAAGAGTGCGATGCCAACAAACACACCGGCATATGGGAAGTGAAGGCGACTGCAAGCCAAGCCTCTTGACTTCCTCTGGGGGTGCCCTGCCAACTGGGATTATTCGTTGTTCTCGTTTCCTCACAAAAAAGCCCCTGTGCTTGGTGGAGGGGCCCGACAGCGGGCGCTGGCAGTCCCCCAGGCTGGCGGCTCTGCTTGAGCCTGTCTTCCTGACTCTCTGGCAGGGCACACTTCTCTTAAGTAGCTAGTTTGAAGCAGGCAGAAAAGCCAGGGCTCCTTTCTGGGGATTTCCTGGCCAAAAACAGTCATCTTCCGGCTCCTTTTTTCTCTCTCTTGGTATATTTCAGGATGTTGGTTATGTCTATTGATAAACTTCATCTTCTTCTCACTCCAGAACTCCCATAATCACCACCTACCCTCACCCTGCAGGGTCTGCCATCGTCTCCTGCACCCATGAGGCTGGTTGAGGTTAGGAGTGGGGATGTCCTGGCTGACTCCCATGTCAGTGATAATCTATTTTAAAATATGATGCTTTACAAGTGTCTTTTGATTATTGACAATTGCAAACACTGCTTGAGAGAGTAATTAAATAAGCATACATGAAAAGTGTCTGTTACGTGTCGGGCACGGTGCTAGGTACCGAGGATACCAGGCACCGGGGGTGGAACCTCTGTCGGGGTAAGGAGGCAGAGGCGGGAACGGAGGGAACAGGACAGGGTAAGGGCCATAATGGAGACATGTTGAATGAGCCACTAGTACAGAGCAGAAGAACTCTCTTGGCTGTGCACAGACCACAGGAAGCAGATTCAGACTTTTTAACTTGTCTTTAATCTACGTTTTTATGTAGACTCTCAGGCCTCCAAATCTTCCAAATCAGAATCCCAGGGAGGAAGGCCCCCAGGAAGATGTATTTTAACAAATTTCTCACATAATTCTCATTTACACAAAATTTTGAGCACCACTCTCCAATCAGAGGGTCACTGTTCTGGGAAGAGTGCACAGAAGCGATGACACTTGAGGGGTTTGTTTTCTGTTTCTAAGTAATAGTCTTTATTTTAATTTTTCTTCTTTTTTCTTTTTTTTCTAATTTGAGATAGACTCTTGCTCTGTCGCCCAGGCTAGAGTGCAGTGATGCAATCTTGGCTCACCGCAAACTCTGACTCCCAAGTTCAAGCGATTCTTCCATGTCAGCCTCCCAAGTAGCTGGGATTACAGATGCACACTACCACACTCAGCTAATTTTTATATTTTTAGTAGAGATGTGGTTTCACCATGTTGACCAGACTGGTCTCAAACTCCTGATCTCAAGTGATCTGCCCGCCTCAACCTCCCAAAGTGCTGGGATTACAGGAGTGAGCCACTGAGCCTGGCCTGTATTTGAATTTTGATTTTCCTTAAAATAAATTATCAGAGGGTATTTTATAATATATCATATATACAGGGGTAGGTCCTAATTTTGTGGGGGAAGTAGCTTATAAAATTTGGGTGGGCATTTTTTGATATTCATTTATTATTATTATTGTGGTAAAATATACATAACAAAATTTACCATGTTAACCATTTATAAGTATTCAGCTCAATGGCATTAAGTACATTCACAGTGTTATGCAACCATCACCACTACCCATCCACAGGACTCTTTTATCTTGCAAAACAGAAACTCTGTACCCATTAAACAATAACTCCTTATTTCTCCCTTGCACCAGTTCCTGGCAACCACCCTTCTACTTTCTGTCTCTGTTAATTTGACTACTCCACGTACGTCATATAAGCAGACTCGTACAATATTTGTCTTTTTGCAATTGACTTACTTCACTTAGCATAATGTCCTCAAGGTTCATCCATGTAGAAAAATGTGTCAGAATTTTTTTTAGAGAGTCTCATTCTGTCACCCCCAGGCTGGAAGGCAGTGGTGTGATCATAGCTCACTGCAATCTTGAACTCCTGTGCTCAAGGGATCCTCCTGCCTTAGCCTCAGAAAGCACTGGGTTTACAGGCATGAGCCACTGCACCCAGCCAGAATTTTCTTTCTCTTTAAGGGTCAATAACATTTCATTGTTTGTATATACCACATTTTGCCTATCCATTCCTCTGTTGATGAACACTTGGGTTGCTTTCACCTTTTGACTATAGTGAATGATGTTGCTATGAACATGGATCTACAAATATATCTTCAAGACCCTGCTTTCATTTCTTTTGGATATATATCCAGAAGTGGACTTGCTGATCATATGGTAATTCTATTTTTCATTATCATTATTATTATTTTAGTAACTGCCACAGTTTTCCACAGTGGCTGCACCGTTTTACATTCCCACCAACAGAGCACAGGAGCTCCAATTTCTCCACATCTTCACCAGCACTTGTTATTTTCTCTTTCTTTTTCCCTTCCTTCCTTCCTTCCTTCCTTCTCCTTCTCTTTCTCTTTCTTTCTCTTTCTTTCTTTCCTTCTTTCTTTCTTTCTTTCCTTCTTTCTTTGTTTCCTTCCTTCTCTTTCTCCCTTCCTTCCTTCGTTCCTTCTTTCCTTCCTCCCTTCCTCCCTTCCTTCCTAGTAACCATCCTAATAGGTGTGAAGTGGTATCTCGTTTTGATTTTCATTTCCCTATTACTTAGTAATGTTGAGCATCTTATCACGCACTTATTGGCCATTTTCATGTCTTCTTTGGGATGACATTTGAGTTTTGAAAGATGAATAGCACCTTTTTCGTTTGGTTGGGTTTTTGTTTTGTTTTGTTTTGTTTTGTTTTGTTTTGACAGGGTCTTGCTCTGTCACCAAGGCTGGAGTGCAGTGGCACAATCACAGCTCACTGCAGCCTCTGCCTCCTAGGTTCAAGTGATCCTCCATCTCAGCCCCCCAAGTAGCTGGGACTAGAGGAGTGTGCCACCACACCCGGCTAATTTTGTTCATTTTTTTGTAGAGACAAGGTCTCACTATGTTGCCCAGGCTGATCTCAAACTCCTGGACTCAAGTGATCCTCCTGCCTCAGCCTCCCAAAGTGCCGGGATTACTCAAAGCTTGAGCCACCACGCCTGGCTAAGGACTTTTAAGGGGAGAGATGGGGAAGGTGGTATCATGCAGAAGGAATAAAGTAACAAACATCTTAAGTGTAGGAAAGAGTGTGTTGTGAGACTGGAGCACATCTAGGGAGGAGGCACAGATGGAAGTCAGGCTGGGAAGTCTCTTACGTGTCATGGAGTGGACATTGGTTGATTCTTTGACCACCCACCTATTCACCACTCCAAATGGCACCTACAGGTTGGGCACTTGTCACAAGTCAGACCAGACTAAGAATGCCAGATTCCCTCTCCTGGAGCTTTGAAGATAGAGTGAAACGAAGCAAAACACATACACAAAAAAGTTTAGCGAGCACTCATTCCAGCACGGGACCTAATAAAAATCTCTCTAATTCATTCCCTTTTCCTTAAGTGGGGTATAATTGGTTTTTGTTGTTTGCAACCAGAAAACATCAACTGACATGAATATAAAGGGAAGCACAGGGGGAGATAGAGTTCTTCATGCTTATCATGTGTCAGGAACTTGCATACATTCATTTAATTTCTTTTCTTCATGTTTTCTACTATTTTGCAGACATAACATTTAATTGTTTTAGGTGGGTCTGTGTCTTTCCAAATAAATCATTTTCTCTTGGTCTTGGGGTTTCTGGAATCAGAGGAGAGATACTACTTACTTGAGGCATTGACAATTGCTTTTGCTTGGCTAATGACTGAGAAAGGATGTAGAAGGCTTCTTTGTTGAGGGCTTTGATACAGTGGTGGAATATCTGAAAGTGACCTGTAGGTATGGACTCACCATATTTCTATCAAGTAATGAGGACATGAAGAGTGTGTTCACAAGTGTTGTGAGAAAAAGAGAGGGGTTGACAGGTCTGACAATACCTGAAAGAATAGGCTTACTTTTTCAAAAGGATTTTGGTAAACCTACAAGAAAAATAAATAAATAAAGCATAACAACAGGAAAACAAAAGTTCACTAGAAGCATAAAGAAAACACTATTTTATATAGAGAAGACCAATCACCTGAGGACATAATTAAAGAATGACTGTCACGCCTCAATGTGGATGAAAAGAGAGAGGTCAGACTATATAAGAAGTTGTTTGATAACTGTTGCTTAAAACACACACGCCCAGTAACAGTAATATCATTACAATTAAGAAAGAGAGTCATCTAATACATACACTCTCTCTAACACCACTACCATATATAAGAGATATTCGTACGTTTATAAAAAATATATATACTCAATCAACAATTATTCGAGGCACACCTACTATGTGCCAATCTCTATAGCAGGCAAGCACTATTATTTCATTTTACTAAAGAGATCACTGAGGCTTAGAGAACTTAATCAGTGGTGGAACCAGAACTCAAGCCAGGGTCTTTACACCATGTGGGTAAACCCTATTTTGATTTTTCAGTAATGGAAGTAGAAGAACTCTGTCCACCATGCTGAATGTTTTCTGTTGTTGTTTGTTTGTTTTTGTTTCTGTTTTTGTTCTTTTGAGATGGAGTCTTGCTCTGTCATCAGGCTGGAGTGCAGTGGCGCGATCTCCACCTGCAACCTCCACCTCCTAGGTTCAAGTGATTCTCGTGCCTCAGCCTCCCAAGTAGCTGGGACTACAGGTGCATGCCACCACACCCAGCTAATTTTCATATTTTTAGTAGAGATGGGGTTTCACCATGTTGGCCAGGATGGTCTCGATCTCTTGACCTCGTGATCCACCCACCTTAGCCTCCCAAAGTGCTGGGATTACTGGTGTGAGCCACCAAGACTGGCCCATGCTGAATGTTTTTGAGTAAAGGTATTACCTTATCTACTGGGGGAACCTGCCCCCAATATTTCAACGTAGGTTCTTTCTATTTTCCATAAGTGTCAGCCAGCTGAGAAATAAAGAGAAAGAGTACAAAGAGAGGAATTTTACAGCTGGGCCACCAGGGGTGACATCACATATTGGTAGGACCATGATGCCCACCTGAGCTGCAAAACCAGCAGGTTTTTATTAAGGGTTTCAAAAGGGGAGGGGGTGTACAAACAGGGAGTCGGTCACATCCTTCAAGGGGCAAAAAGCAGAACAAAGATCACATGCTTCTGAGGAAACAGGGCAAGGGCAAAATCAGAACTCCTGATAAAGGTCTATGTTCAGCGGTGCACGTATTGTCTTGATAAACATCTTAACAGAAAACAGGGTTCGAGAGCAGAGAACCAGTCTGACCAAAAATTTACCAGGGTGGAGTTTCCCAATCCTAGTAAGCCTCAGGGTACCACAGGAGACCAGGGCGTATTTCAGTCCTTAGCTCAACCGCATAGGACAGACATTCCCAGAGCGGCCGTTTATAGACCTCCCCCCAGGAATGCATTCCTTCCCCAGGGTATTAATATTAATATTCCTTGCTAGGAAAAGAATTTAGCGATATCTCTCCTACTTGCATGTCTGTTTATAGGCTCTCTGCAAGAAGAAAAATATGGCTCCGCAGGCAGTCAGACCTTATGGTTGTCTTCCCTTGTTCCCTAAAAATCGATGTTATTCTGTTCTTTTTCAAGGTGCACTGATTTCATATTGTTCGAACACACATGTTTTACAATCAATTTGTACAGTTAACACAATTATCACAGTGGTCCTGAGGTGACGTACATCCTCAGCTTACGAAGATAACATGACTAAGAGATTAAAGTAAAGACAGGCATAAGAAATTATAAAAATATTATCTGGGAACTGATAAATGTCCATGAAATCTTCACAATTTATGTTCCTCTGCTGCAGCTCCAGCCAGTTCCTCCATTCAGGGTCTCTGACTTTCTGCAACACTTATCAGATCTTTGCCATGGAATGATAACTCTGATTCTCAGGTATAAAGCAACTGTGATAATCCAGGCAAGAAATGATGAAAGCCCAAACTAAACAATTGCAGTAGGGATGGAGGAGAGGAGAAGGGTTGGAAAAATAGAAGGTTCTCTACAAGACTCAATGACATAATAAGGAGATGGAGACTTGTGAGGGCTCCAAAACAATTCCTTCCCATGTCTTTAAAAAAACTAAGTGATGGTCTTGCCTCTCACCAAAACAGAGAATACTGGGAAGAGAAGCCAACTGTGCTCCCATGAAGTCAGAGTGTCCATGATACAGAACCATGGCTCTCCTCTCCCCAACAGTCCACTAGTGTTTCCCAATCTGCTTCTTTGCCATCCTCTCAAAGTGTCACACAGCCCAGTCACTTTGAGAACATCACTGGTTCTCAACTTTGGCCAAAAGAAAACTGTGTGTTCAGCAAGTGCTTCACCAATGGCAGGATTTCACCATAATGTCTGTGGGCAGCTTCACAATTTCTGATTCAGACCATTCTTGCAACTGCAAAAGCCGCTGAAAGGTCTCTGAATGAACATCTCATGTTCTCATGTCCACTACTGCAGGGAAGGTGGAGATGCCATTCATTCCTTAGCAGATTTTTTTTCCAGCTTGTGGTTTTCACAAACCACATAGAAGACTACACATTCCTGTCCAATCAGCAGGCTGAAGACTCATGCTTGTACAGTACACATTGGTGCTGTGCGATGTACCCACAGCCAGGGAAGTCTCTGACTACTCCTGAAAACCCACTGTGGCAGCAGAGTCTGATCTGATTACTGAGAGAAGTTTTGGCAGTCCTGAATTTGAAAGAGCTGCTATGAATTTGACCCCAGGTTGAAGAGTGTTGCAATCAGATGTCATCATTCTACTGAACCTGAAGAAGACAGAGCACAGCCTGAGCTGTAGACTGGACTACAGAGTTGGGGCTGGCCCAGAAAAGAAGAGTGCTCAGTGATAGCAGCTTGAAACAACAAATGTATATTCCTTTACATTGTTCCTGTGGGTCAGGAGCCCAGGAGCAGCTTATCTGGGTGATTCTGATTTGAGGTCTCTCATGAAGTTGCAGTCAAACTATTGGTCAGGACTGCAGTCATCTGAAGGCTTGACTGGGGCTGGAGGATTCAATTCCAAGCTCACTCACATGGTTGTAGGTAGAAGTCTCAGTTCCATGCCATGTGGGCCTCTCCATATGGTTTCTTTCCATTGGGCTGCATATAGCATCTGGCTTTGCCCAGTGTAAGAGAGAAAGACAGAGTGGCACAGAGACAAAGAGAGACTCAGATCTCTGTGGAAGCCACAGTATCTTTTATAACCTAATCTCAGAACTGGCATACCAATATTTCTGCCGTATTCTAATTGGTCATATAGACCATCCCTGGCACAATGTGAGAGAGAATAACACAACCGTGTCAATGCCAGGAGGCAGAGGTCCCCACCAGAGCCATCTTGGAGGATGGCTACCATGCTGTGAAAGTTTTGGTGAGCCCTCAATCCTGTACAGAATCTGGTAAACAGCCAGAAGGAAAGACAATTCAACCTATGAGACTTACATTTAGCTTTTTTTTTTTCCAACTTGATCACAGTATAGGAAACTTTGCACACTTTATATTGCCTGCGTTTTGATCTCCAGTGGACCCAGCATTTCCAGCCCACTCCATTCATGAACCTTCCATGCATAGTGCCAGCCTCTAAATGCAACTTCACCTGCATCTAGAACCAACACTATATATAGTTCAGCACTTTATCACTTTTTTATTGTTCTGCATATACTTATATGGCTTCCCCAACTAGACTGTAGGCTCCTTATGAGAAAGGAACATATGTCTTCTTTTTATTTGGAAGGGACCACAGTGGCAAGCCTTCTGCTAGACACAAGGTGGTTGTTTAATCAAGAGTTATTCACTGACTGATTGACTTCGAGACCCTCCTTAAATCCTCCTTTTTATAGTCTGGGAATTTGAGGAGTCAGCAAGGAAAAAACTTGGTCAGATGAATCATCACTCAAGTCCAGAGCAAAACTCCATAGGCAGCTGCTGATCCCAGCTGGGGGAAGAAGGCTGGCTCTTAGGCCGAGGCTCAGAGGCTGCCTGCTGCATTTAGCTCGGGCTAATGATGCAGCCTTTCTTGCACTGAGCTGCCCACTAACTCATGAGGCTGTTGGAAGCCTTGTTCCTGTACACTGTGGGCTGGTTGTGTGCATTTGGCCAAGTGAACACTAATGCTTCAAGAGGAAATGGTTCCTAACAAGCAGAACTTTCTTTTAAATCTCTCCAGCATTTGTGAAACCATTGTGACATGGGAAGCAAGTCTGCTTACAGAGCAGAAGGGCCACTGGCCTTGCACAATGTCATCCATACACACTAGTAAGTCATAGGGTTCTGATTCTAGTCTGCTCCTTAGCACCAAATCATACAACCCTCAGTGATTTGGGATGCTGTATTCAGCCCAGTGCTGGTGATAATAGACAGGGGTGCCAATCAACTGCACTCTGCTGTTGCTAAGTGGCAACACCAATTTCTCAGATTAGAATCCCACTGAGGGCAACCTGGCCCCACTCCACCTCTGCCTGCTTTTCACTCGGCTTGAGTCTACCAAGGTTAATGTGTCCCCACTGGATGTTTGATTATCCAAAATGACCTTGGGAAACCTGTGCCTTTTGTTCTTTCAGTGAATTTACCTTCATTCCTGTGTTGTCTGCACAGTGGTTCTGCATTTGTGGCAACTCCGGGGAGAAAGGCTGTGAAAAATGCTTTGTTATATTACATTGCCCCCTGGCTCCAGTGAATTGCTCTGTAAATCACACTATTGTTAAAGTGTCCTAGGGAAACTAAACCACTTTCTGGGTCTCAGAGAGCACAAGGATATTAATCAGAGGCAACTATTGCAGAAAAAAACATTTTTTTTAAAAAAAGGAAAGTAACAAAAATACTCACAGTTTTTAATGTGTGGGGCTTGGAAAAGAGCATACATTGGGAAAGGGGCCAAACCAGAATATCTTTACTCTTTCATAAATCCTCTGATAGAGGAATGCATTATCTCTGAACACTTTAAGCCCGTTTAGTTTTATAGCAAAACAATATTGTACACCTGCTGCATCTTAATGATCTAGCTCAAGCAGCTCAAGCAGAGTGAGAATGGGGGAAGGGGTGGGAGGAGGTAGACTCTATAAATCAGGAAGAACCTTTAATCAGATTCAGCTGGGACCCACAGGGACTGCTAGGAGGATGACAGGTACAAGCATCCCACAAATATTCCTGAGAGAACCTGTCCTTGACTGTAGCCCAAGAGGCCCTGAGCCTAGCTCTGTGAGTCATAGGCTCAAAGCACCAACATTGAGGAGGGGAAGCAGCAACAACAGCACTGGTTTCTCAAATTATTGCTCAGGACAACTCGTCAGCAGGCCCACAGCCTTTGCTGAGAGCCCATAAACCACTCTGCACGAGGTATGATGAAAAAACACAAGCAAAAGAAAGAAAAAATGCTGGAACTTTAGTCAATAGAATATGGCTCAAAAGAAGTCGGAAAGTTGGGCTTGTGTCTCTTTTTGTTGCTCAGATTTCTTGTCACAGGGTTTGGTTTCTAATGAAATCTGGCTCAACATGGACAGCTTGTGCCTTCCAATGACTTTTCATCTAATGATATGTGACAAGCACCAAAAAAGTACTGGCCTTAAACATATATTAGAGACAAATTGTCTAGATCCCAGACCTCCAAAACAAAATTGTGCAAGTGGGGAGAGGGGTGTCTTTCCACTAATTAATTGCAAAGAAAACAATGCAACAAAGGTCAACCTCTTCATATCCCTTCTATTTCTTCACCCTCCCTCTTCTTCACTCCAGCTAAACACACACAAAATAAAGGTCACTTGAAATACCACCAGCCTTAATATTTTGGTGTATAGTGATTATGATTAAGTGGATGGACTCTGGGGTCAGTGGGCCTTAGTGTGAGTCATGGCTCTATGTGCCCTTGGGCAATTACATTAATTCTCTAGGCTTTAGTTTCTTCATCTGTAAAATGGAAATAATAATAGCATTGACCTCGCATCGTTCTTATGAGAATGAACTAAAGTCATCCACATAAGAGGCTCAGAACATGACCAGGCAAATAGTAGGTACTCAATAATGTCACTGTTAACAATCAGCATTATAATATATATTAATACATATATCCTTGCCATTTTAATTATGAATATATACATTTACATAGACTCTTTTTTTAAAGTAAACCATACTTTACATATGGTTTTTGTAATTGTTTTTAAACTTACAATGTATTATGAACATTTTATACATCATTAATCTCCCAGAACAACATTTTTAACGCTGCAGAGTATGCCATTACATGAATGTACCCTGGCTATTTAACCAATCTCCTATTAGACAATTAGGTTGTTTCCAATACTTGATAGTATAAATACACTCTGAGGAACCGCTTTGTAGAGGTTTCTTGCACACATCATTAGTTGCTGCCTTAGGATGAATTCCCAGAACTAGAAGCACTGAATCAAAAGAAATGCAATTAAAATATTCCAAAAAGAATAAGTGCATTACAGAAAATAAGGAAAAGGAAAAATACAATTCCACTGCACTAATACACACTAATATAATTTGGGCAATTTAGAATTTCCAATGGCTTTATTTTTCCTTAGAAGAGATAGAAGCTTCAAGTAAAAGATGGGCAGATGTTTATTATTTCTGCTCCCTTCTTAAACTCACTAAAATGACAAGAAAGAACTAAAAACAAACACAGAAACAAACAAACAAAATAAAAAACTCATAAGCCCACAATGTTAAAAAGAATGGAATAGGAGATGTCAACAGCCAAAAGATGTGAACAACATTTTGAGAGCTGAAAAGCAGATCAGATGAGCAATAACTGACTTCGTGGATCAGAGGAAACTAAAATTCATGCCATGACTGAAACTCCACACTGACTTTAAATGGAGCAGCTAGATCCTTCTGATCCCCTCTGTAGCCCTAAAAGAAGACAGACAATTTACCTCCTGGAGAGGCCGAATCAGACCATTCTGAATCAGAAATAGGAAGCACTGCTGAGGGTAGGATGAGGCATCTTCATGAAAGACATGTATTTAAGTGAAAGTTGACATACCCACTGAAAAATAAGACTCCTAGCCCCTTCCTTAACTCAAGTCCCAGCATGCTGGCAGCCAGGTTCGTACACCCTTTCCCTTTCCCCATCCCTGCTCCCTGGAGGGAAATTGGGGCATTCTTCTGAGAGCAACTGATGGGTCCAAGAGAAAAGACTATGGAGTTTCCCCTAAGGAAATGGCCCCACATAAGCTATAGTGAAGTCCAACAACTGACAAGTCTCCCCACTCCACGTGGAAGAGGATCACTTTTGAGAAAGCTCCAAATATGAAATACACCAAAAGAAACCAAACTAACCAAAAAGAGAAGCTCAGGGAAAACAAAAAACAAAACAAAAAACAAACAAACAAAAAACACCAGGGCAAGAAGCAGAAGAAAAAATACTGCATCCATGAAATGATAACAGGAGCCTATTAAAAAATTAGAAAACAAGGCAATACTCTGAGTAGTTACACATATGAGGGGGAAAACATCAACTTTTCTTTTGAAAGATAGTCGAGGAAATCTCCCAGAAGAGTAGAAGAAAAAGCTAAATTCATAGAATAAAAGATATAGATAAAGGATATAGTTAGATGTAAAGGATAAGAAAACTTGAGACAGATGTTCCAGAAAGACAGAACCAAGAAAACAGGAAGAAATCATTAAAGAATCAATACTGGGTCTGAACTGAAGGAGAGTGATGCACGATACAGTGAATAAGAAAAAACATACCCAAGACACTTCATTCTCTAGTTTCATAGCACCAGGAGTAAAAAGGTCATAGAAGATTCTAAAAAGAAATTTTAAAATGAAAATACAACTCACTTATAAAAGATTGAGAATCAGAATGGCAATTGAAGGTAATAGAGAAATTCTGGGGGAAATGATTTTAACCCAGAATTCTATACCCAGCCAAACTATCAGTCAAGTGTACCAATATAATAAACAGTTTCAGACATTCAAAGTCTCAAAAAAATTTATCTTCTTTTCTCAAGAAACTATTGGTGGGTGTGCTTCCTAAAATATCGGAGTAAGAAAAGGAGAAAAAGACATGGTGATGGGAAAGCTGACTGCTGCAATTTAGAAAACCAAACATAATTGAATAGCTAATGAAGATGCAAACTTACTTTTTTCTCACATAACAGCCCAAGATAAATATTTCAGGTCGTGGACAACTGCTTCCTTTGGTCATTCAGGGATTGTGGTTCCTTCTGCATATCTTGTTTTTCTGCTGTGTCTTAGGGGCAGTGGTTCTCAAAAATGAGATCCTCAGGCCAGTAGCATCAGCATCACTTGAGAACGTATGAGAAATGCAAATTCTCAGGTCCCAACACCAGACCTAATGAATCAGAAATTCTAGGCATAGAGGGCAGAAATCTGTGTTTTAACAAGACTTCCACGTGATTCTTATGCATGCTAAAGTTTGAAGATGACTATCCTAGGGCATTATCCTTTTCTGCATGATGAAAATTTGATTGCAAGCACTTTCATTTTCCAGTTCACCAGAGGAAAAGTGTGTAGGTTTTTATGGACCAGGCCAGGAAGTAATATACAGTTGCTTCCACTAGCATTTATTTGGCAAAATCTAGTTATGTGGTAATCCCTAGCTTTAAGGGTGAGTTGGGAAGTGTAGCGTTTAGTTAGGCAACCTCATATAGCTACATTTCTATTACAATGAAAGAAGGAAAGAAAGGATTTGGGAGGATAAGCAGCAGTTTCCACCATATGTATAATCCAGGCAACAGGACTCCAACAAAGATAAATCCCAGATGATGTTGAAGGGACCCGTAGAATGTCCTATTCACAGGGCTAGAGCTGTGAATCAGGCCACAGAGCAAAGAGTCCAGACAGGAACAGGAAAGCCAAAAAGCTCTAGGAAGGGCGGCCAATGAAAATAATGAAACCAAGAGAATACCTGTATTTGAATGTATTTTCAGGAGATTTTGTGGATGAATTAATAATAGGTACATAGAAAACTAAACAAAATACAAAAACAGAAAACTATTAATTCCAGGGAAAACAAAAGGCTGAATGAAAAAGGAAACATAATTATAGGATTCTATGTGGCTTACCTGGGAATAATATTTACATAGTCATAAAATAAATATTTAATGTTGATTTTACCCAAAATGGTGGCATAACTATGTTGGGAGGTTGAGCAGAGGGAAAGTGTGTGCAGGCCAGTTTAATGATGATAATAAGTAATATTTATATAGCGCTTACTGTGCACCAGACATTATTCTAAGCCCATTATATATTCAACATTTAATCTTCATAGTCACTCTATGAGGAAGATAATATTATTGTTACAAGAAAGCGGTCCTGATCCAGACCCCAAGAGAGGGTTCTTGGGTCTTGCGCAAGAAAGAATTCAGGATGAGTCCATAAAGTGAAAGCAAGTTTACTGAGAGAGTAAAGGAATAAAAGAATGGCTACTCCATAGACACAGCAGCCCCAAGGGCTGTCGGTTGCCCATTTTTATGGTTATTTCTTGATGATATGCTAAACAAGGGGTGGATTATTCATGCCTCACCTTTTTAGGCCATATAGGGCAACTTCCTGATGTTGCCTGGCATTTGTAAACTGTCATGGAGCTGGTGGGAGTATAGCAGTGAGGACAGCTAGAGGTCACTCTCATCACCATCTTGATTTTGGTGGGTTTTGGCTGCCTTCTTTATTGCAGCCTGTTTTATCAGCAAGGTCTTTATGACCTGTATCTTATGCCAACCTCCTATCTCATCCTGTGACTTAGAATGCCTTAACCGTCTGGGAACGCAGCACATTAGGTGTCAGCCTCATTTTACCCAGCTCCTATTCAAGATGGAGTTGCTGTGGTTCAAACACCTCTGACATTATCATCCATTTTACACAGGAGGAAATCGAGACCCACAGCAGTCAAGCAACTTGTACAAACTCACACAATTAGTAAGTATTAGACCTGGGATTTAAACCAGGTAATTTCTCTCCAGAGTCCATACTCTCCACTAGTATGCTATATGGTCACATTTTCCATGATAGGAAGTCAAAAGACAATTCCTAAAATCAGTAAACCAAGAAAAACTGGATAAGCTGTGATTTATAAATAAAGACAGAAATACCAAGAAGAAACAGATAAAAGAGTTGAAAGTAATTGTTTCTGGCTGGGGGGTAACTGGGAGTGGTCAAAGGATTGCTGTTTTTCTTATTGTTGTTACAGTCTAGTAGTAATGTTTGAATTTTAAAAGCTTTTAAACATCACTTCAGTCAAAATTAATTTTTTATTCTTCAGTGGTTGGTGCTTTGTAAAAATAAATAAATAATAAATAAATAAATTTTTTCTTTTAATACAAGATGGCAAAAAGAATGCACCTGGCTAAGTTAACTTAGAGAATGGGTCAAGTATGCAAGGTAACCAACAGGGAAAGTTACAGAGAGAGGGAGAGAGATTGAGAGAGAGAAATTTCCACAGAGAAGTGGAAACAAAAGGATGATGTTTTTGGAGGAATGACAAGCAGATTTAAGGGAGCCAGAGAGAATGAGAAGGGATGAGATTGAACAGCCAGGGCAGAGACACATTGAACATTTGTCATGGGCTATATACCCAGAAGGGAGCAACTACTTCATGGAAATTCTGTGGGCAGAATCCAGAGAAGCCACTGAATTAGCACTCCAGTGGCTTTATGCAGAATGGTTTTGATTTGGGCCTCTAACATGAGATTCCTCCTTCCTCAGTGACCAAGTCAGCTGAGAGAAACGGCTCCGGCCTTAAAGCTGAAGACAGAAGGAAGGATGAACTGCAAAGCCATAAGGTGACTGATTAAAACCCTAATTATGTGTCAACCCAGGCCAAACCAAAGTAAATAATGAAACATGTCTGTCTACTACGTGGCTTTGGAGCAAGTCGGTTAATTTCCCTGAGCCTCAGTTTTCTCTTTTCAAACAATAAATGTAATAAAGCCTGCATGTGTATAGCACATCATACTTTTCAGAGCCGTTTTTCATTTTCCTTTTCCCCGAGGTGGGTAGCATAAAATTATACAGCCAGTTATCGGTGGAACCTGAATTCTATTTCTAGATCTAATTCACTTCTCTTTGTAAACTTTGCTCAATTAAGAGTCAGAGAACTCTATGAAGTAAAAAGAAATAGATATATATTCCAATTTATAAAGGAAGAACCAAGATATACCCCATATCTCCTGGCTCATTTGGAACCAGGACCCACACCTAAGTCTTTTGGTGCTCAGTTGGGGGCCTTTTCCAATATACAGCATCTGTTGTGACTAAATGAGACTTCGTGGGTAGGTAGAAGGGCAGCTCGTAAACATGATAGTGCCCGCTCCTGCCGGCTGCCGTGGACAAGCGGGCCTGGGTGTGGCCACCATCCTTCCCTGAGTCCAGGTTTCACACGCTCTGTCCTGTTTTCAGGATATCCATTTGTCTGATTTTTTTATTTAGAAAAATACCACCTCAGTAGTAATGACAGCTAAGATTCACTCCTGCGCCTGCCCTGTAGGGGGTCCTGCTGGTGGATGCGTGAGTTGGGGAGAGGGAGGCCAGGAGGAGGCCGGGCTGAGGCACCCGGCCCCGCTTGTCCAGCAGGCTCTGGTCGCCGCCGTCCCGACGCCTGCTCCGCCTCCTGGGCCTGGCGAGTGCGCGAGGCCGAGGCTTGGGGCCCAGCTCGGCTCACTTTGGATGTTTTTAAACTCGCACGATTTTCTTCCGAACACCGTCCCGCAGCCCCTCGTTCTGCCCTCCCGGCCACCCCACGGCAGCGCCGCGAGGAAAGAGCGCCCGGGGCTCAGCCTCCAGGGAGCCGGGACCCACCGCGGCCAACACGGGCCCCGCGCCCCTTCCCAGGCTGGGCGTCGCCGCGTCGCGCCCCCGAAGGCCCCGGCCGTTCCTGCCCCAGCGCCTTTTAACCGGGGAACGCTGACTAGCTGAATACAGCGGGAAAGCCGCCATTTGTTCTGGGGCTGGCGGCCGGCATTGAAGCCAGATGTGCGCGAGGCTGACGTTGACATGGCACATCTGGTGGGGGTTTTGGTTTCCATCGCGGAGTTTACCACATCCACCCCAGTCGGCTAGGAGACAGGAGGCGGACATCTGGAAGTCATTGCAGCTGTCACGCTTCAAGGGGATCCTGTACCACAGAGAAGAGAATTCAATACGTAACGGAGCAAAATTGTCCAGCTCTTCTTGTCAGCCCAGATTTCAAACACATGCAGGAACATGGCAACCGCGGTATGGCGCCCTCCGTCCCTCTGGGGTGCCCGTGGCCACCGCAAGCCCGAGGGTCCTTTGCCCACTCCAGGCTCCTCAGTTGTCTCCATGGAAAGACTGGCTAGAAGGCCACGTTCTTTTGATCTCAGTTTGCTGGAAGTTTTAAATTAAACCTTGCTTAGGCTCTCATCCCATTTCCATTCATACCCTCTACCTTCTCCTGGCATTCAATGCTCTAGCCCTACCCTACCTACTCAACTTATCTCCTGTTCCTTTCCCAAAGCAAATACGACTGCTCAGCAAGGCTAACTAACAGAAGTCAGGCTTATTCTGACCCCAGCTTTTCCTCCTGCGTGGAATCCCCTGTTCTCTTCAGGTCAATCCAAATCTGTTCCCCGTTCTGAGGTCTACCTCAAGTTTATTTTCATCTATGAAGCCCTTCCTGACCTCTCAAGCTTCCACTGATCTTTCCTTCTGTGTGTTTCCCTAATTAAGTATAAGCCCATGAAGAGGAAATATCGTTTTACATTTTTCTATCTCCTTCAGCAGCAAACATGCTGTGCTGAAGTATAGCAAGCCCTCCATAAACCCAGTTGGATAAAAGCATGAATTAATATTTTCTTAATTAAGAAAAAATGAATCAACGCTTTCTGGTCTTTCCACGTAATTTTGTTATCTCCTTTATTTTTCATAACAAGACTCAATGTCTACGTGTAGTATGTCTTGAACTTTTTGGAAAGATAGCTCTAAAAATCTAGTAAATTAATAATAATACCTGAAGAATTCTATTAATTTGAGATTCCATTAATTTGGAATTCTGCCAGCTATAGTGCATTGATAATTGATTTTAAAAAGTGAAGTGTAGTGGAAAGAGAACCAGGGTACAAAGTCAGAGGATCTGAATCCTATTCCCAAGAGTGTCCCTAACTTTGATCTTGGACAATCATTCACCTTCTGTATGGCTCTAGTCTCCCTCTGTAAAAAGATAAAAAGTTGTGTCCAGTGGCCTCTTCCTGGTAACGGACAGAGCTGGGGACATTCTACTGAGTAGGGATACCCTTCAGCGCAGCTTTTCCCCACCATTTCTAGATCTGTTCTGGAGTTAGAGGGCGGCAGTCTCCATCAATCAGTGTTTCACCTGCCCAGCACCAAAGCCACATGGATACATATACAACGTGGAGAAAGGGCAGAATAAGGAAGGAACAAGCATAAGTAGCTGCAGGATTTAGCTGTTGTGAGTGTCTAGTGTTTTCAAAATTAAGACAAGCCATTGCAGCAAGCATTGGGAAAGACTGAGCATCTCAAGCCGTAGATGGAATCTCTTGGGTTTTGTCCTTCTTTTATGCATTGATACAAATGCAAAGCACCCTGCTCTATCCTTGCTATATGGGATGGGTAAGAATGTAACAGGATAAGTAGGATGCAGTGATCAAGGAGAGGAATAGAAGGAAGGAGGGGACTACCAAGGGAAAAAGAAAGTGTGCCTCCTTGATATGGTTGCCCAGCCAAATAGGATGTTTAGCTTCCATGGGAGAAAGGCCATGTAACAAGGTAGGAAGGGAATAGGAGTCACAGAGCCAGGTGGGTCTCTGCCATTCTGCCCTGTGGGTAAGACAGATGGCTTTTCCTTCCCAATCCTCGACTACAAAAATGAGGCACTTTTAGAGAAATAATCTCCAAACTCTTTTAGCTCTTACCTCACATAATTCATTTGGAAACCATCTTTGAACCCAAATTTAACATACCATTTCTGACTAAACTCCAAATCTCTGCCCTAGGGTTTCCTAAACTTGTGGGGTTCTGAGACATCATCACAAAGGGGAATTTGGGTATTAAATTCCTGAAGTCCTTTTGCTTCATTCCTTCTAATGGAAGAAGAAACTTTCTCCCTTTCTCCCTGGGGGCAATTGGTTGTAATAGGAAGATTACAGGTTAATGACTTAGAAAATCTTCCTCAAACGAGAATAGTACTTAATTAAATTCCATTAAATCATAACTCCTGGCTTCTGTTTTTGGCCCCTTGCTCCTGAGTCCAGAATCACATTCTTCCTTTATCCCTGGGGTTGTTGAATTAAAAGAGCATAAAGCTCTAGGGAACAACCTGATCACCTCCGCTCTATCCACCACCACTGCCTTCCTGTCTGAACACTCAAAAGATGGCCAGTGGGCAAGCCAGACTCCTTCAGAAGAGAGGATGGTCATTTCTAATTTGTCTTGGTTTATGAGCAACTTGACAATTTGACTAACTACCAAAGAGCCAGGACTAGATCATCATCTCATAAAAAGCTAATAAAAAAGGCTGTTAATGCAGCCCATTAGTCTGCTGAAAATGAGAGGTTATGCAATCATTGTCTTAGCTGGGAAGACCTAAGCTCTCCAGGAAGAGTTCACACAGCACCCAGAAAGTCCTTAAGAGGGAAGTTCATGCCTCTCTGCTGTCCTTTATGGAGCTTGGGCATTTCAGCATCTTGCCCCCTCTTTCCTTCCCTGAATGCTTCTTCTCTTTCAAGTATACCCTTGTTTTCTCTCTTCAAACTCACTCCCTCTCCATGGACACATTCTGCCACATTTCTCTGCTGTGTTCTAAGGGTGAA